>NC_000008.11:29254041-29557072 GCF_000001405.40 Homo sapiens
AGTTATGGTCAATTGATTTTGACAAGGGTACCAAGACAATCTAATGGAGAAAGAACAGTCTTTTCATCAAATGGTTCTAGAACAACTGGATATCCACATGCCAAAGAATGAAGTTGGATCCCTACCTCATACCACATTCAAAACTCCAACTGGATCAAAGATCTAAATGTAAGAGCTAAACCTATCAAACTCTTAGAAGAAAACAAATGAAAATCCACATGATGTTAGATAATGGTTTCTCAGAAATCACAGCAAAATCACAAGCAACTAAAAATAAACTGGACTTCATCAAAATTTAAAACTTTCATGCATCAAAGGACACAAGGGAGTGAAAAAGAAACCCATAAAATCAAAATATTTGCAAATCATCTATTTGATAACAGAATGGTATACAGAATGTATGAAGAAGTCTTACAACTCAGTAATAAAAAGATATAGTTTTTGAAATAAGGGGAAGATGTGAATAGAGATCTCTCTCAAGCTATACAAACGGCCAATATGCACATGAAAAGACGCTCAACATTATCTACCAGAGAAAGGCAAATCTAAACCACAATCAGATACCACCTCATACCCACTAGGATAGCAATACTCATGGAGAGAGACAAGAACAAGTGTTGGTGAGGATGTGGAGAAAGTGGAACCTTCATGCATTTCTATGGGAATGTAAAATGGTTCATATGCTTTGGAAAACAGTTCCTCAAAAGTTAGTTACTATATGACTCAGAAATTCCACTCCTATACATATGCGTATCTGAGAAAAATGAAAACACATGTCTACACAAAAGCCTGTACATAAATGTTCAAAGGAGCATCATTCATAATAGCCAAAAATTGGAAACAAGCCAAATGCCCATCAATTGATGAATGAATACAAAACACAGCATATCTGTGTAACAGAATGTTGTTCAGCTATAAAAAGAATGAAGTATTGATTCATGACAAAACATGGATGAGCCCTGAATACATTATACCAAGTGAAAGAAGTGAGATACAAAAGTCCACATAATATAGGATTCCATGTATTAAATGTCCAGAATAAGCAAATCCATAGAGTCAGGAAGTAGATTAGTGGTTGCCAGGGGCTGGGAAGTGGGAAATGGAGACTGACTGCTAACAGTTACAAGGTTCCTCTGTGGGGTGATGAAAATGTTCTGGAATTGTATACTAATAATGGCTGCACAAGTCTGTGAGTAAACTAAAACCCAGTGAATGGTACACTTTGGGGATGTGACTTATATCTAAAAACCAAGAAGAAAAAACTCGGAATGGATGACCCCAGTACCCTCAATAGATAGAAAATACAGTTAGGGTCCTTCAACCACATTCCTACACATTCACTACTCAGAAGACCCCAGCTCACCCAATTCCTCCTACTTTCAATAACCTCACATTCTACCCCATCAAGAAAATTAAGCTTGAAATTCCTGGGCTTTCCCATTATATAATTATTCTCTTCCTCCCATATTTCAAAAACTTCTATCTATTGGCTCTATCTATACAAGGTTCAAATATCTCCCCAAAACTTTTTTTTTTAAAAAAAGGTACCTACCCCTCCAGGTACCACTCTGAACCCTCCCCTTCTACCTGGAGTTTCTCAGAGGAATGTTCTTGAGACTCGCTGCCTCCATACTGGCACGCCCACTCACTCCTCAGCCCACTGCCAATGCCCAATACCAATTAATTCGTTTCAGTGAAATTATCCTGAAAATGAACACTGACCATCATAATGCCAAATCCACTGAACACAATTCTGTGTTAATCACGCGGCCATTCCTGTGACATGTGATTGCTTTCACCTTTCACTCTTTTGACACATTTTTCCTCCCTAGGCATCCACAACATTGCTTTCACCTGATTCTCCTGAGGTTGCTCTTCTTGGCCTCTGTGACCGCCTCTGTCACAGACACACCTGAGGTGCTCTATCTTCTACCTACAGTAATGACTCCGAAATCTACACCTACGTCCAGTCCCTTCGTTTCAGACTCATATTCACAATGGCCTTCTGGATCCATCCACCTGGCTGCACTTCAGACACCTAAAACTCAATTGTGCTGAGTTGCTTCCAGGCACACACTGCATCTTATTCATAGTTGCAGGCAGGGTACACAGCACATAAGCACTGACGACACACTGTTGACTGAGACTAGAACTCATCATTTCCCACACCTCCACCCTAAAACCTGCTTCTCCTGTGCTTCTGATTCAGTTAATGACACCAGCATTCACCTAGTCATCTAAATCAGAGACTTTGCAGCGGATTCCCCAAGTTCAGTGATCCTCAGATGCCGACACAAACCCACTGTATGTGCAGCACCCATCTGGATTCCTCCACGTCACCCCGGTGGAACTTGGAGCCAAGGGGCCTGCTTGTGCTGTCTTCTGTGCTGTTCTCAAATTCCACCCCCATTTCTTTAATTCATGATTGGCTGCCATCAGTGCACTAGGTACATATATTCTTCCAATGAACTCACATGTGCATCTTATTATCAACAAGACTGGGAGCTCCTTTGATGGAAGATCAAGACTTATGCTTCCAGTTTATCCTGCACATCTTTGAAAATGGTGTCATCTCAGGATAGCAAGATCCTCTTAAAGATAATCATGTCCAACATTGTAGTAAAAGCACAGGTGGGTTTTGTAATTCTGGGAATGTTAATTAACCTCTCTGAGGTTCTGCTACATAGAAATGCTACAATTACTACTTTTTTTGTTTGTTTGTTTGTTTGTTTTGAGACAGTCTCGCTCTGTCGCCCAGGCTAGAGTGCAGTGGTGCGATTTCAGCTCACTGCAACCTCCGCCTTCCAGGTTGAAGCGATTATCCCACCTCAGCCTCCTGAGTAGCTGGGATTACAGGCACTCACCACCACACCCAGCTAGTTTCTGTATTTTTAGTAGAGACAGGGTTTCACCATGTTGGCCAGTCTGGTCTCAAACTCCTGGCCTCAAGTGATCCACCCACCTCGGCCTCCCAAAGTGCTGGGAGTACAGGGGTGAGCCACCACACCTGGCCTACAATTCCTTTTCAAAGTCTGGTTTGAAGAATAAAATAATGCATTAAAAAGCATTGAACTCCATTGCTCGCAAATAGAAAGTTGTCAAAAAGCAGCTATTTTCTTTTTCTTCAGTCAACACTGTTGAAATGAATGACTAATGGATACCATTTTCTAAAGATATCTTTATCTCCTCAGAGCGAAAGCCCCATACAGTTAAGTCATGGACTTGCATGGAGTGGACCAGTTAGTTTCACGCACTTCCCAGGTCACAGGGCACACTGCTCATCTTGGTCGAGTTTTTGTTTTTTTTTTTAAAGAACATGCTCTGCCAAACACAAGGGGAACTTGAGGAGCAAGCATAGAGATCAATACATCCATTTCCACTCAATCAGCACTTCAATCCATCTCCTTAATTAATAGTTTTGTCAGTGGTTTCTTCCATTTTCAGCACTTAAGAAGTGGAAAAGTCGGACAGTTATTGTTTTATGGAGGTGAGAGGGTAAAAGCTAATGCCAATTAAACAACATTGTATTTTATATTATAAATGTATATTTCTTGAAAAGAGGTCTGGCCAGCCAGAGCAACAAAGTGAGACCCTATCTCTACAAAAAATATTGAAATTAGACAGACATGGTTGTGCACACCTATGTACCAACTCCACAGCAGGCTGCAGCAGGAATATCGCTAGAGCCCAGGAGGTTGAGGTTGAGGATGCAGTGAGTGATGATCATGCCACTGCACTCCAGCCTGGGCAACAGAGGGAGACCCTGTCTCAAAAAAAATAAATAAATAAAAACAAAGAAACCAACCAACAAACAAAAAACAGGAGATTTGGGGAAAAGAATTTAAAAGTATACCTTCTTCTCAAAATGCCTCTGGCCCTATGTGCATATATCCAAATTTCAGTCACTGAGTTGACAGTAGAAACAAAACAATGTTGTAATACATGTGTGTCTCATTCACCATTAGCATGTCAAGCAGATGCTGACAAAACAAGTATCTTCTGTTTTAGCAAATACTGCCAGAAATTTCCATCCACGGTCCTCCTTGGCTCCACATCTGTCAGTGATCTCTCTGAGAATACTGAAGAATCACCAATGACCCCAGGGGTCAAAGCCACCTTCTCCTGTCCCTTCATTTCCTAAGGGTCACCTCTATCTTCACTGACTACCAGCATCTTCTAAGCTTCCTCGCACTTGCTGGGTTTTTCCTTTGCCTGTTGATTCACAGCTGCTTAATTTTGACCGACTTCCTTATGCTTCCCATTCACAAGGCTTCATTTTCAGCAAGCGCTTTTAAATCCTGCCCAGCTATGCCAGAAATCGGTCATCTACTGAAGCTTCCAATCTTGCTTTGGGATCTAGCAATCTTTCCCCGTTGTGTTTGTGTCCAAGCCCCATACAAGGTCCCAAGAAGCAAAACAGAGTGCGTGGACCAGCCACCCTAGGTCCGGACTTCTGGCCTGGCTGCTTTCAGGGCTTCCTGCAATCCACCTGACCTTTCCTGTCCCATCATTCTCTAGCTATCCTCACAGAATCTCCATTCTGGCAGGCAGATCTCATCTCTGCTGCCTAAACCTGCTTTACTCATTCTAGTCTCTGTGTCCTCACTCTCAGGCCATACTTCCTCCTCAAAGAATACATGCCATCCCCTCTCCCGTGCTCACATCATAAGCTTCCTCCCTGGAAGTCCAACCAAAGTTCACCCTCCTCAGTGAAGTCTAAACTCCTCTCGATTCCCTTATTTCCCTGTCATTCACCTGGCACTTAGTAACTAGCAGCCTGCTACAGCTGTTTACCTTTTAATCTAATCTTTTCACAGGCATTTTCTTTTCAAGCCCATGACAGTCATTTCCTCACAGGCATGAACCATAAAGCATGCTTTAAGAAACTGAATATGATGGTAACAGGCAACCCTAAGAAAACTTTTAGGAAGTAAAATCCCCCTAACAAGAACAATCAATTTCACTTTTTCATGTTTCTTTCTAGCTCTTGCCCATTCCTGTATACATTTTTACATAGTAATAATAATAGATTTGATCAGTTACACGTACAGCTTTACATTCTTTTTCCACTAACAGAGAAAACGATCTTCCTTGTTAAATGGTTTTGACTGTCATCATTTTAATCGCTGTATAATAGTCCCTCCATTGAGATACTAGATCATGATTACCAAGGCACTGACTCTACATTGACTCTATTAGACATTATTACATACTTCTGTGTCTTTCACCACATCAAGTATTGGAAAATGCCAAGTAAACTCATTTGAAATATCTCCTGAAATAAATTTCTTGTCCATTCTCCCTAACACCTGAAATAATCTATTTCACTGTTTCTATCTTCATTTCTTTCGTTTCCCGGTTCTACCCCCTTAGGCTAGGTAGGTAACAAAGGTATTCCAAACACCTTTTATAGATATTTACTTATTTTGGTAGTTGATCTTATACAGATTTACACACAGGAAATCCCTTGAGGAAAAGCATTAAGATCTCATCCTATCTAATATAAGCCAGATACCTGGCAGGCACTCAATCAATGTTTGCTTACCTATTAAATGTTTTTTAAGCCACCTAAAGTTAGAAAACATCAAATTCCTGGAAAGGAGAATGTTGCTGATCTAACTAATCCCACCAATTACGGCTACAGAACTTTCAGCTCCTGTAATGATTAGACGGGTTAATAATGTATGAATGGGTGTTCTGTGCGGCACATGGAAGCACACAAGAATTATCTGTTTAGCTGTACAGTCTGAACAACAACACTGGAAAACAAACGATATCTGCAAATAGAACTTGAAGATCTTGTGACAAAAATTTACCCTTTTCTCTAGTTGTTTAGCTTTGCATCTCAGATGAAGAAAGGCAAAATAAAGGTTGTAATATTAAAATTATGTAAAATTACATACACGTGTGAGCACAAACTGGCATGGAAATGAAAAGCTGTTAGGATGAAGAAAGTATGTGAACTTTTTTCTTTTTCTTTTTCCTTTTGTTAGTGGAATGTTAAAATAAATGTATGACTAGACAAATATTTCTGACAAATTAGCCATTACAACTCTTCCTGTTACTGAATTAGGGCCTAATGCTTAACCTTCAAATAACTAAGGTTCCCAAACCCACATACAGTTTAGCAGAAAGACTAAAATACTCTCACTTCGAGGATAACTGTTAAATAATAAATCAGCTAACCACCTTAAAACTCCAAACACCTAAGCACAACCACTGAATCACACAAGAACTTAATACACCAGAGTTTTCTGGAAATTTTCAGATTTTCCTCAAAAGATAGCTAATGTGATTCCAAATATCAGAGTCTACACAGTAAAACTACATCATCACAGTAACCCATTCTCATCCCCGTCCTCTTTTATAGATAGCGATTTATAAGGTTGCTTCCGGCACCTATATGATAGAAACTATTAGGACTCAAGTTTTACTCTTTGTCATAATTATACAGTATTACATAATACTAATAACTGTTCAAAGTAATATTCTTTTCAAAATTACTGGAAAGGTTCCTACAGATCATACAAGGAAGAAAAAAAAGGAAATTACTGGAAAGAAATATGGTTTTGTTTTAGTCTTTTTTTTTTTTGAGACAGAGTTTCACTCTTGTCGCCCAGGGTGGAGCACAGTGGCACGATCTTGGCTCACTGCAACCTCCGCCTCCTGGGTTCAGGCTATTCTCCCGCCTCAGCCTCCTTAGTAGCTGGGATTACAGGCGTCCACCACCACGCCCGGCTAATTTTTTGTATTTTTAGTAGAGACAGGGTTTTGCCATGTTAGGCAGGCTGGTCTCGAACTCCTGACCTCAGGTGATCCACCCGCCTCGGCCTCCCAAAGTGCTGGGATTATAAGCGTAAGCCACCGTGCCTGGCCTGTTTTAGTCTTTTTATACAAACTTTGGACACCAATTTTTAAAAATCACTGGATTTACAATCCCACCACACTGTATTCCATAATAACCTTTATATTTATGTGAACAATTACTTCATAACAAAAATGGAAAAGAACAAATTTATGTGTGGTAATCACTGAAAAAAGAAGTCCACATGCACGTCAGGAAATATAAGGCTAAGAATGGGCACTAAGTGAACACAGGAGGTACTTTACACCAAATAATGCACTTCTCTATATAGGCTAATGGAATCTATGGGTAAACCTCAATTTCAAAATGATTGTTGAACCCAAGGATCAGCTCACATCCGTTCCACAGCTAAAACTATTATTCTTTGCCTTCCTCTAAACTCTGATGTTTATTACAACCTTATCAATGGCAATTTATAAGAGAAAAGCATAAGAATTTCCCTCAAAAAGTGAAACCAATGGGGAAAGGGAGAGGGAAAGGGCTCTAAATATCTGAGATGTCTTTTGTGGTGGTTGGTTAGCGGCCTCTTTTTAGCACTGACATTTCCAAGTTTTTTGTGAAAAGGAAATTTTAAGAATGTGCTGAAACCATCCTTTCAGAATCAATTCCCAGATAAGTTATGTTTCATTTGGCTTCTTTCTTTAAATTATTGTGATGGTAAACTGGAAGTAAACTGAAATACAGATACCTGAATATTTAAAAACTGATGCTTCTGAAAATTTTCAGAATTGTATCGACGTTTATTGTGTGTTGTCAGAGCACGAGATTAGTGAAGCAAAGCAGGACTCAATCTTGCACTAGTTGAGAACTTAAAGTAATTAAGTTCTTAGGGAAAAAAACTCACCTGACAGCTTTAATCGGACCTAGCAGGAACAGGACAAAACAATTCCCATAGATGAGATAACTCCAAGCGAGAAACCAATTTCCCCGAGAAGGACAAACCAACAAAGCTTATGTCAACTGGTTGATCTGTATGTCTCAATATATACAAAAGAAAGCAAAGAAGAGGAAAACAACCTATAATTTCTACATAAAAATTAAACAACACTTGATTTTGCTAAGAAGCTACAACTTTGTCTCTGGTACTTAAATGATTCTAATTAGTTCAAAGTCTCATCAATGGCAAAGTCATCTCCTGAGACAGTAATAGTGACCCCCAATGACAGGACCTTGTATATAAAGCGTTTTCAAACACATTATCTTATTTAAAGCAACTCACCCAGTCATGCTGCTTTGACTATCAAAGCCAAGACCCAGCCCACCTCCTCCCCTGACTTTTGGGGTTCTCTCCACTCCCCGGGTCTACAGATTATTTAAATGTACTCGGTTTATCTGCCTTCTCTACACTCCCTGCAGAGTTAAGAGAATGTCAGAAAGATACAATTCCACAAGAATCTTGGCACTTTAGCTATTTATTGAGAGATGATGAATGAGACTTCAGGCAAAACCAAAACTTTCTCAACTGTCCAAAAACAACGAAAAGGGCATCTCCTCCACCTGACCCCAATCTCAGGACGCCCAGGTGGAAGGAACTCGCCGCGGGGCACCCGCCTGGCCCCCTGCCCTTCTTCCCGCCGCGGGCCAAGGCGGTGCAGGCTTGGGCGACCCGGGCGAGACGCGGGGTCCCGGGGGGTCCCGGGCGGTCCCGAGGCGGGCTGCAGGGGCTGGCGACCCGCGCGCGGGGGCGACGATGACAGCTGGCGGGGAAGGAGCGAGGCTGAGGGGCCAGGACGAGGCTGGGCGCGAGGGCCGAGGGCGCCCTCGGGAACCTCCGGGGGAGACGAGAGGGCAAAAGGGCGCAGGGGCGGGGCGGGCGCAGGCGGAAGGGGCAGCGGGGCCGGCACGAGGGGCCCGACGGCGCCAGGGACGGGGCTGGCCAGGGGGGAAGGGAGGGGAGAAGAGGGAGCCGGGCGTCTCAGCGCGGGAGCGGGTTTCAGGGTCCCCGGGCCCCTCCTCGCGCCCCGCCGCTGACTATAGGGGCGGGGCCGCCGGACCCCCCACGGCGGCCGAGGGAAGGGCGCGCCAGGCACCTGCCGCCTCCGCCCCGGCGGCCCAGGAGGGCTCGGCTCTCACCTCGCCGGTTCATGGGTCGTATCCGCACCGCCACTTTCACTTTGGAGTCCCCCATCCTGCAGCCGCCGAGGAACTCGTTCGGCTTCCGTCTGCCGCGGCCACCGGCGACTCTTCGGGGTTGACCCGGCGGGAGGGGGCCGGGGGCGGAGCCGGGGGTGGGGACCGGGCTGGGGGCGGGGCCGGCGCGAGCTCCGGGCGCTCCCCGCTGTATGGCGGGACTTGTAGTTCCCCAGGGTCGTCGTGGGCGGGGCCGCAGCGAAGGCGGGGGCGGGAATGCTCGGGCGCGAGTCGTTTGCTACAACTTACCTACAGCAATGACGGCTTTTGTAAATTACACACCATTCTTGCTCTCGCAGCCAGTATTGAGAAGTAAGCCTTCAAGAGCTGATACCTCTTCTGAAAAACAATTGAATAGATGGCGTCAGGGACCCCGCTACCTCTTCCTGCTCATTTCCTGCCAATCTTAGTGTTTGATCCCTGGCTCAAGTTATTTCCTCTGCCTGGATTGACGTCCGGCCTTGTTTGCTGAGCTCGTCCTTCACGACAAGTTGCAAATCACGTTTTCTGGGAGTGTCCATAGGTCCACGGGTTAACATTGTCCTGTGAGTCCCCCTCCTTTGAGACAGGACCTTGGGCTCTGAAAACCATCTGAGTTCAAAGCCCACCTCAGCGCTTCCCACTGTGTGACCAGGGGCAAGTTATTTGACCGCTCTGGGCTTGTCTTTAATATGAAAAGTGGATATGATACTAATACCTAGTAAAATAGGTACATTTTTAAATAAGATTAACATATGTGTAACCTAGCCTTTAGTAGAGACCCATAAACATTAATTGCATGAATTAATGAATGAGGCCACACTAAAATTAGCTTTTTATTAGCCCTGGCAGACATTCTAACAGGTGGCCTGGGTGCCAGAGCCAGCACGCAAACATGTTCTGTTTGGCCCAACAGTGTTGGCCAACACATAAAAATCAGATTTGTGGCCAGGTGCAGGGGCTCACACCTGGAATCCCAGCATTTTAGGATGCTGAGGCAGGAGGATTGCTTGAGGCCAGGAGTTTGAGACCAGCTTGGGTAACAGAGTGTGAAATCAGATTTGTGCATGCAGTACTGGGCCTACATTACATATTGGACAGAGTGGATTGGAACTAAATAGCAGCAGCCACCTTTATCAGAGACCCGTCTCTCCACTTCACCACGGCCCCCCTCCAGGTGGCTTTACCACACATGCGCCTGGACCTTGTGGGTTTGTGACCCCTGCTTAGATGTGTTTAAATGATAGTAATAGAACTCAGAACCATTTTACAGATGAGTAAATACAGAAAGCTGGTAAGACTTGCCCTTTTACCAACCATCCTGTTATTGAGTATCTTCAATACAAGCAATGTTGTCAAAAAGTATAAAAATACTTTTTTTTTTTTGAGATGGATCTAGCTCTGTCACCCAGGCTGGAGTACAGTGGCATGATCTCGGCTCACTGCAACCTCCACCTCCTGGCTTCAAGCGACTCTCATGCCTCAACCTCGACAGTAGCTGGGATTACAGGCATGTGCCACCAATCCTGGCTAATTTTCATATTTTTAGTAGAGACGTAGTTTTGCCATGTTGACCAGGCTGGTCTCGAACTCCTGACCTCAGGTGATCCACCCACCTCAGTCTCCCAAAGTGCTGGGATTACAGGCATAAGCCACTGTGTCCGGTCTAAAAATACCTTTAAAAGAAAGGAAATTCTGAAACATGCTGCAACATGGATGATGGGCCTTGAAAACATTATGCTAGGTGAAATAAGCCAGACACAAAAGAACAACCACTGCATGGTTCTACATATATGAGATACACATGGTAGTCAAATTCATGGAGATAGAAAGTAGACTGGAGGTTACTAAGGGCTAGGAGAAGGGGGTATGAGGAGTTAGTATTCAATGGGTGCAGAGATTCGGCTTGGGAAGATTTCAGCTGCGGAAATGAATGGTGGTGATGGTTGCACAACAATGTAAATGTACTTAACGCCACCTAACCACTTAAGAGTGGTTAAGGCAGTAAGGTTTTTTGGGTTTTTTTAGAGACAGGATCTCGCTCTGTTTGCCCAGACTGGAGTGCAGTGGTGTGATCATAGCTCACTGCAGCCTCAAACTCCTGGGCTCAAGCGATTTTCCTGCTTCAGCCTCTCACCTAGATGGAATTACAGGTACGCACCACGACACCTAGCTAATTTTTATATTTCATTTTTTGGTAGAGATGGAGTCTCGCTATGTTGTCCAGGCTGGTCTTGAACTCTTGGCCTCAAGTAATCCTCCTCACTTCAGCCTCCCAAAGCACTAGGATTACAGGTGTGAGCCATTACACCCAGCCAAGATGGTAAGCTTTTTGTTGTTGTTTGTTTGTTTGTTTGAGATGGAGTCTTGCTCTGTCGCCCAGGCTGGAATGCAGTGAGTGACATGATCTCTGCTCACTGCAGTCTCTGCCTCCTGGGTTCAAGTGATTCTCCTGCCTCAGCCTCCAGAGTGACTGGGATTACAGGTGTGCACCATCACACACAGCTAATTTTTATATTTTTAATAGAGATGGGGATTCACCATGTTGGCCAGGCTGGTCTCAAACTCTTGACCTCAAGTGATCCACCCACCTCAGCCCCCCCAAAATGCTGGGATTACAGGTGTGAGCCACTGTGCCTGGCCAATAGTAAGTTTTATGTTACGTGTTTTTTATCAAAATTTCAAAAAAGGTTAAAAATAGAAAATGCTACCCCAGAAGGCCCTCTTTTTTAAAAAAGGAAATTTCTTTCTTAGGGGCACTGCCTCTGCACTTCAGGAGGTCTCATCTAGACCAGCAGTGGGTTTAGTGCAGCAGGTCCTTTGATTTTCACAGCCCAATAAAGTAAACAACATCAGGATAACCAAATTAGGATTGCCAATCTCAGTGTTTGACACTATGACAGCTTCTTAATTTTAGCAAGTATATATTTTTTTGAGACAGGGTCTCATTCTGTGCCCAGGCTGGAGTGCAGTGGCACCATCTTAGCTCACTGCAGCCTCAACCTCCCAGGCTCAAGCGATCCTCCCACCTTAGCCTCCCAAGTAGCTGGGACTACAAGCATGCACCACCATGCCCAGCTGATTTTTAAATTTTTTGTAGAAACAGTGTCTCGCTATGTTACCCACTCTGGTCTTGAACCCATGACCTCAAGTGATCCTCCCACCTCAGCCTCCCAAAGTGTTGGAATTACAGGTGTGAGCCATTGTGCTAGGTCACCGAGTAAATTATTTGAAAAAGAATGCACACAAAAATTACTATCTACCATCACTATCTTTTTTTTTTTTTAAAAAAGATCATAAAGGGTATGATTTTATATTGAAATTGTTTTGCCCTACTGTTCTTTTGCTCTTATTTAGTGTTGAAGTCACCTTTGCCATGGCCCCAGACTGGTTACCACAGGTTGGTACTCTTGTCTTAAACACACATCCTAATTACCACCTCCCTACATTCAGGTTATAAAAAATAAGGATTTGGAATGTCCCAAGATTCCATACGTCACTTTATATCTCTTTTATAACCAGGTAAATTTAATTTTTAAATGGCACGTCCTGGTGCTAGCTTGAATCTGGCTTTTTAAACAGAGTCAAAGCAGGCAGAAAAAGAGAACAAGAGAACATTTCTATGGAAATATTGTGTTTAAACTTAAGCTGAAACTGAAAAGAGAGGAAAGCCCCTAAGGACCTCAAGGAAGGGAAGAATAGAATAGAGAAGAAGTGAGGACTTTCTCTAAAGTCCTCAAAACCATTTAAAATGTTCTGAAAATATTTAGAGGAAAAGGACAGTAGCCTCCCTAGGGACTGCAGGGAAGAACCCCTGTGAGCTGTTTCCCCTTTTGACTTCTGTTCATACTACTCTGTCTCCTTTGACTTTTGCAGTGAAGATGATTCTTAAAAGAGAGCCCAGCCAGGCGCGGTGGCTCACGCCTGTAATCCCAGCACTTTGGGAGGCCGAGGCGGGTGGATCACAAGGTCAGGAGATGGAGACCATCCTGGCTAACACAGCGAAACCCCGTTTCTACTAAAAATACAAAAAAAATTTGCTGGGCGTGGTGGCGGGCACCTGTAGTCCCAGCTACTCCGGAGACTGATGCAGGAGAATGGCGTGAACCTGGGAGGCAGAGCTTGCAGTGAGCTGAGATCGCGCCACTGCATTACAGCCTGGGCGACAAAGTGAGACTCCGTCTTCTAAAAAAGAAAAGAAAAGAAAAAGAAAAAAAGAGAGAGAGCCCAAGACTAGAAATGCCCATATCTTCCCATGGAAAGTGTTCCTCTGATAGGCGGGAGACAGAGGACCAAATTGCAAGTTACAACCTGCAGCCTGGGAGTTTCAGGGGCTTCAACACCAAATGAAATTGGAGAACTATCAACAGGATTCAGGGTTCAGCACAGGCTCCAGCAAGACAGAGAGAAAAGTCCTGGTTTTTCTCTCTCTCTTTTTTCTCTTTTTTTTTTTTTTTTCCGAGACAGGGTCTCGCCCTGTCGCCCAGGCTGGAATGCAGTGGCACAGTCTCGGCTCACTGCAACCTCCTCCTCCTGGGCTCAAGTGATTCTTCTGCCTCAGCCTCCCGAGTAGCTGGGATCACAGGCGCCCACGACCATGCCCGGCTAATTTTTGTAGTTCTAGTGGAGACGGGGTTTCGCCATGTTGGTCAGGCTGGTCTCAAACTCGCCACCTCAGGTGATCCGCCCACCTCGGTTTCCCAGGGTACTGGGATGACAGGTGTGATCCACTGCACCTGGCCAGTTTCTCTCTTTTCAACTATTAGAGGAAAAAGAAACAAAGAACTAGTAAATAAGGCATTCCCTTGTACCTGTTTCTTAAAGCAAGTACTTAGGAAATCAACAAGTATTTATGGTGTAGATTCTATAGCCATTTTGATAGAGCTGTTGAATTTTAGCTGTGCAGATAAGGAGTTTCTCATTTTTTGCCCTCACATTTTGCAAATCTGCTCATTCCTAAACTGATTTCTAGTTTTCTTTTTATGGCTTTGATCTACCCATTCAGTAGTTTCTGATGGTCCCTTCATAGGCTATAGAAGTCACTTTGTCCTATCTTTTTTTTTTTGAGATGGAGTCTTGCTGTGTCACGATTTCCCTGCTTGCCTGAGACCTACCTTTGTGAGAGCACTTAGTTTTCCCAATTATAAGCATACCTTCATCTGCCTCCCCAGCTACGCTGTGCTACTGTGTGCTCTTTGAGCCTGGATAAAGTGTCTTTTGTTTTTGAGACAGGGTCTCGCTCTGTTGCCCAGGCTGGAGTACAGTGGCACAATCATGGCTCATTGCAGCCTCAAACTCCTGGGCTCAAATGAGCCTCCAACCTCAGCCTCCTAAGTAGCTGGAACTACAGGCATACATCACCACTCCTAGCTAATTTTTGTATTTTTTGTCTCACTGTGTTGCCCAGGCTGGTCTCCAATTCCTAGGCTCAAGCAATCACCTGCCTCAAGCCTCCCAAAGTACTGGGATTACAGACATGAGCCACGACACCCAGCTTGAAAGTGTCTTTTTATTATTATTATTAATATTTTTTTTTTTTTGAGATGAAGTCTCGCTCTGTTGCCCAGGTTGGAGTACAGTGGCGCAATCTCGGCTCACCGCGCAACCTCTGCCTCCCAGGTTCCGGGGATTCTCCTGCCTCAGCCTCCCGAGTAGCTGGGATTACAAGCATGCGCCACCACGCCCAGCTAATTTTTGTAGTTTTAGTAGAGATAGGCTTTCATCATGTTGGCCAGGCTGGTCTTGAACTCCTGACCTCAGGTGATCCACCCATCTCAGCTTCCCAAAGTGCTGGGATTACAGGCATGACCACCGCACCTGGCCGAAAGTATCTTTTTAAAGTCTCTTGATCTCTAACACCTCGTATAGTGGCTGGTACTTAGTAGGCACTTAACACATTGGAGAATGAAGATATTAACCACATGGCATTATCATTACTCTCAGCTTAAATGGCTTGCCTCAAGCCACGCAGCTGGTAGGTGGCAGAGTTGGAATGCAAACACAAATTTGTTTGATTCCACAAATCTTTGCCCTTTCCACAAACAAGGCCCTACATGTCCCCTTACATATTTTTCAGGTGTACATTATCTTTCCAGCATTGTGAACTCCTAGTGAAAGCCTAGATCTCACTAATAGCAATGACCTCTTCTAGCTGTTATTTATTGAGTGCTTATGATGTGCCAGGCATTGCATTTAGCACTTCACACATATGATCTCATTTAATTTTCACAACAATCCCATGAGATTGGCACTATTATTATGGCCTTTAACAGAAAGGAAACAGGCCAGCATGGTGGCTCATGCCTATAATCCTAGCACTTTGGGAGGCTGAGGTGGGTTGATCACCTGAGGTCAGGAGTTCAAGACCAACCTGGCCAACATAGTGAAACCCCATCTCTACTAAAAATACAAAAATTAGCCGGGCATGGTGGCGCGTGCCTGTAATCCCAGCTACTCGGGAGGCTGAGACAGGAGAATTGCTTGAACCCAGGAGGCGGAGGTTGCAGTGAGCAGAGATTGCACTGTTGCACTCCAGCCTGGGAGACAGAGCAAGACTCCGTCTCAAAAAGAAACAGAGAGGAAACAGACTTCCTGGGGCCGGTGAACTTGCACACTGACCTGAGTAAGAGATACCTGAATGCAAAGCCCTGGTCCCCTTGTCCAGGCAATAAGATCATTACCACTACTTGCCCTGCCTCTTCATGTAGTGTCTGGTGCTCTCCTGGGTCCACAGCCTTTACTGACACTCCCCAGCAACCAGCCGCCGCAGGGCCACACCTGGACTTTGTCATGATCTTTGGCTGCTCCACCTAGGAAATGAAAAGCAGTCATTCTTATCCAACCTCAACCTCATCCAACCTGACTCACTCGCCTACTCCCAAGTATCCAGACATCGCTCTTAAGCCTCCAATGCCTCAACTTACCCCCTTTGTCACACCGAGGCTTCTCCGGGATTCATTTTATATGTTCGTGCAAAAGTAATTGTGGTTTTTGGCATTACTTTAGGGCAAAAACCACAATTACCTTTGCACCAACCTAATACATCTGCAATCTAAACCTCTGTCTTGACTGTATCATCAACACCACTCATGCCCTGGGAACCCTAAACCTATGTCATCACTCTCCTTTCTCCAAGACTCTCATTTTGGGCAGGGAGCTCAGCTGGAGGAAGTCACAGATCCATGCACATGGTACCCTGAAGAGTTTGTGATCTTTGATCCTAGTGGGGTCCTCAGTAGCACTCCAAACCATTTTTCCTGCTCATACACCTCCAGAGACTTCTACCATCATCACCATTCTCTTCAAGCCCAACCCAACATGACCACCCTCTGTGCCAGATCACCTTGCTTCTACATCCCTGCGAAAATTAGGGCTCAGGCTGGGCATGGTGTTGCGTACCTGTAGTCCCAACTATCTGGGAGGCTGAGGCAGGAGGACCACTTGAGCCCAGGAATTTGAGGCTGCACTAAGCCGTGATTGCACCTCCTGGGAATAGCCACTGCTTTGTAGCCTGGACAACATAGCGAGACCTCATCTCTCTCTCTCTCTCCTTTTTTTTTTTTTTTTTGAGTTTGGGTCTCACTATGTTGCCCAGCCTGGTCTAGAACTCCTGGGATCAAGTGATTCCCCTCTCCTTGACCTCCCAAAGTGCTAGAATTACGGGCATGAGACACCACACCCAGCCAAGACCCCTATCTCTTTAAAAAAAAAATAGGGCTCTCAGGTGAAAATTCCCTAAACTTCCTACCCCCACAGTTTTTTCTGTGACTGCGTCCAGCACTAACTTCCCCCTCAGTGGCCAAAGTAGATGTGTCTTCATCTCAAGGCTAAGGCCGCTCTTCCATACTCTTCACACCACCTCCATGGCACTGTTGTTCTATTAGCCGTTCTCTGATACATTCAACCTTTCCTTCTCCATTAACCCCTTATCCTCAGCTGAGAACCTCCCATGGAAAAACAAGAACAAACAGTAACACTATAAGAAAAAACAAGGACAATTTCCCGAAGTCTTCCTACCTCCTCAGGAGCCAGCTCTCCCCGCAACATAATAGTCTACACTGACCAGCTTCCCTTCTCCACCTGTCATTAGTCAACCAATGATTAATTCAATCACGCTTTCACCTGCCTTCACCCCTGCACTAAAACTGTCATGACAAAGCACACCATTGACCTTCCCTTCGCAAATCTAGGAGCGTGGTTTTTGGTCCTCATTTGATGTCTCTGTAATAGTTGGTGTTATTGAGCATCCGCTTCTGGAAACTTTTGATTCCCTTGGCTTCTATGACATGGCTCTTTTCCCCTTGTTTTAAGTAATATATTAGGTTAGTTAAAACACTTCCTTATCACAGGCTTGGAACTATGTTAGGAGCCTGGGATACAAAGATTTATTTATTTTTCCCCCGAGACGGAGTTTCGCTCCTATGCCCAGGCTGGAGTGAAGTGGTGTGATCTCGGCTCACTGCAACCTCCGCCTCCCGGGTTCAAGTGATTCTCCTGCCTCAGCCTCCGGAGTTACTGGGATTACAGACGTGTGCCACCTTGCCTGGCTAATTTTTGTGTTTTCAGTTGAGACAGGGTGTTGCCATGTTGGCCAGGCTGGTCTTGAACTCCTGACCTCAGGCCCAAAGTGCTAGGATTACAGGCATGAGCCACCTTGCCCAGCCGGGATACAAAGATTTTTAAAAGACGCCTGGTCTTTAAGGACTAAGAGGTTTGGTCAGATTTCTGGAAATTTGGTAACTTCTTCAGGTTGTATTGCTGCTCTTTGCTGCTCAGTACGGAGTGGGAACCCCCTTTAAGGACACTATCCTTGAAAAGGAGGAGGCTCAGTAGCTCGGCCTGGGGGAGAACGTGGAAGGCAAAGCTAAGGACCTTCAGGTGTTCCTGGGGAAAGAGGAGCTAGAGATGAAGTGGGCAGGCTGGGCACGGGGGCTCACACCTGTAATCCCTGCACTTTGGGAGGCCAAGGCGGGCAGATCACTTGAGGTCAGGAGTTCGAGACCAGCCTGGCCAACATGGTGAAACGCCATCTCTATTAAAAAAATACAAAAATTAGCCAGGCGTGGTGGCGGGCGCCTGTAATCCCAGCTACTGGGGAGGCTGAGGCAGGATAATTGATTGAACTCAGGAGGCGGAGGTTGCAGTGAACTGAGATCGTGTCACTGAACTCCAATCTGGGCAACAGAGCAAGACTCCGTCTCAAAAAAAAAGAAAAGAAAAGAAAAGAAAAAAAAGTGGGCAGCTGAGGAAAGAAAGAAGACAAAAGAGTCGGGCGTGGTGGCTCAAGCATGTAATCCCAGCACTTTGGGAAGCAGAGAGGGGAGGATGGCTTGAGGATATGAGTTTGAGACTAGCCTGGGCAATATAGCAAGATCCTGTCTTAAAAAAAAAAAAATTAGCCAGGGCTAGGCACAGTGACTCATGCCTGTAATCCTAGTGCTTTGGGAGGCTGAGGCAGGTGGATCACCTGAGGTCATAGGTTCGAGACCAGCCTGGCCAACATGGAGAAAACCCATCTCTACTAAAAATACAAAACTTAGCCAGGCGTGGTGGCAGGCACCTGTAGTCCCAGCTACTTGAGAGGCTGAGACAGGAGAATCGCTTGAACCCAGTGGGTGGAGATTGCAGTGAGGCAAGATCGCGCCACTTCACTCCAGCCTGGGAGAAAAAGCGAAACTCCATCTCAAAAATAAATAAATAAGAAAAGAAAAATTAGCTGGGTGTGGTGGTGCATGCCTGTGATTCCAGCTACTTGGGAGGCTGAGATAGGAGGATTGCTCCAGCCCAGGAGTTTGAGGCTGCAGTGAGCCATGATTGTGCCACTGCACACCAGCCTGGGCCACAGAATGAGATGTCAGCTCAAAAAAATAAAGAGGACCAAAGGCAAAAGAAAGAAATGCTAGTCTGCATCAGAGAGTAGCCTCAGGGGCATACCATGCAAAAAGTTCAAGTGAGTTTGTGTACCTCAAAAACCACATCTCTCCTATCCACTTATCCTGAACCCATTGCAATCAGCCTTCAACAGCTCTTGCTTTCAAAGCCTTGCACGGCCCCTCCCCAAAGATATCTCCCAGGCAGAAACTATCCTTCCTAACTGTGCACAGGCGTCACTCACTTTGTCATAGGTGGATTGCATTTCTCCTGAGAAGGTAAAGTCACAACCCTGTGGGTTTAGGAGGCTGAATTGAATTGACTTGGATTTTAAGGAATTGAGATGTTTAGAAGGATCTTCTTGGATGTTGAAGGTTAAAGATGTCCCCTAAAAGAGGCTAAGGACAGGGCGAGGTGGCTCCCGCCTGTAATCCCAGCACTTTGGGAGGCCAAGGTGGGCGGATTGCCTGAGCTCAGGAGTTCGAGACCAGCTTGGGAAACATGGCGAAACCCTGTCTCTACTAAAAATACAAAAAATTAGCCAGGCGTGGTGGTGGGCGCCTGTAGTCCCAGCTACTCAGGAGGCTGAGGCATGAGAATCGCTTGAACCCTGGAGGCAGAAGTTGCAATGAGCCAAGATTGTGCCACTGCACTCTAACCTGACCGACAGAGTGAGATTCTGTCTCCAAAATAAAAAATAAAATAAAATAAAATAGGCTAGGTAGAATGGACCCAGGCAATGCACACTTTCCCTAAGGTTTGGAATAAGCTAGTGTTTACAAGCCCAGAAGGCAAGGTGTACTTTATAAACTAAATTAGTTATGTATTGGTTTTCTTTAGGTTTACCCTCTGTGTTTAGTAAATGTTTCTTAAATTTATGTTTATTTCACCTATGCAAGGGGAAGCAAAGGAAAGGACATTGGTCCACATGTGGGACAGAGGTTTGAAAAGGAGGAAGTCTAACCTCTGAGGCCAATGTGGTGGGGGCAGTGGGAACTGGGGAACCACAGTAAGAGACAAATCAGAAGTAGAGATTTGGGCCAGGCATGGTGGCTTACACCTGTAATCCCAGCACTTTGGGAAGCTGAGGCAGGCGGATCACGTGAGGTCAGGAGTTCAAGACCATCCTGGCCAATATGGTAAAATCCTGTCTCTACTAAAAATACAAAAATTAGTCAAACATGGTGGTCAGTACCTGTAATCCCAGCTAATCAGGAGGGTGAGGCAGGAGAATCACCTGAACCTGGGAAGTGGAGGTTGCAGTGAGCTTAGATGGCGCGAGATTCTGTCTAAATATACATGTTTATATATATAAATCTATATATAGATTAGAAGTCACTGGGTTCTGCCCCAGGAGAGTCTTCTTTTCATACTGATCATATAGCTCTGGGCTCTGGGCTCCACTTTATTCTGGAAAATGACACTTCCTTCCATTCCTAGCCCCTATTTTCTCTTCTCTTCCCAACTGATACAGTCCCTGTAACCCACACTGTTGCTTTAGTGACTTATACTCATGTGGCTACCTTTTCTAGGATGCTCTTTGCCAGTTGAAATCTAACCATTGAAGCCCCATTCTCTCCGTAAAGTCATGCTTCACTCATCCTGCACACCTTAATGTTTTCCTTCTGGAAACTTTTCTAGCACTGTGCCATATTCACATTTGGTTACAAGCTGACTTAAATAATGTATGTAGGTCTTGTCTTCTCCAATTAGACTGAGGACTTCTCAGTAGCAGAAATAATGTCTTCCCTTTTTTGGTATCACTCAAAGTGAAGAGTACACAGCCGACTTAATAAATACTCGGTGGCTGAATAGTGACTTTCAGATAAAAGAAGGCATAGAGGTGGGAGAGACCGGAGCCAAGGAAGGACTTTAATTATTTTGATTGATACTCTAGATTGACAAGAAATTAGAGGAATTACACAATCTTGAGTAGTGGGAGAAAAGATCTTTAGAATATTCTTTTGGCCTCTTTATTGACAAAATTGAAATCCCTTCTAATCTTCTAACCTCCAAAGAGCTAGAATTCTATTTCTGTCAGAAACTTAAAAACCATCTCCAAAAGCACAGATTTCACACTAAACTCCCCCAAAGTGTTCACTGTCTGGATGAACATCAATTTACAACCCCCATCCCCACTTTGTTGAAAAATGTCTCTAAAGAACAGCATCAATAATAAATCTCTGATAGGCCTAGTTCATCTCCATAAATCATTCAGGGACAGAGGTCAGGAGATAGTATTCTTTTGATATTATTTAAGGCAGATTGTACAGTTCAGGCCCCATTAGTGAGCACAAAAGGACACCCATAAAATATTCACAGGCTGTGGTACAAACGCATTGACTGCCTGGGGCACCCACCTCCGGAGGGATTAGATTAGTCAGAAGAACTTGCGGTTGCAGCCTACATGCTCCCTTAAGCTCAGAGGTTCCCATAGCTCATCAGCAAATCTGATCTAGAATTTTCCAGGGATTTCAAAAAATCCACAGGAGAAAGAGTGAGATAAGCCAGAGGTAAAGAAACTATTTTGCCCAGGGCCCCTAGCCTAAGGAGAAGCAACTGACTTTTTCCCCCCAAGAATAATGTGGACAAGGAGCAAAGCTCTCCTCTGAGAAATATTAGATAAATTAAGAGTTGGATAAAAAGAAATCTGGCAGAGGTAGGCCTGGGGAGGAGTCCAGCCTACATCCATATACAAAGACACTCTCCTCCCTGTATTCATTATCAATATTTTAAAAATCAAATATAATTCAATTTAACCAATATTTGACTGCATATGTAATAAATGCAAGGTACTTGCCCAACAGGGAATTAAAGTGAATATGACACACTTGACATTTCCAGAAAGTTAGAATTTGTTTGAAGGTAATTATGCTGTTACAATGGAATCAAATGTCCGTAGAATTCCTACTTTGTTACCAGGCAGGTAAACAAGAGCTTGTTTTCCCAAGCATGTCACATGTTGCACCTGCAGGTGGGTGGTGGAGGTGAGGCCTGAGCCTAGGAGCAGAGGAAGAAGAACCAGTCACCCCTGATTCAGATCTAGAAGGTGTCACTTAGGCAGGAAACATGAGAATGGGTGGGCAATCCTGCTTCTGGAGGGAAGAGAAGGTCGGAGAAAATGGCACAAGCTCCAAGAGATGTCGCCTGCGGTTTTAATCTTCTGGCTGCTGGGCATGAAGCAGTTAAAGAGAAACCCAAGACAGCTGCAGCCAGGGGCTCCATAATAGCCACGCAGAGGAAGCGCATAGAGGTCATTTTTCTATGCCACGAAGGGAGACTTGTTTCAGCTGAGACCCAATCTGGATGCTGTTCTGCTCACCAGGAAGCCAGGAGCTATAAAACCCTCCCAGTGCCACAGCATGCGTGACTCAGAGGCAGCTGAGCAGGACCCAGAACAGAGGGACAGCTGCTGCGGGCTCACCCTTTTCCATCTTCTACGGGAGGAAAGCACAAGCCTCCCTAGAAACAGGATGATTTAGCCATCGTTTACCAATATAAATTCCAGACAAATGAAAGGCTTGGTATAAAAACTAGAAAAACTAAAGAAAAGAAAAGTGAATATTTAGCTGATCTCGAGCAAAGGGAGAAGGCATCAGTAATAGTAACAGTACTGAGATACTTGCTCAAAGTCTATCTAGGTGGAGCTGGGACTCAAACTTAGAACTCCAGAGCCTCATTCTTTTTTTTTTTTTTTGAGATGGAGTTTTGCTCTTGTTGCCCAGGCTGGAGTGCACTGGCGCGATCTCGGCTCACTGCAACCTCTGCCTCCCGGGTTCAAGCAATTCTCCTGCCTTAGCCTCCCATGTAGCTGGGATTACAGGTGCCCGCCACCATGCCTGGCTAATTTTTGTATTTTTTTAGTAGAGATCGGGTTTCACCACGTTGGCCAGGCTGGTCTCAAACTCCTGACCTCAGGTGATCCACCTGCCTTGGCCTCCCAAAGTGTTGGAATTACAGGCATGAGCCACTGTGCCTGGCCCAGAGCCCCATACTTTATTTAAAAATATATATATATTTTTTTAGAGACGAGGTCTGTGTTGCCCAGAGCTCAAGTGACCCTCCCCTCTCAGCCTCCCAAAGTGTTGGGATTATGAACGTGGGCCACCATGCCCGGCCCAGAGCCCCACTCTTAAACTTGCATGAAACTGTCTCCTTAAGGAAAAACTAAAAATAGGTAACTCAGAAGATAAAGACTTCTACAGTATGTCCAAATAATCCACCATAAAGAGCAAGCAACAATTTGAGATGTTTTTGCAATATATGATAGGCGTGGGGTACAGTCCTAAAGAAGTCTTAACAAATCAAAAAGAAAAAGACAAAAAGAGGTCGGTAAAAATGTTGCCAAAAGTTAAAAACAGGCTGCTCCAACGGAAGTCATTTGGTGACCAATGAACATATGAAAAATGTTCAGTCTTTCTAGGAATCAAAGAAATGTACATTTTCTCAAAAATTATTCATCAAATCATTATTTAACATACATTTTCTTGTCTAACGATTTGGCAAACTTTTTTTTTAAGAGATGGTATGGGGGGTGGGTGGTCTTGCTATGTTGTTCAGGCTGGCCTTGAACTCCTGGGCTCAAGGGATCCACCCACCTCAGCCTCTCAGAGTGCTGGGATTACAGGCATGAGCCACCACCTGGCTAGCAAACTTTTAGCAAAAAGCTAATGCCTAGTTTTTGGTGTATGGTGACCAGCTTTTTAGAGAGTCAACTGGGAAACAATCATAACAGACCAAAAAAAAAATATATATATATGTATATATATATATATATTTACACATATGTGTGTTACTACTTTAACATAAAATATGAAAAATAGGTATTTATTTAAAATTACATATTCTGTGTTACTTTTCTTCCATAAATGCTATTATTTAAACAAAACCACATAAGACTAGTTAACAGAGGCAATTAGTAGTAATTAATAATAGAAGTAATTAAAAATAATGTGCAAGAAAGTATAATGATATTTTATAACGTTTCTTTGCATCCTCTGATACAACAATTTTTTTTTTTTTTTTGAGACAGAGTCTCATTCTGTTACCCAGGCTGGAGGGCAGTAGTGTGATCTCTGCTCACTGCAACCTCCGCCTCTCGGGTTCAAGTGATTCTCCTGCCTCAGCCTCTTGTGTAGCTGGGATTACAGATGTGCGCCACTATACCCGTCTAATTTTTGTATTTTTAGTAGAGACAGAGTTTCACCATATTGGCCAGGCTGGTCTCAAACTCCTGACCTCGAGTGACCCACCTGCCTCAGCCTCCCAAAGTGCTGGGATTACAGGTGTGAGCCACCGCTCCTGGCCCGATACAACAATTTTTTAACTCTTTATTAGATATTTAAATTGTGTAGATTATATTATTGTATATTCTTTTTTTTTTCCTTTTTTTCTTTGAGACAAGATCTCACTCTGCACCCAGGCTGAAATTCAGTGGCACAGACACGGTTCACTGCAGCCTCAACCTCCTAGGCTCAAGTGATCCTCCCAGCTCAGCCTCCAAAGTAGCTGGGACTACAGGCCTGTGCCACCTTGCCCAGCTAATTTTTGTATTTTTTATAGAGATAGGGTTTTGCTATGTTGCCCAAGCTAGTCTTGAACTCCAGGACTCAAGCAATCTGCCCACCTCAGCCTCCCAAAGTGCTGGGATTACAGACATGAGCCACTCCACCCGGCCTCATATATTCTTAAAATACACAAATGTAATACTCTTCGAAAGGAGAGCATGAATACAATAGGACTAGTTAAACAAATATTAACCTATATCTAATAAAAAATAATGATAGCCAGGCGCGGTGGCTCATGCCTGTAATTCTGGCACTTTGGGAGGCTGAGGGGGTGGATCACTCGAGGTCAGGAGTTTGAGACCAGCCTGGCCAACATAGTAAAACCCTATCTCTTCTAAAAATACAAAAATTAGCCGGACGTGGTGGTGCACACCTACAATCCCAGCTACTCAGGAGGCTGAGGCAGGAGAATCACTTGAACCCGGGAGAAGGAGGTTGCAGTGAGCGGAGATCGTGCCACTGCACTCCAGCCTGGGCGACAGACTCTGTCTCAAAATACCAGCAACAAAAAACAACAACATATTTCTTTCTGTTCCATAATATAGGATATTTTTACTCTTTGTTTTCTTTTCCAATAATATTCCTCTGAAATGCCTTCAGCCTTTAGGATATCCTTCTTTTTTTCCTGCAGTGGTGAACTGAATATGGTCAAATGAAAAATTCAGTCTGACCGGTAGCTCTGCCCTTATTGATCCCATGGTATACTAATTCCTGGTGTCAGTTTCTTGGGATGACATCAAGCTGAATATCATCTCAACAAAAGCTTGTAAGCGTGGAATCCTTAGGATTTTACTTACTAGTAATGGCAGGTTTTTAGACTAGGAAGAATTAGTTTCCAACACTCCAAAAATGTCCATCTGCTTTGTATCTACAGCCTTGTTTTGTAAACCAGCTGTTTTCAATGAGGCCCTCTGCATCTGTACATCCATCATATAGACGATCCACATCTAAGATGTGCATCATTTGTAAATATTCCAAAGGACATTGGATGCTGTCATAAGTTAAATCCCTCTCGGGAAAAATGGGTTTAAAGCACAGATGTAATCTGATTTTATGAAATAAAAACTGGATTCCAAATAAGTTGTAGTTTTAGTAAAGAAATCAGAAAGTCCTGTTTAACTTGGCTGCCTTTTTCTGGTAACATTTATCTTTTATTTTTTTTTTTAGTTTTGAAGCAGTCTTTGTTTCCAAAAATTACTATATACATGTTTGTCACAACCTACACAGAACAATTCATGTGGAGTCATGGCTCTTTATGGTCTTATGGCTTCTTCTAAGATCATCAGTTTTGGAGACACAGCATATAAATTTCTGTTAGTGTAACCTTTTTTTCCCCATAATTCAGCCTCAATGTATTTTCAAATTAGAGAAGGACATGCTCCTTGTCTCACTTTTTTTTTTTTTGAGATGGAGTCTTGCTCTGTCGCCCAGGCTAGAGTGCAAAGGTGTGATCTCGGCTCACTGCAGCCTCTGCCTCCCAGGTTCCAGTGATTCTCCTGCCTCAGCCTTCTGGGTAGCTGGGATTATAGGCATGCACCACCATGCCTGGCTAATTTTTGTATTTTTAGTAGAGACGGGGTTTCACCATGTTGGCCAGGCTGGGCTTGAACTCCTGACCTCAGGTGATCTGCCTGCCTCGGCCTCCCAAAGTGCTGGGATTACAGGGGTGAGCCACTGCACCTGGCCCTTGTCTCACATTTTGAAAATACAACTTTACAGACAATATTTAATTACCTGCCTGTAATCCCAGCACTTTAGAAGGCCAAGGCTGGAGGATCTCTTGAGTCCAGTCCAGGAGTTCAAGACTAACCTGGGCAACATAACAAGACCCTGTCTCTACAAGTAGTAAAAAAATTCACCGGGCATGATGATGCACGTCAGTGGTCCCACCTACTAAGTAGGCTGAGGAGGGGGGATTACTCGAACCCAGGAGTCTGAGGCTGTGCTGAGCTATGATCATGCCACTGCACCCCAGTCTGAGCAACAGACCAAGACCCTGTCTCAATAATAATAATAATAATAATTTTTTTTTTTGAGACAGAGTCTTGCTGTGTCGCCCAGGCTGGAGTGCAGTGGCGCAATCTCAGCTCACTGCAAGCTCCGCCTCCCAGGTTCACGCCATTCTCCTGCCTCAGCCTCCTGAGTAGCTGGGACTACAGGTGCCCGCCACCACGCCCGGCTAATTTTTTGTATTTTTAGTAGAGACAGGATTTCACCATGTTAGCCAGGATGGTCTTGATCTCCTGACCTTGTGATTCACCTGCCTCAGCCTCCCAAAGTACTGGGATTACAGGCGTGAGCCACTGCGCCTGGCAATAATAATTTTTTATAGCTGGCAGCCAGACAGTCGTCTTATGGGCACATGTCTAAGGAGACTACCTCCTTCCATTTTTATAAAGTCTAATATCTCATTAAGTAATCTTGCAGCTTTGAGGGAACTAACAAGTGACCAAAACTTTCATAATGAAAGCCTCAATGTTACAGGTAAGCAAGCCACACTCCATTTTAGCAATGTGGTGTCCAAAGTGTGCAGGACATTGAACAGGAAAGATCTTTTTTATTGTCTTTGGTAAGCAATATAAAAATGGAATGAAATTTCCCAAAATTTACATTTGTACTATTTGCCACATATGCAAATAGACTGGCAAGGCCCAGTTTATATTTGGATAATATATCAATATTAACTATATATCAATAATTTTGTTCTATGTTTTCTATAGTTTCATTAAAATCCTCATAGAAATCAAGAGGATGATTTGAAATTTGATTTTTTTTTTTTTTTTTTTTTTTTTTGGGAAAGTACCTAAGAAGTAGAGAGAACATTTTGTTGTTGTTGGGGAGGAGAAACCTTCCCTCTGCTGTCTTATATTCAGTAACTGAGGCCTGATAATTAAATGAACAAAAGACAGATTAACAGGGGAAAAGATAAAATTTTTGTTTAGCAGTTACATACACAGGCATTTACAGAAAAGAAGTGAAACTCAAAGAAGCAGTTGGACTCGGGTGCTTATATACCATTTTCACAAGGAAAAGAGTCCTTTGAGCTGCAGATGCAAGATAAAAATAAAATAAAATAAATAAAAACAAAGCAGTTTGGGCTTCAAGGGACAATCATGGGAAGTAACTAGAAATATATGGGGGAACTGGCCAGGTGCGGTGGCTCACGCCTGTCATCCCAGCACTTTGGGAGGTTGAGGCAGGTGGATCACTTGAGGCCAGGAGTTCGAGAGCAGCCTGGCCAACATTGTGAAACCCCGTCTCTACTAAAAATACAAAAATTAGCAGGGTGTAGTGGCAGGCACCTGTAATCCCAGCTACTCGGGAGGCTGAGGTAGGAGAATCGCTTGAACCTGGAAGGCAAAGATTGCAGTAAGCCGAGATTGCGCCACTGCACTCCAGCCTGGGAGACAGCGAGACTCTGTTTCAAACAACAACAACAAAAATATATGGGAGAACTAATGGAAGATAAGGGTTTCATGAGTAAGGTGTGTTTATGCAAACTGGTCTCAATGTCTTCTCCCTGTATCCAGTTATCAAAACGCTCTTCTGTTCTGGGGCAAGGAGAGAGTTACCTGTTTTGAGGGGAAATATATGCCTTATTTTTAGACAGGTGGGAGGACAGAGAGCTCTTCCCACATCTGCTATTTCTCAATTGCCTTCATCTCAAAAGAGTCAATATGCCAACGTGGCATGTTCTGGTTCCCTTCATGGTGACTGTTGTTGGTGTGATCTAACCCATTCTTTGAAATACTGGTGTTTCATAGAGCAATCAAGGGAACGATATGATAATGTGTGTTCTTTAGCGTGGTATGCTCAAGCCAATTCTTTTTTTTTTTTTTTAGATGGAGTCTCACTCTGTCACCCAGGCCAGAGTGCAGTGGTGCCATTAGGGCTCATTGCAGCCTTGAACTCCTGGGCTCAAGTGATCCTACTTCCTCAAGTGATCCTACTTCCTCAGCCTCCCTGCAGCTGAGACAGGTGCGCACCACCCCGCCTGGCTAATAGGTTTATTTTTTGTAGCAATAGGGACTTGCTATGTTACCCAGGCTGGTCTCAAACTCTTAGCCTCAAGTGATCTCACGTTTGCCTCTCAAAGTGCTGGGATTACAGGTGTGAGCCACCACACCCAGCCTTTTTGGTGTCTTTTGAAGAAACAGAAAAACTTCTGGCCAGGTGAAGCTGAGGCAGGAGGCCAAGGGATCCTTGGTGCAAGACCAACCTGGGCAACATAGCAAGACTGTTTCTACAAAAAATAAAAAGTATTAGTGGGGTGCAGTAGTGTGCACCTGTAGTCCCAGCTACCAGGAGGCTGAGGAAGGAGGATTGCTTGAACCCAGGAGTTTGAGGCTGCAGTGAGCCATGATCACACTACTGCACTCCAGCCTGGGTGACAGAGTAAGACCCTGTCTCAAAAACAAACAAACAAAAACCCAAAAAACCTTTTGATTGAGAAAGTCTTGCCTGTCTAACCCCAGACTTGTGAGAATCTGCTCCATATGTGCCTTATTCTCCTGTCTACCACACCCCACCCATCAAGTATGTGCTGTTTCTGCTATTTGCCTCCTTAATCAGGCACCCTGTCCTTCCAACTGTCATTAAAATGACACAGTTGTTTAGCCTTCCTTTTCAGTGACTACTGGGTCATGCTGGCATTGGTATTGTAATCTGAACTCTTAGAAAACCTGATCGTAATAGTCACAGTGTTAAAGATTAAACTACACTATCTCAATACAAACAAAGCACAACAGTTACTCCACAGGCAAAGGCAGAGCCAGACTGTCCATGCTCACAGTAACAAAGCATGTGAGTTGTGCACTGAAGTCCTATCATGCCCAGCAAGAATTATAGCAGCCCTTGTCCCTAATAATAATGTCTATTACTGGGAACTGCAAATCAGTATCAGTGGCCAATGACCATGGAAGGTGGACAGTCTGTGCACTAACCGCTTGACACCGAAACCAGTGTTGCTTTCAACCCCAATTTTTTGATTGCCATGCAAGTTTTGTACTTGACCTCAGTCTTCCACATTCATTGCTAAAAACTGGGACTTCTCATGTCCTGCAGAGGACTCTTGTGAAATGTGGAGCTTTAACTGCTAAAACCACACAGGCACAGGCCCTGTGAACAACAAACTTTCAGATATTTGTGGTAGAAATATATATTGGTGCAACTTTTCATTTTTCTTTCTTTTTTTTTTTTTTTTTTTTTGAGATGGAGTCTCGCTCTGCCGCCCAGGCAAGAGTGCAGCGGCACAATCTCAACTCACTGCAACCTCCATCTCCCGGGTTTAAGCGATTCTCCTGCCTCAGCCTCCTGAGTAGCTGGGATTACAGGTGCCCACCACCACACCCGGCTAATTTTTGTATTTTTAGTAGAGATGGGGCTTCACCACTGTTGGCCAGGCTGGTCTCAAACTCCTGACCTCAGGTGATCCTCCTACCTTGGGTTCCCAAACTGCTGGGATGACAGGCATGAGCCACCATTCCCAGCCTTGTGCAACTTGTCTGGAGAGCAACTTGAATGTGCATTTCAAGAGTCTTAAACATATTTATAACTTTGAGCCAGTAATTCCATTTTCAGGAAATTTATCCTAAGGAAATAATTAAGGAAGTTCCTAAACATTTATAATTATGGATAGTTGACTGGGTTTTTTTTATAACATTTGAAAATTGAAAATAGTTTAAATTTTCAACAGTAGGGAAATAAACTGTGACATATATGTAATATATTAAATTTTTTAACAATGGGATGCAGTCATTAAGTACAGTCCTTTTGTTTTATGTTGCATGCCCTTCTAATGAATAAATGCAGTCCTTTAAACTCATGTTTTTGTACCTTAAAACTTATTTATTTATTTTCCATGACAGAGTCTTGCTCTGTCGCCCAGGCTGGAGTGCAGTGGTGCAATCTCGGCTCACTGAAACCTCTGCCTCCCGGTTTAAGCAATTTCCTGCCTCAGCCTCCCCAGTAGCTGGGATTACAGGCACCTGGTACCACGCCCATCTAATTTTTATATTTTTAGTAGACAGGGTTTCACCATGTTGGCCAGGCTGGTCTTGAACTCCTGACCTTGTGATCTGCCCGCCTCGGCCTCCCAAAGTACTGGGATTACAGGTGTGAGTTACCGTGCCTAGCCAAAACTCATTTTAAAAAGTAACTTTAAGAAGCAGTTTACAGTGTGATCTAATTTTTTGTCAAACAATGCATGTATATGAATATATATACAGTATAAGAAAAAGAAAAACTAGAAAGAAACAATTCACACTGTTATATGTGAGTGGGAAGATTATGGCTCATTTTACTTTTTTATTATACTTTTCATATTTTCCCAATTTTCTGTAATCAACACTTTTTTTCTGGTGCTTTTTAAAAATAATCAAATAAAATGTTTTAGTACTGTCTGAAGGTTGAGTGATTGCTAACTGTGAACATGAAATTTTTGGAATTAGCAGTAAGGCTCATGCTGTAAGGAAATGACTTTTCCATTGCAGACTAGAATGGGATGCTGATGCTGAGATAAACCATGAGAAACAGAAAACTCCAGGCTGGGCACGGTGGCTCACGCCTGTAATCCAACACTTTGGGAGGCTGAGGCGAGGATTGTTTGAGCCCAGGAGTTCAAGACCAGCCTAGGCAGCCATAGTGCAACCCCATATCTACAGATAATAATAATAATAATAATAATAATAATAATAAATTAGCTGGGCGTGGTGGCATGTGCTTGTGGTCCCAGTTACTTAGGAGGCTGAAGAGGGAGCCTTGAGCCCAGGAAGTTGAGGCTGCAGTGAGCCACAATCGCACTACTACTCCAGCCTGGGTGACAGAGTGAGACCCTGCCTCAAAACAAACAAACAAACAACAAAAAATGGAAATAAGGGAACTCCACAAAGAAATTTACCAAAGGTTTCACCAAGATGTAGAGAATTACCCTATATTATTTATTGTTCTGACTTATATAAGTAACTTTAATTATAGAGTAAATTGCCCACAGTTCTCATTCCTTAGTGTAGATTTCCTCATTCTTTTTTTTTTTTTTGAAACAGTCTCGCTCTGTCACCCAGGCTAGAGTGCAATGGTGCGATCTCAGCTCACTGCAACCTCCGCTTCCTGGGTTCAAGTGATTCTTGTGCCTCAGCCTCCCCAGTAGCTGCAATTACAGGTGCACACCACCATGCTGGGCTAATTTTTTGTATTTTTAGTAGAGATGGGGTTTCACCATGTTGGCCAGGCTGGTCTCAAACTTCTGACCTCATATGATCTGCCCGCCTTGGCCTCCCAAAGTGCTAAGATTATAGGTGGGAGCCGCTGCACCCAACCGGATTCCCTCATTCTTGATGCATCTTTTAGTTGATTTTAATGTCTTGAGTTCCCCTGAACAGACTGTGAACTCGGTGGCTCTCAGCTGACAACTGCAGAAGGGATGTAGTGAGCTGATGTGAGAGGTAGCACCTGCTTCTACAATGGGACTTGTGGCTGTGTCCTGCGAGTCTGTTACACTGGCATGACTCAAGGCAAGGAGGGACAAGATGATGAGTCTCAAGTCTACTGCAGGGACATTCATTAAGAGCATGGCCTTCCCAGACAAGTGGTGCAAGCCTTGTATTAGGGAACTGTATACATGTTGAATCCTTGTCACCTGTAACTCTTGCCTACTCCGTAGTCCAACATGGTTCCTTTGATTCTGAAATCTCATTCTTGCTCTGACTATAGAAGTAATTGTGCTTTTCTATTTGGGTTTCTTGTGCCACATGTGATAAAATAGGGGAAAGCAAAAAAGGAGGCAGGAATAGATGAGTAGCAGAAACCATGATATCAAAATGGGAAGATGGTGGGTTTTGCACAGTCTACTGGAATACCCCATGCATTATCCTCAGGTTCCTAAGACACCAAAGAGAAGGTAAATTGTGGCCAGGTACTGTGGCTCATGTCTGTAATCTCAGCACTTTGGGAGGATGAGGTGGGAGGATCACTTGAGTCCAGGAGTTTGAGACCAGCCTGGGCAACATAGCAAGACCCTGTCCCTATTAAAAAAAAGAAAAGGAAAGGAAAGGTAAATTGTGTTGGATCAACCCAAAAGACTGCCCCCCCTTTCCCTAGATTAACTTATTCCAAATTTCTCTCTTCCTTGTTTTTCAATGTTCAGTTCATCACCTAGTCCTTTATCAGAAGAGTAAGCGGAAGCTGGTGACCTGTAAGGCTCCAGTGGCTGAGGTTGGGGGCTGGTGGGGGCGAGGCAGTTTAGAACTGCAAAATGAAAGCTCCAGTTTGCAAAAGCTAAGAAACTAGAACCTATCAAGCTGGCACTCAGGGGATGCAGCACCAAGGACCAAAGAAAAATAATCACCACCATTCTGGGACCATCAAGGAGCCCAGACAACATGAAATTCCAGCCCCAGCCAAGGGGTGACTAGGTCACCGAAAGTCTGAAACTGGTTCTCTATCCAGGATGTTATCAGTAAACCATAAACCGGATCAAGAATCCAGGAAGTTATGAGGGCGGGTCAAGGTGTGTTTGTGGCCTGATTTGAAGACAAGGCTTGTTTGCTTTAGAAGGTACGTCTGTATAATTGCTCCAGGGCAGGAACTGGGGTGAGTTCGGCCTATCCCAGACAAATGGGGCCCAGGAGGAAGAACCTGAGAACTGTGTGGCTGCAGATGAGCCGACAGACGAAGGCTCAGGTGTGAAGAAACAGAGGTGACAACAGTGCCACTCAACGCTGGCTGCACATTTGACTCACCTGGGAGCTTTAAAAAAAAAAAAAAAAAAATCCCAGTGTTCAGCCACGCCCCAGACCAATTAGATTGGAATTTCTGGGGGTTGGGCCCAGGCGCTGGTGTGTTTTTAAAGGCCCGAGGTGATTTTAATGTGCAGCCGGGACTGGGTGCCACTGGATTATCGGTAGGTTTTCAGAGCTGCTAAGAAGTTCATTCTGATGGATTCATTTTCTTGTGACTGGCTAGTAATTACAAAATAAGCTTTACAAAAATAGTGTTGAAAGAAACATTCAAACAATCCTAAATGTGCTTTTTAAACAGAGATAAAATAAATCCTCTTAGACTTCACCACTATACAATTCATCCATGTAACCAAAAACCACTTGTACCCCCAAAACTATTAATAATTACAACTATATATATATTTTTTCAAAGGTCTATATGCCAAGGCAAATCTAAAAAATGAAATAAGAAAATAAATTATCAATAAAGCTCCTTCTAGCTTTAAAAGGAAAAAAAAGTTCTACTTAAGCTAAGGAGTTGGGGTTTTATCCACATGGAGCAGGACCCTGGAAGATTTTTTAATTAATTAATTCATTCATTATGAGACAGGGTCTCGCTATGTTGCCCAGGCTGGTCTTGAACTCCTGAGCTCAAGGAATCCTTCTGCCTCAGCCTCCAGGTAGCTGGGGCCACAAGTGCGTACCACCATGCCCAGCTTCTAGGAGATTTTGATCAGAAGAGTGATGGAAAAAAAGTGAAAATGTAGGAAGAGTGATCAGACATTGAGGTATAATGTAGTCAATTTTGTTCTAAGGCAAACATTTATTAATAATAGTGGCTTAGCTGGGCGTGGTGGTACATGCCTGTGGTCCCAGCTACTTGGGAGGCTGAGGCAGGAGGATTGCTTGAGCCCAGGAGATAGAGACTGTAGTAGTGAGCCATGTCCAGTCACTGCCCTCCAGTCACTGCCACTGGGTGGCAGAGCGAGACCCTGCCTCAAAAAAAAAAAAAAAAAAAAAAAAAGTGCCGGAACAGTGGCCCACACCTGAAATCCCAGCACTTTGGGAGGCCGAGGCAGGAGGATCACTTCAGGTTAGGATTTCAAGACCAGCCTGGCCAACATAGCGAAACCTTGTCTCTACTAAAAATACAGAAATTAGCCAGGTGTGGTGGTGGGCACCTGTAATCCCAGCTACTCAGGAGGCTGAGGCAGGAGAATCACTTGAACCTGGGAGGTGGAGGTTGCAGTGAGCTGAGATCATGCCACTACACTCCAGCCTGGGTCACAGAGCCAGACTCCGTCTCAAAAACAAACAAACAAACAAACAAACAAAATAGTGACTAGCATTTATTGAAGAAAGCCCTGTGACAGTAACGGTCTTATTCAGCTCTGCCTTTTTTTTTTGAGACAGGGTCTCACTCTGTCACCTAGGCTGGAGTGCAGTGGTGTGATCATAGGTTACTCCAACCTTTGCCTCCCAGGATCAAGCGATCCTCCCACCTCAGCCTCCCAAGTAGCTGGGATTACAGGTGCCCGCCACCACGCCCAGCTAATTTTTTGTTTTTTGATAGAGATGGGGTTTCGCTATGTTGACCAGGCTGGTCTCAAACTCCTGACCTCGTGATCCGCCTGCCTCAGCCTCCCAAAGTGCTGGGATTATAGGCATGAGCCACCGAGCCCGGCCAAGTTACCTGATTTTCTAAGCTGCGTCTGGAGTACATGGAGGTGGAAAACAAGACTTTCCCATGTACCAGCTATGAGCCAAGTACTATTCTAGGCACTTTCACTTGCATGACTTCATTTAATGACAAACATTTGTATTTTTAAAATCTTTGGTCCTATTTATAAGTTAAAACTCTTTGAGAAGAAACCAATCCTTGGGAAGGCTATGGTTAATTTCAGCCTTATGGTAGCTGAAAGAAAAAATAAGGTTTCAGGGTTCCAGCTTAGGGTTTCAAGGAATGAAGCTCTGTATGGTGAGTCTTCTCAGCCTTTGAGAAGACTTATTGTACAGTTGTGTGGGACAGAATGGCACCACCTAGTACTTGATGTGTATCTGTGGAGAAACACACTTAGACGACTTAGAGCTAGGATTATGTCATTGTCAACACCAATGGCACGAAAATTCCCCCAGTCCCCGGAGGAGCTGAACAACAGCTGAGGTGATCAAATCTCTGATGGCCTCCACAGATGGACTCCTTCCAATATGGTGCCAGGATCATCCAAGAGGACAGCTGCCTTCCCACTGGATCCTGAGCAGGACTTGCGGGTTGGCTCACTGCTGAGGGCTGGCCCGAGGGATGTCAGAAGTCCAAGGACAGGAAAGCAACGTTCACGTGAGCTTTTTCCACCTTCCTTCTGTGAAGGGAGCCTGTGACTGAATAGAAGCCATGCTTAAAGTATCATTGTTTTAAAAGCTAATGTTGCTGTGTGGCTCTGAAACACGACTTGCCAACGAGCCCTCTCACAGGTGTTCATCTTGCTTATTCAGAAATGAATATTTCACAGCTTCCTGCCCTGGAAATTGGCTTCCACCCAACTGAATGAGTCACACACTTGTGGATAAGCTCTCTTGGGTAATTCTTCTTTAAAACTTTTTTTCTTACGGTAAAATGTACACAACGTAAAATTGACCTTTTTAACCTTTTATTTTTGAGACCAGGTCTCACTCTGTTGCCCAGGCTGGAGTGCAGTTATGCGGTCACGGCTCACCTCACTGCAGCCTCAACCTCCCAGGCTCAAGTAATCCTCCCACCCCAGCCTCCCGAATATCTGGACCACAGACATGCACCACCATATGTGGCTAATTTTTTTATTTTTATTTTTTGTGGAGACAAGGTCTTGCTATGTTGCCGAGGCTGGTCTTGAACTCCTGGCTCAAGTTATCCTCCCGCCTCAGACTCCCAAAGTGCTGGGATTACAGGCATAAGCCACCACATCCAGCCCATTTTAACCATTTTTAAGTGTATAGTTCAGTGATACTAAGTATAAAATATTTTTTAAGGTGCTTTATACCCTGAACTGAAAGATTTGACTACCCTTTGTCATGCCTAGTTTCTAAACTGTTGTTCTTGAAAGCTCCAAGTCATTCTAGAACCCAAGAGTCCTGCCATCAGAAGGGACTTTTAAAGGGTTTTTTTTTTTTTTTTTTTTTTTTTGTATCTATCTTATCCTGGAAAGGAAGGTCCATGCTTTTTTTGGAATTATATAAATTTTTGATTCTCTTCATCTACTTATAATCTCTCCTATGAAAACAGTTTTATTTTTGATTAAAAATGTCCATAAATTACAATGCAAAGAATAAATTCCAATGTAAACTATGGGCTTAAGTTAATAATGACGTGTTAATATTTCTTCAATATTATTCAATGGGTTAATATTGTAACAAATGTACCACACCAAGGCAAGATGTTAGTAACAGGAAACTTTGTGTTGGGAGAGGGGTTTAATATGGGAGCTCTCTGCATTTTCTGCTCAATTTTTCTATAAACCTAAGATAGCTCTACATAATAAAGTCTATTAATTAGAAAAAAAAAAACACTGAGGTTAATGAATTTCCCAAATAAGTCTTTCCTAGTCCTCTTTGAAACATCCTGCCCTCCTTCTTTTTTCTTTTCTTTTCTTTCTTTTTTTTTTTTTTTGAGACGGAGTCTTGTGCTGTTGCCCAGGCTGGAGTGCAGTGGCTCAATCTCGGCTCACTGCAACCTCTGCCTCCGAGTTCAAGTGGTTCTCCTGCTTCAGCCTCCTGAGTAGCTGGGATTACAGGCCCGTGCCACCATGCCTGGCTAATATTTGTATTTTTAGTAGAGACGGGGTTTCACCATGTTGGCCAGACTGGTCTCAAACTCCTGACCTCGTGATCTGCCTGCCTCAGCCTACCAAAGTGCTGGGATTACAGGTGTGAGCCACTGCGCCCGGCCTTTTTTTTTTTTTTTTTTTTTTTTTTTTAAAGAGGCAAAGTCTTGCTGTCACCCAGGCTGGAGTGCAGTGGTTCAATCACAGCTTACTGCAGCCTCAACCTCCCGGGGCCAAGTGATCCTCCCACGTTAGCTTCCTGGAGTAGCTGGGACTACAGGTATGTGCCACCATGCTTGCCTGATTTTTTTCTTTTCTTTCCTTTTCTTTTATTGATTGATTGAGACAGAGTTTCGCTCTTGTTGCCCGGGCTGGAGTGCAGTGGCATGATCTCTGCTTACCGCAACCTCCACCTTCCAGGTTCAAGCCACTCTCCTGCCTCAGCCTCCCAGGTAGCTGGGATTACAGGTGCAAACCACCACACCCGGATAATTTTGTATTTTTAGTAGAGATGGGGTTTCACTACGTTGGCCAGGCTAGTCTTGAACTCCTGACCTTAGGTGATCCACCCTCCTTGGCCTCCCAAAGTACTGGGATTACAGGGGTGAGCCGCCACGCCCAGCCCCCCACTTTGTTTTTAAAGAGACAGCTGCCGTCCTTAACAGTTTCTAGCTGAGTCCTACCTGGAACATTTTCCTTCAGCCTTCTTATCTTACTTAAAGGGGGAAAATATTAATAATACTATATTCCTGTCTGGGTGCGGTGGCTCATGCCTGTAATCCCAGCACTTTGGGAGGCTGAGGCAGGGGGATCACTTGAGGTCAGGAGTTCAAGACCAGCCTGGCCAACATGGTGAAACTCCATCTCTACTAAAAACACACAAAAAAATTAGCTGCGTGTGGTGGTGGGTGCCTGTAGGTCCAGCTACTCAGGAGGCTGAGACAGGAGAAGAGCTTAGACCTGGAAGGCGGAGGTTGCGGTGAGCCGAGATAGTGCCACTGCACTCCAGCCTGGGCAAGACAGCGATACTCTGTCTCAAAATAAATAAATAAAAATACAAATTAAAAAATACTATATTTCTTAACAAAAACCTGCTTGGAGTGTGAACTTTCCCTTTCTAAATTGATAGTCTTTTTCTGTCCTGTTTTCTACTTCTTTAGCTCATTATCTATCTCGTCTTTGGATTTGAAGTCTCAGCAAATCATGCTGTGGGATCTGTCACTATGCTCTCTACACCACGGACATGACTGCAACGGTATTTATGACTCCTCCTGTCTTTGAAAGGTGGGGGGAATAGTGGTTTCCTCTTTGTGCACTCTCCTAATCTCTTCCTTACCATGCTCTTAATTTCCTAATTCCCCCAAATCTTTACAACTGGATTTAAGAAACTCCTGAATCCATTTCTCACTATCTCCTTTTGGAAAGCAAGCTATTTCCAGCAATCTTCCAAACTAAAGGGAGGGCCTGGATTCAAAGGGAATGTACCTCATCAGGGCCCATGCAGTTGAGGGTCAGGTGGAGGTCAGCCTACGGCTGGCAGGGGCAGGGATAGCAGACATGCACAGGTCACCCTGAAGAAGATGCAGAGACTCCAGGGTCATTTGGTCCAACACCAGATAAGCCGGGGTCAGCAAGGTTTCAGACAGATGAGGCCGATCACAATAGCATGGAGAACGTCCAGGCAAATGGCTCAGATCTTCCGCCAAGCCCTGCAGCGTCTGAAAGATACATCCCAGTTGGGCTGGAAGGTGAGGAGAGGTTACCATCGGCAGACCACAGACCAGCAGGACCCAGAGAAAAGGCCAAAGCAATTCTACATCTTCCCCATCACTTCAACTTTCAGGTTTACACATGCAGCTGCAGCGGGTGTCCTAAAGTTTTTCTGTTTGGGTTTTCCCCTCTTCAGTCTCTGCCTGGGTCCTCCTGTCCCTGCGAAACTTCTTCCCCCCGTCTGTCCCCACGGGGCCCAGCACCCTCTTGGCATTGAGCAGAGCTGCTGATCTGGGATCAAAGTCGAACATGTAGCCTGTAATCCCAGCAGTTTTGGAGGCAAAGACGGGCTGATCACTTGAGGTCAGGAGTTTGAGACCAGCCTGGACAACATGGCAAACCCCATCTCTACTAAAAATACAGAAATTAGCCAGGCATGTAGCTCCAGCTACTTGGTAGGCTAAGGCAGGAGAATCGCTTGAACTTGGGAGGTAAAGGTAGCAGTAAGCCAAGATCACACCACTGTGCTCCAGCCTGGGCAACAGAGTGAGACTCCCTCTCAAAAAAAAAAAAAAAAAAAAAATTTAACATCCACCAGAGAAGCAAACCATCGCCTTGCTGATATTTAACCCCATTTCATGGCATAATTGGAATGACATATTTTATGATAAAAGACCACTTTCTTACCAGGAAGGAAAGACAGAGTGCACAGGATAGAACCCCCCCTTCCTGCTTCTGTGTGTGTCAGCTGTAACTGCAGTCTTTTATGCTGGAGGCATGTTTGGCATCACCCCAAAGAGCAGAACCTTCTGGGCCCAAAAGAGCCAGGATTAGAGGAAGTCTAGCTTTCCCAGGGTGGACCTGACCTCTGTTCCCTAACCAAGTCCTTGAACTTGGCTGAGGAGAGAGCTGCCATTCTCCAGGTATATTTGGGGGGTGGGGGGACTAGTCCATGACACCAGTGGACTAGGTGGGGGCAGGGAGACCCCAACTCATCATCATGGCTTTTGAGTCTGTGAGTCCATCACTCTCTGGGCCAGTGCAGAGGAGCATCTACCCCCCAATCTCTACCTGCCTACGGATAGCTAGGCAGGGATCGTGTGTGTGTGTGTCTGTGACATTCTATTTTGATGACATTCTATTTTGACTTGGTCCTCATTCTCACATCTCCTACAACCATTTTATTTATTTATTTATTTATTTTTTTATTGAGATGGAGTCTCACTCTGTGGCCCAGGCTGGAGTGCAGTGGCGTAATCTCAGCTCACTGCAACCTCTGCCTCCCGGGTTCAAGTGATTCTCCTGCCTCAGCCTCCTAAGCAGTTGAGACCACAGGTGTGTGCCATCATACCCGGCTAATTTTTGTATTTTTAGTAGAGACGGGTTTTCACCATGTGAGCCAGGCTGGCCTTGAACTCCTGACCTCAGGTGATCCTCCCTCCTTGGCCTCCCAAAGTGCTGGGATTACAGGTGTGAGCCACTGCTCCCAGCGTCATACTACCATTTAAATTATGCAGTTCTCATCGTGTCCTTAATTACCAATGATTATATTTCTTGTGATTTTTAAAAATATAACACACCTATCATTGACTTTCCTTCCTCTAATGAAATGATCCATTCTGACATTTTCTAATAATTCTTCAAGATGCTTTTTTTGTAAGTTGCCTCTCCTGGTTTCTGAAAATTTTACTTCCACCTGGGTAGGAATTTTAACAGAAATCCCTATGCCTGCTTTTCTTTTGAATGTGACTAAAGTAGAATATGAAGTCATAAAATAGTTCCTCTTTCATCATTTCTAGCCCCTCTGCTTTCAGTGGCAATTGTGGGGCTATTTCAGACTATATCAGCATTGAGACTGTTGTTAAATTCAGAGAGTGATAAAGGTGGAAGCACTTTAAAACTATGGCCACTATGCATTTGTTTTTTGCAGGACCATATACGTTATTGCCTGAAATTACACATAATCTAATGAAAAACAGCTAGAGGCTACAACAATGACTTTTACTGTTTTTCTTTTCTTTTCTTTGCTTTTCTTTTCTTGTGGAGACAGAGTCTCACTCTGTCACCCAGGCTGGAGTACAGTGGCACGATCACAGCTCACTGCAGCCTTGACCTCCCGGGCTCAGGTGATCCTCCCACCTCAGCCTTCTATGTAGCTGGGACTACAGGCACATGCCACCACGCCTGGCTAATTTTGGTATGTCTTGTAGAGTATGTGTTTCACCATGATGCCTGGGCTGGTCTTGAACTCCTGGGCTCTAGTGATCGGCCCACCTAGACCTCCCAAAGTGCTAGAATTATAGGTGTGAGCCACTGCACCTGTAATTTTACTATTTTTCTAATGATAATTTCCAAACTACTCACTGAATAATTTTTCTACTTCATTTTTTTTAAAAAAACATTCCATTCCCTTTAAACCATTAATTAAAAACTAATCCCTGGACTGTCTTACACTTTTACTTTTTTCTTTGTTTCTGCTTTGTAATATTCTAATCTACTTCATTTACTCCTTCTAAGCTTTTCTTTTCTTTCTTTCTCGTTATGTCACCCAGGCTGGAGTGCAGTGGCACAATCATGAGCTCATAGCAGCCTCAACCTCCTGGGCTTGAACAACCCTCCCTCTTCAGCCTCCTAAGTAGCTGGGACTTATAGGCATAAGCCACCACACCTAGCTAATTTTTAATGTTTTTTGTAGAGATGCGGGTCTCTACAAAAGACCCCAGGCTGGTCTCAAAATCCTGGCCTCAAGCAATCCTCCTGCCTATACAGCTGGTCTCAATCTTTTTTGGTCTCAAAATCCTGGCCTCAAGCAATCCTCCTGCCTCTACAGCTGGTCTCAATCTCTTTTGGACAGAGTCTGACTCTGTTGCCCAGGCTGGAGTGCAGTGGTGCAACCTCTGTTCACTGTAACCTCCACCTCCCAGGCTCAAGCAATCCTCTCACCTCAGCCTCCCAAGTAGCTGGGACTACTGGCATGTGCTACCAGGCCCAGCTAATTTTTGAAATTTTTGTAGAGATAGGATCTCACTATGTTGCCCAGGCTGGTCTTGGACTCCGGGGCTCAAGTGATCCACCTGCCTCCATCTCCCAAAGTGCTAGGATTAGAGGTGTGAACCACCACGCCTGGCCTCAATCTCTTATATAGGGGTGTTAATGTTCATGCTTGTGAACCTCTGCCTCATAGTCTGTGTAATTTTCATTTCTTCCCCACACTCAAATGTGGATATGCCATTTAGCAGTCTTTTTGTTGTTGTTTTTTGAGACAGAGTTTTGCTCTTTCACCCAGGTTGCAGTGAAGTGGAGCAATCTCGGCTCACTGCAACCTCTGCCTCCCAGGTTCAAGCAACTCTCCTGCCTTAGCCTCCTGAATAGTAGCTGGGATTACAGGCATGTGCCACCATGCCTGGTTAATTTTTGTATTTTTGGTAGAGATGGGGTTTCGCCATGTTGGTCAGTCTGGTCTTGAACTCCTGACCTCAGGTGGTCCACCTGCCTCAGCCTCCCAAAGCGCTAGGATTATGGGCGTGAGCCACCACACCTGGCCTCATTTAGCAGTCTTAATTACAAGCAACAGACACTGAGTCGGGCAGATAAAGCAGAAAGGAATTTGTGACAAGGCTACTGGGAAGATTGGCTGGGAAGGCAGGAGGACTCACCTTGAGGCTCAGCTTCCGGAAACAATGTCGAAACCACACTGCAAGCCTGGCCTGTGAGGACACGCCTGCCAGGGCCACTGGGCACCAGACTCCACAGTTAGCACCACTGTCTCTTTTGGGCCCCAGACTCACAAGGTAGCCACTGCTGGTGCCTTATCAACATGTTTGCTGTCTCCACCCCAGACAAAGCAAGTTTCCCTTCCGGGGTCAGAACCGCCTGAGCCCCAGTCCAATAAAAGAGCATCTGATTGGTAGAGCCCACATCACAGGTCTGTGTTATGTGACCCCGGGAAAGGGAAGTGGACTCACAACATGAATGGGAAACTTCCAGCACACAGGAAGCACCTTCAAAAGATGCTGCGTGGCCGGGAACAGTGGTTCATGCTTGTAACTCCAACACTTGGGGAGGCTGAGGCAGGAGGATTGCTTGAGTCCAGGAGTTCGAGGCCAGCCTGGGCAACATAGCAAGACCCCCATCTCTACAAAAAATAAAAAAAAATAGCTGGGCATGGTGGTCTGTGCCTGTAGTCCCAGCTACTTGGGAGGCTGAAGCAGGAGGATTGCTTGAGCCCAAGAGGTAGAGGTTGCATTATGTGATATTACTCCTAATATCACAGTGGGTGCACACTATGTGATACTATTTGAAATGTCTTAGAAAGATATTACTTCTAATATCAGAGTGCTTGCACACCTTGATATTATTCTTAATATCGTAGAAAGATATTACTTCTAATATCACACAGGGTGCAAACCCTGTGATATTATTTGTAATATCTTAGGGAGATATTACTCCTAATATCACAGTGGGTGCACACCCTGTGGTATTATTTGTAATACCCTAGGGAGATATTATGACTAATATCACAGTGGGTGCACACCGTGCGATATTATTTGTAACATCATAGGTAGATATTACTCCTAATATCACAGTGAGTGCACATTCTGTGATATTATTTGTTATATCCTAGGAAGATACTACTCCTAATATCACAGTGGGTGCACACCCTGTGACATTATTCCTAATATACTAGGAAGATATTACTTCTAATATCACAGTTGGTGCACACCATGTGTGTACACCTTGTGATATTATTCGTAATATCCTAGGGAGATATTACTCCTAATATAAGTGTGCACACCATGTGAGTACAACCTGTGATATTACTGGTAATATCCTAGGGAGATATTTCTTTTAATATCAGAGTGAGTCCGCACAACGTGTGTACACCCTGTGATATTATTCATAATATCGTAGGGAGTTATTACTCCTAATATCACAGTGAGTGCATACCGTGTGTGTACACCCTGTGATATTATTTGTCACATTCTAGAGAGATATTGCTCCTAATATCTCAGCGTGTGCACACCATTATTACCATATTGGTAATATCCTAGGGAGATACTTCTTTTAATATCAGAGTGAGTGCACACAATGTGTGTACACACTGTGATATTATTTATAATATCCTATGGAGTTATTACACCTAATATTATAGTGGGTGCACATCCTGTAATGTTATTTGTAATATCCTAGAGAGATATTAACGCTAATATCACAGTGAGTGCACACCCTATGATATTATTCATAATGATCAAGAGAGATATTACTCTTAATATCACAGAAGGTGCACACCCTCTGATATTATTCTTAATATTTTAGGGAGATATTACTTTTAATATCACAGGGGGTGTACACCCTATTATGTAACATTTGTAATATTCTAGTAAGATATTACTCCTAATATGGCAGTGGTTGTACACGCGGTGATATTATTCATAATATCCTAGGGCTATATTACTGCTAATATCATAGTGGGTGTACACCATGTGATATTATACGTTATATCCTAGAAATATATTGCTCCTAATATCACAGTGGGTGTACCCCTTGTGATATTATTCATAATAACCTAGAAAGATATTATTCCTAATATCACAATGGGTGTACACTCTGTGATATTATTTGTCATATCCTTCTGAGATATCACTCCTAATATCACAGTAGGTGTAAACCCTGTGATATTATTCCTAATATCCTAGGGAGATATTAATCCTAATACCACCATGGGTGTACACTATATTTGTACACCCTGTGATATTATTAGTAATATCCTAGGGTGATATTACTCTTAATAGCACAGTGGGTGTATACCAAGGGATATTATTCGTAATATCCTAGGAAGATAGATATTACTCCTAATAGCACAGTGGGTGCACCCAACGTGTGTACACCATGTGATATTATTCACAATATCGCAGGGTGTGCACACTTTTCTTTAATATTGTTTGCAATATCCAGATTGCAAGAGGATAATATTACTTCCTATATCACAGGGAGTGCACACTCCGCTGTGTTATTGTTCGCAATATCGAGGAGGCAAGAGGATGATATTACTCCTAATATCACAGGGGTTGTACACCCCGCTGTGATATTGATTGCAATATCCAGGGAGCGAGAGGATGATATTACTCCCAATATTGCAAAGTGTGTACACCAACCTGTGATATTTGCAATATCCAGGGGGCGAGAGGATGACATTACTCCCAATACTGCAGGGGATGCACCACCCCCCCGTGATATTGTGCACAATATCCAGGGGGCGAGAGGATGACATTACTTCCTATACCACAGTGGTGCACACTCCCCTGTCATATTGTTTGCAATATCCAGGGGGCGAGAGGATAATATTACTTCCAATATCTCAGGGAGTGCACAAACACCTGTGGTATTTTTCGTAATATTCAGGAGGCAAGAGGATGATATTACTCCCAATATTGCAGGGGGTGCACACTACCTGTGATATTGTTCGTAACATCCAGGAGCAAGAGGATGATGTTACTTTTAACATTGCAGGGAGTACACACCCCCCTGTAATAATGTTCGCAATATTCAGGGGGCGAGAGGATATTACTTTCAATATCGTAGGTGGTGCACACCCTCCTGTGATATTGTTCGCCATATCCAGTGGGCGAGAGGATGATATTACTCTCGATATCGCAGGGGCTGCACACACTCATGTGATATTATTTGCAATATCCAGGGGTCGATAAAATGATATTGCTCCCAATATCGCAGGGGGTGCACACCTTTCTGCAATATTGTTCGCAATTTCCAGGGGTTGAGAGGATATTACACCCAATATTGCAAAGGGTGCACACTCCCCTGCGATATAGGTCGCAGTATCCAGGGGGCGAGAGAATGTTATTATTCTCAATATCGCAGGGGGTGCACACACCCTTGTGATATTGTTCGTAATACCCAGGGGATGAGAAGAAAACATTACCCAAAATTTCGTGGGAGGGCGTAAACGCCCCTTTGATATTGTTTGTAATATACAGAGGGGGGAGAATGATATTACTCCCAATATCACAGGGGGGTACAGCCCCCTGTGGTGTTGTTCCTAATAACCAAGGCAGGGAGGAGGTGATATCACTCCCAATATCATAAACACCCTACGTGTACACCACCTTGTGCTATTGTTCATAATATCCAGAAGGAGAGAGGTAATATTTCCAATATCGCACGGGGTGTATACTCCTGGTAATATTGTTCACAATATCCGGGGGGGGGGGGAGATGTTGATACTACTCTTAATATCGAAGAAGGCGTACATACCCTTGTGTTATTGTTCGTAATATCCAGGGGGCGAGAGGATGATATTACTTCCAATACTGTAGGGGCTATACACCCCTCTGTGATATTGTTTGTAATATACAGGTTGTGGGAGGAAGATATTACTCCCAATATCGAGGAATGTACACCCTCATGTGATATTTTTCACTATATCCAAGAAGCGAGAGGATGATATTAATCCCGACATCGCAGGGAATGTACATCCGACTGTGATATTGTTCGCAATATCTGGTAGGAGAGAGGATGAAATTACTCCCAATATCGCAGAGAATGTACACACCCTTAGCTATTGCTCGTAGTATCCAGGGGAAGAGAGGACTATATCAATCCCAATATGACAGGCGGGTGTACACCCCCCGCGATATGGGGAGTAATATCACTCTCCTCTCCCCTCCTGGATATTAGGAACCAAATCACGGGGGGGGGTGAACACTCCCCGCGACATGGGGAGTAGTACCACCCTCCTCTCCCTCTCTGTAAATTATGAACCGTATCACAGGGGAGTGAACATCCCCCGCAACATGGGGAGTTATATCACCCTCCTCCCCCTGCCCCCGTATACTAGGAACCATATCACAGGGGGTTGTACACACCCCGCGATATGGGGAGTAATATCACCTTCCTCTCTCCCCTTGGATATTATGAACCATATCCTGGGGGAGTGAACACCCTCTGCGATATGGGGAGTAATATCACCCTCTTCTCCTCCCTGGACATTACGAATCACATCACAGGGGGGTGAATACACTATGTGTTTACTTTATTAAGTGTAATGTCATCTTCTGCCTCGATATTACAAACAATAGCACAGGGGGGTGTACACTTTCTGTGATATTGGGAGTAATATCATTCTCTCTTCCCCTGGATATTAAAAACAATATCACAGAGGTGTGTACATACAATGCGATATTAGGAGTAATATCATTTCCCCCCCGAAATATTAGAAAAAATATCATATGGGTGTATCCTTCACTTGCAATAATGGGAGTAATAGCATCTTCTCCTTCCCTGGATATTAGAAAAAATATCATAGGGGAGGTGATTAAGAACAATATCACAATGCCCTGTGATATTCGGAGTAATATCCTCTCTTTCACTGAATATTAGGAATAATATCAAAGGGGGAATGTACACTCCCTGTGTTATTGGGGGTAATATCATACTCTCCCTCCCTGGATATTAGGAACAATATCACAGGGTGGGTGTACAACCCCTGCGATATTGGGAGTAATGTCATCCTCTTCCTATATGGATGTTAGGAACAATATTACAGGGGTGGTGTACACCTCCCACGATATTGGCAGTAATATCATCCTCTCCCCCCGAATATTAGAAACAATATCACAGGGTGGGGCTGTACATTCCCTGCGATAATGAAAGCAGTATTATCCTCTGTTCCTCTGAAAATTAGGAATAATATCACAGGGGTAATATACACCCCCTGCGATATTGGGAGTAATATAATACTCTTTCTTTCTGGATATTAGGAACAATATCATAGGGAGAGTGAAAACCCCTGCAATATTGGGAGTAATAATATCATCTCCTCCCTTCCTGGACATTAGGAACAATATCACAGGGAGGGTGTATACCTTCTATGATACTGGAGGTAATATCATCCTCTTCCTCTCTGGATGTTAGAAATAATATCACAGGGTATGTGTACATTTCATGCTATAAAGGGAATCATCATTTTCTTTTTCCCCTGATATTATGAACAATATCGCAGCAGGGGTGTACACACCCTGCGATATTGGGAGTAGTATAATTCTCTCCTTCCCTGGATATTTGGAACTATATTACAGAGGGGCTGTACACCCTCTGCAATATTGGGAGTAATATCATTCTCTCCCACCTTGGATATTAGGGGCAATATCCAAGGAGGCTGTACACCCTCTGCGATATTGTGAGTAATAGCATTCTCCTCCTTCCTCAATATTAAAAACAATATCACAAGGGGGATGTACACCTTGCAATATTGGGAATAATCTCCTCTATCTCCGTTGACATTAGGAACAATATCAAAGGGGAAATGTACACCCCCTGCGATATTGGGAGTGATATCATACTCTCCATCCCCCCGGATATTAGGAACAATATCACAGGGTGGTGTTCATCCCCTGCGATATTGGGAGTAATATTATCCTCTTTTTTCATGGATATTATGAACAATATCATAGGGGGGAGTACACTCCCTGCAATAATAGGAGTAATATCATCTTCTCCCCCTTGGATATTAAGAACAATATCACAGAATGGATGTATAGTTCCTGCGATATTGGGAGTAATATCAAAATCTCCCCTCCTAAATATTAGAAACTATCACAAGGGGTGTGTACACTCCTTTCGATATTGGGAGTAACATCATCCTTTTCTTATTGGATATTAGGAAGAGTATGACAGGGTTGGTGTACACTTACTGCGATATTGGGAATAATATCATCATCTCTCTCTTTGGATATTAGGAACAATATTCCAGGGGCGGTGTACACCCCCATGCAATATTAGGAGTAATAATAATCTCTCCCCCCTTGATATTGTAAACAATATCACGGGGGGGTTTATACCTCCTGCCATATTGGGAGTAATATAATCCTCTCTCCTCCTGGATATTAGAAACAATATCACAGTGGGAGTGTATACCCTCTGCCATATTGGGAGTAATATTGTCATCTCCTTCCCTGGATATTGGGAACAATATCACAAGGCGGGTGTACACCCCCTGCAATATGGATAGTAATATCATCCTCTCCCCTCATCTGGATGTTAGGAACAACATCACAGAGGGAGTGTATACCCCTGCGATATTGGGAGTAATATCATTTTATTCCCCCTTTAATATTAGGAACAATATCAAGGGGGGAAGTGTACACCCCCAGCAATATTTGGAGTCATGTCGTGCTATCCTTTTCTGGATATTAGCAGCAATATCACAGGGGGAGTGTACAACACCTGTGGTATTTATGGTAACATTATTTTCTCCCCCACTGGATATTAGGAACAATATCACAAGGCATGTGAATACTTCCTGCGATATTGGGAGTAATATCATCCTCTCCCTTCTTAAATATTAGAAACAATATTACAATGGTGGTGTACACCCCCTGCAATATTGGGAGTAACATCATCCTCCCCCACCCCTGAATATTAGAAAAAGTATCACAGGGGTGGTGTACACTAACTGCAATATAAGGTGTAATATCGTCACCTTTCCCAGTGAATATTAGGAACAATATTACAGGGGAGTGTACAGCCCACTGCGATATTGAGAGTAATATCATCATCTCCCTCCCTTGATATTCGGTACAATATCACAGGCCGGGTGTACACCTTCTGTGATATTGGGAGTAATATCCTTCTCCCTTCCTGCATATTAGAAACAATATCACGGGGGTTGTATACCCCCTGCGATATTTGGAGTAATATCATCGTCCCCCCCTCGTGATATTAGGAACAATATCACAGGGTGGTGTACAAACCCTGCAATATTGAGTGTAATATCATCCTCTCCCCGGCTGGATATTAGGAAAAAACATCACAGTGGGGGTGTACACTCCCTGCGATATTGGGAGAAATTTTGTATTTTCCCACTTGGATATTAGAAAAATATCACAGGAGGGGTGTCAACACCATGCCATATTGGGAGTAATATTATTCTCTTTCCCCTTGGATATTATAAACAACATCACAGGGGGGCATACACTTCTTGCAATATTGGGAGTAATATCATCCTCTTTCTTCCTGGATATTAGGAACAATATCACAGGGGGAATGTACACCACCTGCAATATTGGGAGTAATATCATACTCCCCCCACCAGGATATTAGGAACAATATCCTGGGGGGGTGTACACCCACTGCGATATTTGGAGTAATATCATTTCCTCCCTCCCTGCATATTAAAAACAATATCACAGGGGATGTGTACAACTTTTGCGATATTGTTGTTAACATCATCCTTTTTCTCCCTGGATATTAGAACAATATCACGGGGAGGGGAGTACACCCCCTGCGATAATGAAAGTAAGATCATCTTTTCCTTCCAGATATTAAGAACAATATCATGAGGGGGATGCACAGTTCCTGCGATATAGGCTGTTAATATTGAGAGGTGACAGCGTGCTGGCAGTCCTCACAGCTCTCGCTCGCTCTCGGCGCCTCCTATGCCTGGGTTCCCACTTTGGCAGCACTTGAGGAGCCCTTCAGCCCACCGCTGCACTGTGGGAGCCCCTTTCTGGGCTGGCCAAGGCTGGAGCCGGCTCCCTCAGCTTGCAGGGAGGTGTGGAGGGAGAGGCACGAGCAGGAACCGGGGCTGCGTGCAGTGCTTGCGGGCCAGCTGGAGTTCCCGGTGGGCATGGGCTTGGTGGGCCCCACACTCGGAGCAGCCGGCCGGCCCTGCCGGTACTGGGCAATGAGGGGCTTAGCACCCAGGCCAGCGGCTGCGGAGGGTGTACTGGGTCCCCCAGCAGTGCCAGCCCACCGGCGCTGTGCTTGATTTCTCACCGGGCCTTAGCTGCCTTCCTGCCTGGCAGGGCTCGGGACCTGCAGCCCGCCATGCCTGAGCCTCCCACGCCCTTCATGGGCTCCGCTGCAGCCCAAGCCTCCCTGATGAGCGCCGTCCCCTGCTCCATGGCTCCCAAGTCCCATTGACCACCCAAGGGCTGAGGAGTGCGGGCGCACGGCGTGGGACTGGCAGGCAGCTCCACCTGCAGCCCCTGTGCAGGATCCACTGGGTGAAGCCAGCTGGGCTCCTGAGTCTGGTGGGGATGTGGAGAACCTTTATGTCTAGCTCAGGGATTGTAAATACACCAATCAGCACCCTGTGTCTAGCTCAGGGTTTGTGAATGCACCAATCGACACTCTGTATCTAGCTACTCTGGTGGGGCCTTGGAGAACCTTTATGTCTAGCTCAGGGATTGTAGACACACCAATCAGCACCCTGTGTCTAGTTCAGGGTTTGTGAATGCACCAAGTGACACTCTGTATCTAGCTACTCTGGTGGGGCCTTGGAGAGCCTTTGTGTTGACACTCTGTATCTAGCTAATCTGGTGGGGACGTGGAGAACCTTTGTGTCTAGTTCAGGGATTGTAAACGCACCAATCAGTGCCCCATCAAAACAGACCACTCGCCTCTACCAATCAGCAGGATGTGGGTGGGACCAGATAAGAGAATAAAAGCAGGCTGCCCGAGCCAGCAGCGGCAACCTGCTCGGATCCCCTTCCACACTGGAAGCTTTGTTCTTTTGCTCTTTGCAATAAATCTTGCTACTGCTCACTCTTTGGGTCCACACTGCCTTTAAGAGCCATAACACTCACCGCGAAGGTCTGCAGCTTCACTCCCAAGCCAGCGAGACCACGAACCCACCAGAAGGAAGAAACTCCGAACACATCTGAACATCAGAAGGAAAAACTCCAGACACCCTACCTTTAAGAACTGTAACAATCACTGCGAGGGTCCGTGGCTTCATTCTTGAAGTCAGTGAGACCAAGAATCCACCAATTCTGGACACATTTTGGTGACCCAGATGGGACCTTCACCAATCGCCAAGCGGTGAGACCATTGCCTATCGCTGAGCAGTGAGACAATCACCTATCGCCAAGCAGTGAGTACCACCAGACCCCTTTCGCTTGCTCTTCTGTCCTATCTTTCCTTAGAATTCGGGGGCTAAATACCGGGCATCTGTCGGCCAGTTAAAAGTGACTAGCATGGCCACTGACTAAAGACATGGGTGTCAGGCTTTCTGGGAAAGGGCTCTCTAACAACCCCCGACTCTTCAGAGTTGGGACTGTTGGTTTGCCTAGAACCAGCTTCTGCTTTTCCTGTACTTCTGGGCTGAGCCGAGGGTCGACAGAGAGGAAAGCCATGCAGCTCCAGGGTCCCGACAACAAGTTGGTTGACCCTGCGGCCATGAGTGGAACTCTCAAAGGCATGTTGCCCAAGCGAGACTTGCCCATCTATCCTATCTATCCTGACCTTTGCCCCCTGGGTCCTAATGCCTGTGAGACAAACTTCCTCTCGCCTCTCTTCTCTGAGGTTAGTCCCGCTTCTAAAAATTGCTACCTGTCTCTCGTGCTTTTCTAGTTTCTCCTATAAGAATGATTTCTAGTATAAACTCCAGGACTCTGTTACCTTCTTTAGGCACCTGGGCTCACCAATCAGAAAGACATAATTTTTGCCCAAAGCCCCATTGTAGTGGGGACTACCTGGAATTTTAGGATCCCTCCTCAGACTAACAGGTCTAACAAAAGCTATTCCTGAAGTTAGGATATGGGGAGCCTCAGAAATTGTATCCTCCCTATTCATATAAATGAGGACAAAAGGTGTCACTCTTCCAACCCTGAAGATCCCTTCCCTCCCTCAGGGTATGGCCCTCCACTTCATTTTTGGGGCATAACATCTTTATAGGACAGGGGTAAAGTTCCAATACTAACAGGAGAATGCATAGGACTCTAACAGCTTTTCGAGAATGCGTCTGTAAGGGCCACTAAATCCAATTTTTCTTGGTCGGTCCTCCTTGTGGTCTAGGAGGACAGGCAAGGGTGCAGGTTTTTGAGAATGCGTCAGTAAGGACCACTAAATCTGACCTTCCTCAGTCCTCCATGTGGTCTGGGAGGAAAACTAGTGTTTCTGCTGCTGTGTCTGTGAGTGCAACTATTCTGATCAGCAGGGTCCAGGGACCGTTGTGGGTTCTTGGGCAGGGGGAGAAACAAAATATACCAAAACTGTGGGCAGTTTTGTCTTTCAGATGGGAAACACTCAGGCATCAACAGGCTCCCCCTTGAAATGCATCCTAAGCCATTGGGACCAATTTGATGCACAAACCCTGAAAAAGAGGCCGCTCATTTTTTTCTGCACTATGGCTTGGCCCCAATATTCTCTCTCTGATGGGGAAAAATGGCCACCTGAGGGAAGTACAAATTACAATACTATCCTGCAGCTTGATCTTTTCTGTAAGAGGGAAGGCAAATGGAATGAAATACCTTATGTCCAAGCTTTCTTTTCATTGAGGGAGAATACACAACTATGCAAAGCTTGCAATTTACATCCCATAGGAGGACCTCTCAGCTTACCCACATATCCTAGTCTCCCTATAGCTCCCCTTCCTATTAATGATAAGCCTCCTCTAATCTCCCCTGCCCAGAAGGAAATAAGCAAAGAAATCTCCAAAGGTCCACAAAAACCCCTGGGCTATCGATTATGTCCCCTTCAAGCTATAGGGGCAGGGGAATTTGGCCCAACCCGGGTACATGTCCCCTTCTCCCTCTCTGATTTAAAGCAGATCAAGGCAGACCTGGGGAAGTTTTCAGATGATCCTGATAGGCACATAGATGTCCTACAGGGTCTAGGGCAAACCTTTGACCTCGCTTGGAGAGATGTCATGCTACTGTTAGATCAAACCCTGGCCTTTTATGAAAAGAATGTGGCTTTAGCTGCAGCCCGAGAGTTTGGAGATACCTGGTATCTTAGTCAAGTAAATGATAGAATGACAGCCGAAGAAAGGGACAAATTCCCTACTGGTCAGCAAGCCATCCCCAGTATGGATCCCCACTGGGACCTTGATGCAGATCATGGGGATTGGAGTCATAAACATCTGTTGACCTGTGTTCTAGAAGGACTAAGGAGAATTAGAAAAAAGCCCATGAATTATTCAATGATGTCCACCAAAACTCAGGGAAAGGAAGAAAATCCTTCTGCCTTCCTCGAGCAGCTATGAGAGGCCTTAAGAAAATATACTCCCCTGTCACCTAAATTACTCGAGAGTCAATTGATTCTAAAAGAAAAGTTTATTACCCAATCAGCCGCAGATATCAGGAGAAAGCTCCAAAAGCAAGCCCTGGGCCCTGAACAAAATCTAGAGGCATTATTAAACCTGGCAACCTTGGTGTTCTATAATAGGGACCAAGAGGAACAGGCCCAAAAGGAAAAGCGAGATCAGAGAAAGGCTGCAGCCTTAGTCATGGCCCGCAGACAAACAAACCTTGGTGGTTCAGAGAGGACAGAAAATGGAGCAGGCCAATCACCTGGTAGGGCTTGTTATCAGTGTGGTTTACTAGGACACTTTAAAAAAGATTGTCCAATGAGAAACAAGCTGCCCCCTCGTCCGTGTCCACTATGCTGAGGCAATCACTGGAAGGTGCACTGCCCCAGAGGATGAAGGTTCCCTGGGTCAGAAGCCCCCAACCAGATGATCCAACAACAGGACTGATGGTGCCTGGGGCAAGCGCCAGCTCATGTCATCACCCTCACTGAGCCCCAGGTATGTTTAACTATTGAGGGCCAGGAAATTGACTTCCTCCTGGACAGTGGCACGGCCTTCTCAGTGTTAATCTCCTGTCCTGGACAACTGTCCTCAAGGTCTGTTACCATCCGAGGAATCCTGGGACAGCCTGTAACCAGGTATTTCTCCCACCTCTTCAGTTGTAATTGGGAGACTTTGCTCTGTTCACATGCCTTTCTTGTTATGCCTGAAAGTCCCACACGCTTATTAGGGAGGGATATATTAGCCAAGGCTGGAGCTATTATCTACGTGAATATGGGAAACAAATTACCCATTTGTTGTCCCCTACTTGAGGAGGGAATCAACCCTGAAGTCTGGGCATTGGAAGGACAAATTGGAAGGGCAAAAAATGCCCACCCAGTCCAAATCAGGTTAAAAGATCCCACCACTTTTCCTTATCCCTTAAGGCCTGAAGCTCATAAAGGATTACAGAATACTGTTAAACATTTGAAAGCTCAAGGCTTAGTAAGGAAATGCAGCAGTCCCGGCAACACCCCAATTCTGGGAGTACAAAAACCCAATCGTCAGTGCAGACTAGTGCAAGATCTTAGACTCATCAATGAGGCAGTAATTCCACTATATCCAGTTGTACCCAACCCCTATACCCTGCTCTCTCAAATACCAGAGGAAGCAGAATGGTTCATGGTTCTGGACCTCAAGGATGCCTTCTTCTGTATTCCCCTGCACTCTGATTCCCAGTTCCTCTTTGCTTTTGAGGATCCCACAGACCACACGTCCCAACTTATGTGGATGGTCTTGCCCCAGGGGTTTAGGGATAGCCCTCATCTGTTTGGTCAGGCACTGGCCTGAGATCTAGGCCACTTCTCAAGTCTAGGCACTCTGGTCCTTCAATATGTGGATGATTTACTTTTGGCTACCAGTTCGGAAGCCTTGTGCCAGCAGGCTACTCTAGATCTCTTGAACTTTCTAGCTAATCAAGGGTACAAGGTGTCTAGGTCGAAGGCCCAGCTTTGCCTACAGCAGGTTAAATATCTAGGCCTAATCTTAGCCAAAGGGACCAGGGCCCTCAGCAAGGAACGAATACAGCCTATACTGGCTTATCCTTGCCCTAAGACATTAAAACAGTCGAGGGGGTTCCTTGGAATTACCGCCTTTTGGCGACTATGGATCCCCAGATACAGCGAGATAGCCAGGCCCCTCTATAGTCTAATCAAGGAAACCCAGAGGGCAAATACTCATCTAGTAGAATGGGAACCAGAGGCAGAAACAGCCTTCAAAGCCTTAAAGCAGGCCTTAGTACAAGCTCCAGTTTTAAGCCTTCCCACAGGACAGAACTTCTCTTTATACGTCACAGAGAGAGCCAGGATAGCTCTTGGAGTCCTCACTCAGACTCGTGGGACAACCCCACAACCAGTGGCATACCTAAGTAAGGAAATTGATGTAGTAGCAAAAGGCTGGCCTCACTGTTTAAGGGTAGTTGCAGCAGTGGCTGTCTTAGTGTCAGAGGCCAGCAAAATAATACAAGGAAAGGATCTCACTGTCTGGACTACTCATGATGTAAATGGCATACTAGGTGCCAAAGGAAGTTTATGGCTATCAGACAACTGCCTACTTAGATACCAGGCACTACTCCTTGAGGGACTGGTGCTTCAAATACGCATGTGCGTGGCCCTCAACCCTGCCACTTTTCTCCCAGAGGATGGGGAACCAATCGAGCATGACTGCCAACAAATTATAGTCCAGACTTATGCCACCCGAGATGATCTCTTAGATGTCCCCTTAACTATTCCTGACCTTAACCTATATACCGATGGAAGTTCAGTTGTGGAGAATGGGATACAAAGGACAGGTTACACCATAGTTAGTGATGTAACCATACTTGAAAGTAAGCCTCTTGCCCCAGGGACCAGGGCCCAGTTAGCAGAACTAGTGGCGCTTACCTGAGCCTTAGAACTGGGAAAGGGAAAAAGAATAAATGTGTATACAGATAGCAAGTATGCTATCTAATCCTACATGCCCATGCTGCAATATGGAAAGAGAGGGAGTTCCTAACCTCTGGGGAAACCCCCATTAAATACCACAAGGAAATTATAGAGTTATTGCACACAATGCGAAAACACAAAGAGGTGGGAATCTCACACTGACAAAGCCATCAAAAGGGGAAGGAGAGGGGAGAACAGTGGCATAAGCAGCTGGCAGAGGCAACAGAAATGAAAGAAAGAGACAGGAAGTCAAAGAAAGAGACAGAGAGGAAGAGACAAAGAAGAAGTCAGAGAAAAAGAGGGACAGACACAGTCAAAGAGAGAGTTAAAAAGAGAGGAAGAGACAAAGAAGAAGTCGAAGAGAGAAAGAGATGGAAGTAGTAAAGAAAAAACAGTGTACCCTATTCCTTTAAAAGCCAGGGTAAATTTCTATCTACCCAGCCAAGGCATATTCTTCTTATGTGGATCTTCAACCCATATCTGCTTCTCAAACAGTTTGCAAGAAATAACGAAATCTATCCTTACTTTACAATCCCAAATAGACTCTTTGGCAGCAGTGACTCTCCAAAACTGCCGAGGCCTAGACCTCCTCACTGCTGGGAAAGGAGGACTCTGCACCTTCTTAGGGGAAGAGTGTTGTTTTTACACTAACCAGTCGGGGATAGTATGAGATGCTACCCAGCGTTTATAGGGAAAGGCTTCTGAAATCAGACAACGCCTTTCAAATTCTTATAACAACCTCTGGAGTTGGGCAACATGGCTTCTCCCCTTTCTAGGTCCCGTGGCAGCCATCTTGCTGTTACTTGCCTTTGGGGCCTGTATTTTTAACCTTCTTGTCAAATTTGTTTCCTCTAGAATCGAGGCCTTCGAGCTACAGATGGTCTTACAAATGGAACCCCAAATGAGTTCAACTAACAACTTCTACCGAGGACCCATGGACCGACCCGCTGGCACTTCCCCTGGCCTAGAGAGTTCCCCTCTGAAGGACACTACAACTGCAGGGTCCCTTCTTCGCCCCTATCCAGCAGGAAGTAGCAAAAGCAGTCATCGGCCAAATTCCCAACAGCAGTTGGGGTGTCCTGTTTAGAGGGGGGATTGAGAGGTGACAGCGTGCTGGCAGTCCTCACAGCCCTCGCTTGCTCTCGGCGCCACCTCTGCCTGGGCTCCCACTTTGGCGGCACTTGAGGAGCCCTTCAGCCCACCGCTTCACTGTGGGAGCCCCTTTCTGGGCTGGCCAAGGCCGGAGCTGGCTCCCTCAGCTTGCAGGGAGGTGTGGAGGGAGAGGCGCGAGCGGGAACCGGGGCTGCGCATGGCACTTGCGGGCCAGCTGGAGTTCCAGGTGGGTGTGGGCTTGGCGGGCCCCACACTCGGAGCAGCTGGCTGGCCCTGCTGGGCCCAGGCAATGAGGGGCTTAGCACCCAGGCCAGCGGCTGCGGAGGGTGTACTGGGTCCCCCAGCAGTGCCAGCCCACCGGCGCTGCACTCGATTTCTTGCCGGGCCTTAGCTGCCTTCCTGCGGGGCAGGGCTTGGGACCTGCAGCCCGCCATGCCTGAGCCTCCCACGCCCTCCGTGGGCTCCTGTGTAGCCCGAGCCTCCCCGATGAGTGCCGCCCCCTGCTCCATGGCACCCAGTCCCATTGACCACCCAAGGGCTGAGGAGTGTGGGCACGGCACGGGACTGGCAGGCAGCTCCCCTGCAGCCCCTGTGCGGGATCCACTGGGTGAAGCCAGCTGGGCTCCTGAGTCTGGTGGGGACGTGGAGAACCTTTATGTCTAGCTCAGGGATTGTAAATACACCAATCAGCACCCTGTGTCTAGCTCAGGGTTTGTGAATGCACCAATCGACACTCTGTATCTAGCTACTCTGGTGGGGCCTTGGAGAGCCTTTGTGTTGACACTCTGTATCTAGCTAATCTGGTGGGGACGTGGAGAACCTTTGTGTCTAGTTCAGGGATTGTAAATGCACCAATCAGCGCCCTGTCAATACAGACCACTTGGCTCTACCAATCAGCAGGATGTGGGTGGGACCAGATAAGAGAATAAAAGCAGGCTGCCCGAGCCAGCAGTGGCAACACGCTCGGGTCCCCTTCCACACTGTGGAAGCTTTGTTCTTTTGCTCTTTGCAATAAATCTTGCTACTGCTCACTCTTTGGGTCCACACTGCCTTTAAGAGCTGTAACACTCACCACGGAGGTCTGCAGCTTCACTCCTGAGCCAGCGAGACCACGAACCCACCAGAAGGAAGAAACTCCGAACACATCTGAACATCAGAAGGAACAAACTCCAGACACGCTGCCTTTAAGAACTGTAACACTCACCGCAAGCGTCCACGGCTTCATTCTTGAAGTCAGTGAGACCAAGAACCCACCAATTCCGGACACAATATCATCCTCTCCCCTCCTAAATGTTAGAAACAGTATCACAAGGGGGGTGTACACTCCCTGCGATATTGGAAGTAACATCATCCTCCTTCCCCTCTATATCAGGAACAATATCACGTAGGGGGTGTACACTTAATGCAATATTGGGAGTAATATTATCATTTCTCTCCCCCCAGATATTAGGAACAATATTACAGTGGGGGTGTACACCCCCTGTGATATTGGGAGTAATAATATCTTCTCCCCCCTTGATATTATGAACAATATCACAAAGGGGGCGTACACCTCCTGCGATATTGGGAGTAATATCATCCTCTCTGTCCCTGGATATTAGGAACAATGTCACAGTGGGAGTGCACACTCCCTGAGATATTGGGAGTAATATCATCATCTTTCCCATTGGAAATTGGGAAAAATATCACAAGGGGGGTATACACCCCTTGTGATATTGGTAGTAATACCATCCTTTCCCCCACTGGATATTAGGAACAATATCACAGAGGGAGTGTATACCCCCTGTGATATCGGGAGTATTACAAGTAATGGTAGTAATATCACAGTATTACTAGTAATATCCTAGGGAGATATTACTTCTAATATCACAGTGGGTGTACATCCTGTGATGTTACTTTTAATATCCTGGGAAGATATTATTCCTAATATCACAGGTGTAACCCTGTGATATTACTCACAATATACTAGGGAGATACTACTCCTATTATCAAAGTGGGTGTACATCATCTGATATTATTTGTAATTTCCTAGGGAGATATTACTTTTAATATTACAGTTGGTGTATACCATGTGTGTACAACCTGTGATACTACTCGTAATATCCTAGATAGATGTTATTCCTAATATCACAGTTGGTGTACACTCTGTGATATTACTCATAATATTCTAGGGAGATATTACTCGTAATACCCTAGGGAGATATTACTCTTAATATTAGACTGGGTGTGCAACATGTGTGTATTCCCTTTGATATTACACGTAATTCCCTATGAAGATATTGCTCCTAATATCACAGTGGCTGTATCCCATGTGTATACAACCTGTAATATTATTCATAATATTTTAGAGTTATTACTCCCAATATCACAGTGGGTGTACATTATGTGTGTACACCCACTGTGATATTACTCTTAAAATCTGAGGGAGATATCACTTCTAATATCATAGGGGGAGTACAGCATTTGTGTACACCCACTGTGATATTACTCATAATATCCTAGAGAGATATTGCTCCTCACATCACAGTGGGTTTGCACCATGTGTGTACACCCTGTGATATTACTCATAATATGCTACAGATATATTACTTCTAATATCACAGTGGATATACATTATATGTGTACACCCTGTGATATTATTGGTAATACCCCAGGGTGATATTACTCCTAATATCATAGTGGGTGTAAAACATGTGTGTATTCCCTGTGATATTACATATAATATCCTATGGAGATATTGTTGCTAATATCACAGTGGGTGTACCCCATGTGCATACACTCTGTGATATTTTTCATAATATCCTATAGAGATATTATTTCTAATATCACAGTTGGTGTACACCATGTGCATACACTCTGTGATATAACTCTTAAAATTCGTGGGTCATATTACTCCTAATTTCACAGTGGGTGTACACTGTCTGATATTATACGAAACATCCTAGAGAGATATTACTCCCAATATCATAGTGGCTTTACATGCTGTGATGTTACTCGTAACATTCTACAACGATATTACAGCTAATATCACATTGGGTGTACACACAGTGATATTACTTTTAATATCCTACGGAGATATTACTTCTAATATCACAGTGGGTGGACACCCTATCATATTACTCGTAATATTTTAGGTAGCTATTACTCCTTATATCACAATGGGTGTACACCTTGTGATAATAGTAGTAATATCCTAGAGAGATATTTCTCCTAAATGACAGTGGGTGTACACCATGTGTGTACACCGTATGATATTACTCAGAATATTCTAGGGAGCTATTAGTCATAATATCACAGTGGGTGTACACAATGTGAGTACATTCTGTGATATTACTCGGAATATCCTAGGGAGATATTACTCTGTGGGGGTGCACGTCAACATATTCAAGCTTACGTACATGGCATTTGAGGTCGGGGCATGGAAAAATACTGAGGCACTGTGTGTATGTTATTTGTGCATAAGAATGTAACTCCTTGACCTGAAAACAGGACAAGGAGTGGAGTGTGTGATAAGGAACGCTGAAAACAGCCTCCTGAGAATGCGGTTTGAGTGCTTTTACAAGGCTACGGGTGTCTCACGACCCGATCTCAAATGGCCATCTAGTGGATGTTTGTGGTTTAACAAGCCCTTTCAATAAATACTTAGCGTACGGATGCTGGGGTGGCACTTTCTCAGAAGAGCTGTCCCCCTCCGCGCTCAGCTAGAATTGTCTGAAAACTCATTCTTGGCGTTCCCTGCAAGCTATAAGCTTTGTAAGTGGTGCCCCCAGTGTGATCGCCTTGAAGTTACGCGTGAAGTTGGAAAACTCATCAATTTTCGGGGAATCCCGGTAAGGGACAGTCCTGACTCCCATCAGGAGGACGGTATCCACGCGTAAACTACCAGGGGTTGGGTTATCATGGGTCAAGATTTGACCAAAGAACAGAAAGTATTTTTTTAAAACAGTGCAACAGCTACTTAAGGCTATCCAGTGCACTGTAGAGCCTGGAGCTCTACACAAGCTTTTGTTTTTAATTCGGCAGGAATGCCCTCTGTTTCCTGATCAAGGAACCTTAGAATTATTTATGGGTGCAGGTAGTCCGCTGCCCGGAAAGAGGATATGAGCAAGGCCATTTTAACTATTTTGACCACCTGAGCGCTGGTACGCTCCGCGTTGTAGCCTCTTTTTCTGCCGGATTGCGGTGAGTCAGGCTGCCCATCTTCTCCGCCTGAAGGGAATTCAGGAGATTTAAAGGAGAAGGAAAAACAGGAACCAAGACAACAGGGAGAGACTCCTCCCCACTCTTCATTCCCTTCTATGGGGGCTAAAGAAGAGATTTTTGCTAGTGAGGATGAGGACAGACCGGAGCCTTTTCCTTCCCCTATAGAAAAGTCATTGCCCTCCTTTCCTCCACCCTTAAAGGGACCTGCATCCGTTGGCCCCATTCAGCCAACAGCGCCTCCCATCCGCCTTGAGGAGATTGGAGGCCGCCCAAGAGATGGTTCTTGGATAAGACCTCGGTCAGTCTTAGTAGACGGGGGCCTCGGGGGCCTCCAAGAGGGACTTCGGAAGGGAGACTCTGAGGCGCTTTTTGGCGCATTCCTTGTTATTGTTCAAAACAACAGGAGACGTCATGAGAGTTTGCCTTTTACTGCCTTTGAAGAGTTAAAGAAAAGTATTCATGAAAATGGTGTACATTCACCCTTTACGCAGGGGATGATTGAGGCTTTGGGAAATGGTTATAAGATGACTCCACATGACTGGAAAACTTTACTAAAACTTTTGGTTTCACCTGCTGAATATACTGTGTGGTGGAGTGAGTCCAGTGATTTAGCCGTGTAGCAATCCTTACACAATTTGGATAATAATATCCCCATGCAACTTGATATGCTATTGGGAACAGGGCCTTTTGCTTCAACTCAGGCTCAGGCTTAGGCTCAGGCAGATAGCCGTCTATTTCCTCAATGCTCACAGCTAACAATACAAGCATAAAAAATACCCATAAGACAATCCCAGGGTTCCTTTATGATAGTTAAACAGGGTGCCACAGAAACATACATTGAATTTATCAACTGATTGCAGGCTGCAATAAAAAAACAGGCACCCTATCCTAAAGCTGCCAAACTTCTTATGTTGTAATTGGCTTTTGAAAATGCAAATAAGGATTGTCAGGCAGCAATAACTCCAGTCCGAGCCACTGCCACTGAAATCAGCGTGTTTATTAAAGTGTGCCAGAATATAGGCACTACAACCCATCTGGCTCAGACCTTTGCTGCAATGTTGACTGGGGCCACGTATTATAATTGTGGCCTAACTGGGCATATGGCCAAAATAACCCCACTACTCTTTTCCTACTGTTAAACAAGAAACAATTTCATACTCTCCTAGCTTGTGATCTTGATTGGCAAGTAGCAATGACTGACTTTATTGGTAATATCAGCTTTCATTGACCAGCCTCTAAACTCCTGAACTTTTTACAAACTGTGCCTGTTAAATTTGTATTTATGTTGTCTCTGAGCCCTTGCTTCACGCCACTTCTGTCTTTACAGATGGTTCAGGAAAAACTGGAAAGGCAACTATAGTGTGGCAAGATGCCACGCAGAACTGGCAGCACAAAATCCAGGAACGTTTTAAAACTACGCAACAGGCGGAGTTAGGTGCCCTCATATTGGCCTTACAAACTTTTCCTCACCATGACATAAATATGATGATAAAGTGATTCCTCTTATGTGGTGTAGTATTACTGATTTAGATCTTGCACATGCGAAGGGCATTACTAATGAAACCCTACTAGCTTTGTTTCTTACAGCACAAGAGCTCCTCTGTGCCTGTCATCACCCTCTTTACATCACACATATTTGCTCTCATTCTGGGCTATCTAGTCCTTATCAGAAGGGAACCTTCGAGCTGATGCTCTGGTACAAACACAGATGTGGTTTGCAGAGTCTCCTGCCTTTTTGCAAGCTCAAGCTGATCATTGTTTTTTTTTTCATTAGAACGCCCACAGTCTTAAACAACAGTTTCATTTGACACTTGCTCAAGCTCTCATGATTATTAAAACTTGTCCTGATTGCCAATGACATTCTCTTTCCCCCTTTTCCTTAGGGCTTGGTACCAACCCACGAGGTCTGGTGCCTAATGTTATTTGGCAAACTGATGTTACTCAGTATCCATCCTTTGGACGTTTCAAATTTCTCCAAGTTACCGTAGACGCTTATACAGGCTTAATACATGCTACCCCCTGGACTGGAGAAATAAACTGAAGATGCAATTGCTCATCTTTTTGAATCTCTTATGACTTTAGGTCTTCCACAAACTATTAAAACTGATAATAGACCTTGCTATCTTAGTGCTCGATTTGCACATGTATTGCAACTTTGGCACATACAACACAAAACTGGTATTCCTTATAACTCAACCAGTTATTAAACAAACTCATCAAACAAACAAAAAAGGGGGAATATGGGGCTCTCTTCTCTAGAATAGGACCTGTCATTGGAGAATTGACTGACAATGACGGTGATGACTCAGAAGGCACCTGACATTACCTGGGGACCGCTAAAGAAATTGGACCAACAGGCAACTATCCGGCTTGCCGCTGTGGAGGCCCCTGCAACTGCAGAGAATCAGTTTCTTATGTAACTGGCGGTAATTGGGGAAACTTCTGAGAAAAGTAAGACAGACACAGATGTTGGGCTGGTTGGTAATTCTTGTCCTTTGCCAAGTGAGATCAGCTCAAGAACATGTTTATTGGAGTCATATTCTAAATCCCCTTGTTTTTAATGTTATTACACAGTGGGATGCTGACCTGCCTTTGTTATCTAATGATACTTCTTGGACAGGAGGTCGATAGGTGTCCCTGTCATACCCCTTAACTGAAAATTTGGGATGGATTAAACTTAATGACTCCTTGATTTTATTGTTTAGTAATCCCCTCTTTGTTTTTCCACAATAGCACATGGTAAGTGTGTTACTCTCATTCCTCAGGAGTATCTTAACTATCAGCCTAAAAGGGATGCTAAGCTTGCAAACTTGACCTTTATTTCTGCTGTTACTACTAATCTTACTAAGGTCTCTCATGAAGCTGTACAAGTGCCTGATCTTCCTATATGCCGTCCGAGTGGGGACTGGTGATATAAGTTTGAGGCTGTCCAGTGGTCTCCATGCAGACAATCTGCACCATGTCAAGGGCCTCTGTTTAATAATGGCACCTTACTTGATTGGGGTCCCCATGGTTATCTTACGTCTGCAAATCAGACTATATTGGGTTTGGGAGTCCCTCCAATAGTTCTATCACCTGGTCAGAGTATGGGCTTTCAGGACCAATATTACAACTAAAAGGGAAACAAGCTTTAAGCCCTGTTCATACCCAGATTTGGAGATTAGGACTTCCTTTTTTTTTTGAATGAGTTCTTTCACATGGTGAGTACATTACTAAGGGCAGCACCTATACCCTCTCTTTGCATAATAATGTTACTGACACAGTCCTGATTTGTACTATGCACCCCTATATACTTTTGTTTGGGCGAGGTGTTCCTAACATAAAACAGAATCAGACCTTTTATAGTATTAAAGTCTCTTCCAGTACTTGGTATGCTACATGCTTGTCTTATCAAAACGTTACACAGTTAAGTATAACCTACGTCATGATCTTAAAACGGCATGCAGAAATGTGGCTGCCTGTAAATTTAACCTGGAGCTGGGAAGGAAATTCCACCCAGCAGCTATTTAGAAAAGCACTGTCTCATGCTCAGAAAAAAAGATTTCTGGCCACTTTAATTGACTTTTTAGTCTCAGCTATTATCATACTAGCAACTGCTGCTACTGCAGCTGTCTCTCTAACAGGATCTATTCACATAGCCTCAGTGGTGAACCACATGGTATATAATGTAACCCATGAATTTCAGGAACAGGTAAATATTGATAAAACTATTCTGTCTCACCTGGAGGCTCTTGAAGCCGCAGTTGAATGGCTGGGGGGTCAGCAGCAGGCATTCATTACCCATCAAAATTTACATTGTGATTGGCAATATAATCCTATCTGTGTCACACCTCTGCCATATAATAGCTCCCAATATGCTTGGGAGAGAGTGAAAGCACACCTGCAAGGGGCTTATCACAACCGTATTTCTTCTCAAATTTCTACTCTTGAATGTGAGTTAAAGAAACAACTTGAAGAATGGTCGCAGCAATTACAAGCAAATACCCTTCAGCAATTACAAGAGGGCTTTGTGGTTAAACATGAACACTTGGTTGTCTGGGTGATACTGTAATGCCCAACCTGGTTTTTACTAACCCTGTTTTTAGACTCTCCCTTTCCTTTAATCACCTAGCCTTGTTTCCACCTGAATTGACTCTCCCTTAGCTAAGAGAGCCAGACAGACTCCATCTTGGCTCTTACACTGGCAGCCCCTTCCTCAAGGACTTACCTTGTGCAAGCTGACTCCCAGCACATTCAAGAATGCAATTAACTGATAAGATACTGTGGCAAGCTATATCCACAGTTCCCAGGAATTCGTCCGATTGATAACGCCCAAAGCCCCGGGTCTATCACCTTGTAATAGTCTTAAAGCCCCTGCACCTGGAACTGTTTACTTTCCTGTAACCACTTATCCTTTTAACTTTTTGCCTACTTTACTTCTGTAAAATTGTTTTAACTAGACCCCCCCCTCCCCTTTCTAAACCAAAGTATAAAAGAAAATCTAGCTCCTTCTTCGGGGCCAAGAGCACTTTGAGCGTTAGCCGTCTCTTGGCCGCTGGCTAAATAAACGGACTCTTAATTCGTCTCCAAGTGTGGCGTTTTCTCTAACTCGCTCAGGTACAACAATACATACACATTTGGGTGTTGGCCGCTATACTTACTCTTTTTTGTGTCTGTTTGCTAGGTGTCTGCAGATGGCTCTGTGCTGCCACCCGGCACATCTATGAACAGGGAAGAATGATAGAACCTTACCTTGCATTGGATGACCAGCACGCTCTAAGAATTGAAGAAGGGGGAGATGTGGCGGGGTGCACATCAACGTATTCAAGCTTACGTACATGGCATTTGAGGTCGGGGCATGGAAAAATACTGAGGCACTGTGTGTATGTTATTTTTGCATAAGAATGTAACTCCTTGACCCTGAAAACAGGACAAGGGGTGGAGTGTGTAATAAGGAACGCTGAAAACAGCCTCCTGAGAATGCGGTTTGAGTGTTTTACAACGCCGTAAGTGCCTAAAGTAACCGACCTCAAATGGCCATCTAGTGGATGTTTGTGGTTTAACAAGTCCTTTCAATACTTAGAGGACCGATGCTGGAGTAGCACTCTCTCAGAAGAGCTGTCACCCCGACCCCCACCCCGCTCAGCTGGAACTGTCTGAGAACTCATTCTTAGCGTTCACTGCAAGCTATAAGCTTTGCATTACTCCTAATATCATAGTGGGCATACACCATATGTGTATACACTGTAATATTACTCGTTATATCCTAGGCAGATATTATGAGTAATATCACAGTGGTTATATGTTCTGTGATATTACATGTAATGTCCTAGAAACATATGATGCCAAATATCACAGTGGCTGTACACCCTGTGATATTACTCCTAAAGTCCTAGGGAGATATTGCTGGTAATATCAAAGTGGGTGGACACCCTATAATATTACTTCTAATATCCTCGGGAGATATTACTCCTAATATCACAGTGGATGTACACACTGTGATATTACTCATAATATCCAAGATAGATATTACTCCTAATATCACAGTTGGTGTACACCCTGTGATATTACTCATAATATCCAAGATAGATATTACTCCTAATATCACAGTTGGTGTACACCCTGTGATATTACTCATAATATCCAAGATAGATATTATTCCTAATATCACAGTTGGTGTACACCCTGCGATATTACTCATAATATCCTAGGGAGATATTACTCGTAATATCGCAGTGGGCATACACCCGTTGATACTACATGTAATATCCTAGGAAGACATACTCCTAATATCACATTGGGTGTATACCCTGTAAAAGTACTCGTAATACCCTAGGGAGATATTTCTCCTAAATCAGAGTGAATGTACACAATGTGTATACACCCTGTAATATTACTTGGAATATCCTAGGGAGATATAACTCCTAATAACACAGTGGGTGTACACCATGTGTTTACACCCTGTGATATTACTCGTAATATCCTAGGGAAATATTACACCTAATATCACAGTGGATGTAGAACATGTGTGTACACCCTGTGATATTACTCATAATATCCTGGGAAGATATGTCTCCTAATATCAAAGTAGGTGTACACTGTATGATATTACTTGTAATATCCTGAGGAGATTTTACTTTTAATATCACAGTGGGTGTACACCATGTATGTATTAAATGTGATATTACTCATAATATCCTAGGAAGATATTATTCCTAATATCATAGTAAGTGTTCACCTGGTGATATTAATTGTAATATTCTAGGGAGATATTACTCCTAATATCACAGAGTGTGTACACCATGTTTGTACACCCTGTGATATTATGCATAATATCCTAGAGAGAGATTACTCCTAATATCACAGTGGGTGTAAACCCTATGATATTGCTTATAATATTCTAGAGAGATATTACTGTTTATATCACAGTGTGTGTACACGATGTGTGTACACACACCGTGATATTACTCATAATATCCTAAGGAGATACGACTCATCACGATGGGTGTACACCATGTGTGTAAACCCTGTGATATTACTCATAATACCCTAGGGAAATATTACTCCTAATATCTCAGTGGGTGTATGACATGTGTGTATTCCCTGTGATATTACATGTAATATCCTATAAAGACATTGTTCCTAATATCACAGTGGGTGTACACCATGTGCGTACACCTTGTAATATTACTTATAATATGTTAGCGAGATATTACTCCTAATATTACAGTGGGTGTATATCATGGGCTTACATCCTGTGATATTACTCATAATATCCTAGAGAGATATTACTCCTAATATCACAGTGTGTGTCCACAATGTGTGCACACCCCATGATAATACTCATAACATCCTAGGGAGATATTACCCCTAATATCACAGAGGGTGTACACACGTGGTACACATAATATCCTAAGGAGATATTACTCACAATATCACAGTGGGTGTACACCCTGTGATACTACTACTAGTAATATTCTAGGAAAATATTACTCCTAATATCATAGTGGGTGAACATGGTGTGATATTACCAGTAATATCATAGGGAGATATTACTTTTAATATCACAGTGGGTGTTCACCCTGTAATATTACTCATAATATCTTACGGATATATTACTCCTAATTTCACAGTTGGTGTACACCATGTGTGTATACCCTGTGATATGACTCATAATATACTAGACAGGTATTACTCCTATTATCATAATGGGTTTACACCATGTGTGTACACCCTGTGAAGCTACTCTTAATATACTTGGAAGATATTACTCCTAATATCACAGTGGGTGTACACCATGTGTGTACACTATGTAATATTACTCATAATATAGTAAGGAGATATTGCTCCTAATATCACAGTGGGCATCCACCATGTGTGTACACCCTGTGATATTACTCATAATACCCTAAGGAGATATTACTTCTAAAATCAGAGTGGGTGTACACCACATGTGTACACCCTGTGATATTACTCCCAACGTCCTATGCAGATAATACTCTTAATATCACAGTGGTTGCACACCCTGTGAAATTACTCATTATAACCAACAACACATTACTTCAAATACCACAGTGGGTGTACATTCTGTGATATTAGTCAATGTCCTAAAGAGATATTACTTATAATATTACAGTGGGTGTATAAAATGTGTGTACACCCTGTATTATTTCAAGTAATATTCTAAAAACATATTACTGCTAATATCATAGAGGGTGTACACCCTGTGATATTACTGATAAAATTCTAGGGAGATGTTACTTTTAATATCACAGTGGGTGTACACACATAATGTACACCCACTGTGATATTACTTGTAATACACTAGGGAGATATTACTCCTAATATCACAGTGGGTGTACAACATGTGTGTATTCCATGTGATATTACATGTACTATCCTAGGGAGATATTACTCCTAATATCACAGTGGGTGTACAACGTGTGTGTATTCCCTCTGATATTACACATAATATCCTCTGGAGATTTTGCTCCTAATAAAACAGTGGAAGTATACCCTGTGCATGCACCCTGTGAAATTTCTCGCAGTATCCTAGGGAGATGTTACTCCTAATATCACAGTGGGTGTACAACATGTGTGTATTCCCTCTGATATACATAATATCCTCTGGAGATTTTGCTTCTAATAAAACGGTGGGAGTACACCGTGTGCATGCACCCTGTGAAATTTCTCACAATATCCTAGGGAGATATTACTCCTAATATCACGGTAGGTGTACAACATGTGTATATTCCATGTGGCATTACATGTACTATCCTAGGGAGATGTTACTCCTAATATCACAGTGTGTGTACACCATGTAATGTTACTCGTAATGTATTAGGGAGCTATTTCTCCTAATATCACAGTGGATGTACACTATGTTTATGCACTCTGTGATATTACTTGTAATATCCTAGGAAGATATTTCTACCATAATCATAGTGGAGGTGCACCATGTGTGTATACCCTGTGATATTCCTCGTAATATCCTAGGGAGATATTACTCCTAATATCACAGTGGGTGTACACCATGTGTTTACACCCAGTGATCTTACTCTTAATATTACAGGGAGATAGTACCTGTAATACTAGGAATATATCACTCCTAATACCATAGTGGATGTTATATTACTCATAATATCCTAGGGAAATATTGCTCTTAATATGTCAGTAGATGTACATCCTGTGATATTACTAGTAACACACTAGGGAGATATTACTCTTAATATCACAGTGGGTGTACACCACGTGTATACAACCTGTGATGTTAGGAGTAATTTTCTAATGACATATTACGAGTAATATCATAGTGGGTGTGCACAAAGTGTGTAAACCCTATGATATTACTCGTAATATTTTATGAAGATATTGCTCCTAATATCACAGTGGGTGTGCACCCTGTGATATTACTTGTAATATTCTTAAGAAATATTACTGTTAGTATCACAGTGGGTGTACATCCTGTTTTATTACTTGTAACATCCTAGGGAGATATTACTCCTAATATCAAAGTGTATGTACACAGGGTGTTATTAATCATAATATTCTAGGTAGATATTACTTCTAATATCACAGTGGGTGTACACAATGTGTGTATAACCTGTAATATTACTTGTAATATTACAAGTATTACAGCTGTGTACACCCACTGTGATATTACTTGTAATATCATAGAGAGAGACTACTCTTAATATCCCAGTGGGTGTACACCATTTGTGTACTCCCTGTGATATTACACATAATATCCAAGGGAGTTATTACTCCTAATATCACTGTGGGTGTACACCAGTCATGTACACCCACAGTGATATTACTCATAATATAGTACGGAGATATTACACCTACTATCACAGTGGGTGTACGCATACATTTTAGGGAGATATGTCTCCTAATATCACAGTGTACACCATGTGTGTAAACCTTGTGATATTACTCATAATATCCTAGGGAGGTATTAATCCTAATATCAAAGTGAGTGTACACAATGTGTACTATGACATTATTCATAGTATCCTGAAGAGATACGACTTCTAATATCACAGTGAGTGTACACCCTGTGTGTACAAATTGTGAAATTATTAGTAGTATTTTGAAGAGATATTACTTCTAGTATCATGGTGGGTGTACACCTTAAGTGTACAACCTGTGATATTATTCATAGTGTCCTAGGGAGATATTATGAGTAATATCACAGTGGGTGTACACACTGTGATATTACTCATAGTATTCTAGGAAGATATTACTCCTAATATCACAGTGACAGTGGGTGTACACACTCTGATATTATTCATAATATCCTAAGTAGATAATAGTCCTAATATCACAGTGGGTGTACACCCTTTGATATTATTTGTAGTATCCTGGGGAGATATTACTCCTAATATCACAGTGGGTGTATGCCATTTTGTATTATTCATAGTATCCTGGGGAGATATTACTCCTGATATCACAGTGGGTGTACACCCCTGTGTTATTATTTGTAGTATCCTGGGGAGATATTACTTTTAATATCACAGTAGGTGTACACCTTGTAATATTTTTTGTGGTATCTTGGGGAGATTTTACTCCTAGTATCATGGGGGTGTACACCATGTTTGTACAACTTGTAATATGACTCACAATATCACAGGGAGATATTACTTTTAATATCACAGTGGGTGTACACCCTGTGATATTACTCATAATATCCTAGGGAGATGTTACTCCTAGTATCACAGTGTTTTTACATCATGTGTGTACTCCCTGTGATATTACTCATGATATCCTAGGGAGCTATTACTCCTAGTATCACTGTGGGTGTACATCCTGTAATATTACTCATAATATCCTAGGGAGATAATACTTTTAATATCAGAGTTGGTGTACACCTTGTGTGTGCACCCTGTAATATTACTTGTAATATCTTACAAAGATGTTACTCCTAATATCACAGTGAGTGTACAGCCTGTGATATTACTCATAATATTCCTAGAAAGATATTACTCCTCATATTACAGTGTGTGTACACCCTGTGATATTACTGGTAATATTCTAGGCAGATATTATGCCTAATATCACAGTGCATGTATATCAGGTGTACATTCTAGGGAAATATTACTCCTAATATCACAGAGTGTACACCCACTGTGATATTAAGAGTAATATCTCCCTAAGATATTATGAATAATATCACAAGGTGTACACACATGAGGAAAACCCACTGTGATATTAAAAGTACACACAGGGTGTGCACACCCACTGTGATATTTGCAGTAATATTGACAATATTATGAATAATATCACAGGGTGTACATTCACTGTGATATTAGCAGTAATATCAAAGATATTTTGGATAATATCACATAATAATGCCACTGTGATATTGCAGTAATATCGAAGATAGTAGTAATGTTAAAGATATTATGAATGATATCACGGGGTTTACACACATGTTGTATCCCCACTGTGATATTTGCAGTAATATCCTTGATAGATATAGTGAATAATATCAGAGTGTGTACCCCCAATATGATATTAGCAGTGATATTGAAGATATTATTAATAATATTACAGGGTGTACCCCACTGTTACTCCTGTATTACATGATATACACCCAGGGTGTATACCCACTGTGACATCAGCAGTAATATCATGGATATTATGAACAGTATCACAAAGTGTACACACGAGGTGTATTCCCACTGTGATATTAGCAGTAATATCATTGAAGATATTATTTTTAGTATCATAGGGTGTACACCTACTGTGACATTAGCAGTAATATCATCAAAGATATTATAAACAGCAATATCCCTCTAATATTTGTAATATGCAGTGTTCACACACTGTGATATTAATGAAAAATCTCTGATATTTATAATATCCAGTGTTAACAGTGTTTACACGGTAAGATATCAACAAAATATTGCTGTGATATTTATAATATTTAGTGTAAACACACTGGGATATTAATGAAATATTGCTGTGATATTTGTAATATCCAGTTTCCCCATACTTTTTACATACTGTGATAATAATGAAATATCGCTCTGATATTTATAATATCCAGTGTTTACAGACAGTGTTTACACAGTGATATTAATGAAATATCACCCTGATATTTATAATGTCTCGTGTTTACACACTGTGATATTAATTGAATATTGCTCTGATATTCATAATATCCAGTGTTTACACAGAATGTTTACGCACTGTGATATTAATGAAACATTGCTCTGATATTTGTAATATCCAGTGTTTACACACTGTTATATTAATGAATTATTGCTCTGATGTTTATAATATTCAGTGTTTACACACTGATTTTAATGAAATATTGCTCTGATATTTATAATATTCAATGTTTGCATGCAGTGTTTACACACTGTGACATTAATGAAATATCCCCGATATTTGTAATATCCAGTGTTTACACAGCATGTTTACACAGTGTGATATTAATATGTCGATCTAATATTTATCATATCCTTTGTTTACACAGTGTTTACACACTGATATTAAATATTGCTCTGACATGTATAATAGCCAGTGTTTACACACAGTTCTTACACAGTGTGATATTAATGAAATATCACTCTGACATTTATAATATCCAGTGTTTACACACTGTGATAGTAATGAATTATTGCTCTTATAATTATAATATCCACTGTTTACACACAGTGCTTACACAATGTGATATTAATAAAATATTGCTCTGATACTTACACTGTCCAGTATTTACATACTGTGATATTAATGAAATATTGCCCTATTTATGATATCCAGTGTTTACACACTGTGATATTAAATATCACTCTGATATTTACATTATCCAGTGTTTAAACACAGTCTTTACACAGTAATATTAATGACATATCACTTTGTTATTTATAATATCCAGTGTGTACACACTGTAATATTAATGAAATATTACCCTATTTACAATATCCAGTGTTTACACACTGAGATATTAATGAAATATAGCCCTGATATTTATAATATCAAGTGTGTACACACTGTGATATTAATGAAATATCACCCTGACATTTATAAAATGCAGTTTTTACACACTGTGATATTAATGAAATATCACCTTGATATTTGTAATATCCAGTGTTTACACACTGTGATATTAATGAAATATCACCCTGATATTTATAATATCCAGTGTTTACACACTGTAATACTAATAAAATATCGCTGTGATATTTGTAATATCCAGTGTTTACACATTGTGATTTTAATGAAATATGGATATTACTACTAATATCCAGTGTTAACACACTGTAATATTAAAGTGTGATTATTCACAGTATCACCAATATTACTACTGATGTCCAGTGTTAACACACTGTAATATTAAACAGTGTGATATTATTCACAATATCACCGATATTACTACCGATGTCCAGTGTTAACAAACTGTGATATTAAATACACTGTGATATTATTCACAATATCACTGATATTACTTCCGATGTCCAATGTTAACACACTGTGATATTAAACAAACTGTGATATTACTCACAATATCACCGCTATTACTACTGATGTCCAGTGGTAACACACTGTGATATTAAACAGTGATATTATTCACAATATCACCGATATTACTACTGATGTCCAGTGTTAACAAACTGTGATATTAAACACACTGTGATATTATTCACAATATCACCGATATTACTACTGATGTCCAGTGTTAACACACTGTGATATTAAACAAACTGTGATATTATTCACAATATCGCCAATATTACTATTGATGTCCAGTGTTAACACACTTTGATATTATTCATGTTATCACCGATATTACTACTAATATCCAGTATGTGTTATGTTAGCTGACAAATGTTTCTGGATTAGTGGTGAAACTTGCATTTTCAGGTTTTTTAGATAACTATCTGTTTATTGGAGTGGTGGTTTTTAAAAAATGGCTACACAAAGATTTTGACACTCTTCCCATCAAGTGGCAGGGTCTGTCTCCCCTCCCTTGGATCTGAGCAGGCTTGAAACCAATTAGTAGAGATGAAGTGATGTGCTGAGATTTCTGCAACTAGATCATAAAAGGCGGGTAGCTTCCATCCTGTTCACTGGAACACTCATGCTCTGATCTGTCATGTAAGAAGTCTGACTATTCCGGAACCACCATGATGGAGAGAGTACTTATAGGCACTCAAGTCAACAGTCACAATTGAACTCCCTGCTGATGACCGACATCAACAGTCATTTGTAAGCGAGCCATTGTAGATGGCCAGCCCAACCAAACCTTCAAGTAAGGATAGCCCCAGCAAACATCCATCTGCAACCACGCAAGAGACCCTCAAGTAAGAAATGCCCACAGAGCCTTTCTCGGGCTCCTAATTAACAAATGTGTGAGCAAAACAAATGGTTGTTAGTTTACAAAACTAAGTTCTTGGGTAAATTGTTATACAGAGATAGTAATCGAAAGCATTATGGTTTGTGGGCTGTTATGCTAGGAGGGGACTGAATGAAACGGAATGGAAGAGGAGAAACCTGTGTCAGACATTCCTAAATTGGCTTGTAAATCAGAATCTTGTGGGAATTTGTAGAGTCTTTAAGTCTTAGGTGGGCCCAGGAATGTTTATTTTAAGAATAATCTCCTGTAGAAATGCTAAACTACTTGTGTCACAATAGTAGTAAATGGACAATTCAAAAGGACATAAATTTTTTCTCCCTCCACCATGGGATTCCCTTCTGTTATTTTTTTTCAAAGTTTTCCTGAATATTTATTTCTCCAGTGAATTCAAGATCACTTTGCCATGTTCCTCCCAAAATCTTGTCGCTCTTTTGATTGCGATCCCATTAACTGTATAGGTTAATTTATGAAGAAATCATACGATTCAATACTGGTGTTCTTATCCTAGAATACAGTTCAGATGCTCCTTGATTTATGATGGGATTACATCCCGATAAATCCATTGTAAATTGAAAATATCGTTAAGTTAAAATGCACTTAATACACCTAAGGTACCGAACATCATAGTTTAGTTCTGCCCACCTTAAATGTGCTCAGAAGACATATTAGCCTGCAATTGGCTAAATCATCCAACAGAGCCGATTTTATAACAAAGTGTTGAATATCTCATGTAATTTAAAGGGTACTATACTGAAATTGAAAGTCAGGATGCCTGTATGGGTAGTGCGGTGTGAACCCAAAATAACTGAGACAGGTCTCAGTCAATTCAGAAAGTTTATTTTGCCAAGGTTAAGAATGTGTCTGTGACACAGCCTCAGGAGGTCCTGATGGTGGTTCTATACATTGTAGGGAGACATGAGACATCAACAAATATATGTAAGGTGTACATTGGTTCGATCTGGAAAGGTGGGATGACCCAAAGTGGGGATGGGGGCATCCAGGTCATAGGTAGATGAGAGACAAACGTTGCATTCTTTTGAGTTTCTGATAAGCCTTCCACTGAAAACACAATTTACAGGAATAGTCACTTAGGCCTTAGTCTCTTAGTGAAACAATATGGCAAAGGAAGCAATCAGATAAGCATTTGTCTCATGGTGAGCAAAGAGAGGACTTTGAGTTCTGTCTGTTCTTTGTTCACAAGGAATTTCCTTGTGGCCTAGTGATATTTGGGGTCCCAAGATTTATTAGTGAGTTCCATTTGGCTTAGTGGTTTGGGGGTCCTGAGATTTATTTTCCTTTTTCAATAGTTTCTACTGAATGCATATGACTTCTCCACCACCGTAAAGTCAAACCCTGGTAAATTGGGGACCATCTGTATGTTCCGCTTTCTCCAAGTGTCTCTACATGTCCCTTGGCAGGGCTATACCATGTCCATCATATACATCCTACCTATTTCTGTTAAGGTCTATCATAGGTGTGTTAAGCAATGATTGCAAATGGGATTTTCTACCACTTCTAGTTAATTTTTAATTGATATTTCCTATAGGAAAGCTGTTTTTTATGTTTACTTTGTAATCAACCACTTACTGAATTACCTTATCTCTGATGGTTTCTCAGTTGATTCTCTTTTGTTTAATACACATCATCTGAAAATCATTTGACCTCCCACTTTCCAAATTGTATACTTCATTTCTCTCCCTTGCTAATTACATTGGCCAGTGCTTCCACAATACTGTTAAATTGTCAGATACGGTGGGAATGCATGTTTACTAATGCCTTTCATTTCCAGTTTGGCAACTCATACCAATGAAATCTGATACAAGCAACCCACAATCAGCACCAGGGGTACCACTGACATATGACACCACCTTTATCAGCTTACTTCTTCAACCTGGCCTTGATACATAGCCCTCATTTTCATGATCCCAGTGGAATAAGAGGTCAGTAAAATTTCTTCAGATTCTCTGAGACAGGCTGGACCTCCTCCCCAATGGGGAGGGGTGTTCCAGGAGTGGTCATTCCTTTTGCATTCTTCTATTACAACGAAGTACAGGATATAATGATGGCTCCTCAGTGGGAGAGGTCAATCTTTTTTTTTTTTTTTTTTTTTTTTTTGAGACACAGTCTCGCTCTGTCACCCAGGTTGGAGTGCAGTGGCATGATCTCGGCTCACTGCAAGCTCCACCTCCCGAGTTCACGCCATTCTCCTGCCTCGGCCTCCCGAGTAGCTGGGACTACAGGTGCCTGCCACCACGCCTGGCTAATTTTTTGTATTTTTTTTTTTTTAGTAGAGATGGGGTTTCACCGTGTACCATGTTGGCCAGGATGGTCTCAATCTCCTGACCTCGTGATCTGCCCGCCTCGGCCTCCCAAAGTGTTGGGATTACAGGTGTGAGCCACTGCGCCCGGCCAGGAGAGGTCAGTCTTAAAGGCCTAAGTGATGACACACAGCAGAGGCTAAGAGGAAGTGCTATCTCTCATCATTTACTTCTTCCTTGTCTCTCTGCTACTGGAGAATGGCGTGGAGAAATCAGGCTCTTAGAGATGAGTATCAGCCTTCTCCTCTCGCCTGCTTTGAAGAGTGTTCAGGGAGCAAAAGGGTTCATGCCAGGTGTGGTGGCAAGGCTGAGGCAGGAGGATGGCTTGAGCTCAGTTCAAGACCAGCCTGGGCAACATAGGGAGACCATGTCTCTTAAAAAAAAAAATACTGGGTGTGGTGCCTCATACCTGTAATCCCAGCACTTTGGGAGGCCGAGATGAGTGGATCATTTGAAGTCAGGAGTTCGAGACCAGCCTGGCCAACATGGTGAAACCCCATCTCTACTAAAAATTACCCAGGTGGAGGCTGGGCTCGGTGGCTTACGCCTGTAATCCCAGCACTTTGGGAGGCCGAGACAGGCAGATCACCTGAGGTCAGGAGTTGAAGACCAGCCTGACCAACATGGAGAAACCCCATTTCTACTAAAAATACAAAATTAGCCAGGTGTGGTGGTACATGCCTGTAATCCCAGCTATTCCAGAGGCTGAGGCAGGAAAATCACTTGAACCTGGGATGTGGAGGTTGTAGTGAGCCGAGATCGTGCCATTGCACTCCAGTCTGGGCAACAAGAGCAAAACTCCGTCTCAAAAAGACAAAAAACAAAAACAAAAAATCAGCCAGGCAGTAATGGCACGTGCCTATAATCCTAGCTACTCAGGAGGCTGAGGCAGGAGAATTGCTTGAGCCTGGGAGGCAGAGGTTGTGGTGAATCGAGATTGCGCCACTGCACTCCAGTTTGGGCGACAGAGTGAGACCCTACCTCAAAAAAAAATTAGTCTGGTGTGATGGTGTGCACTCATAATCCCAGCTACTCGGCAGGCTGAGGCAGGAGGATTGCTTGAGCCCAGGAGTTCAAGGTTGCCGTGAGCTACAATTGTGCCACTGCATTCCAGCCTGGGGGACACAGTGAGACCTTGTCTAAGAAAAAAAGAAAAGAAAAGAAGAAAAGGAAAGAGACACAGAGAGAAGGAAAGAGAAAGAAGAAAGAAAGAAAGAAAAGAAAAGGGCTCCATGAAGAAAAGAAAAAAAAAGAAAAGAAAAGAAGGTAAACAAATGGACTCCATCTCCACTGCGCTATTAAGTGGGCAAGATTATTAACTGACCCAGCGGTTCTTTCCTCCCCTTCCAAGTCATAACAGCAGAACAGTTTTCAAGGAAAGGTCTAACCAAGCCAGAAGTGGTTGAAAATGTATTTATTTTTTTCAAATGATCTTTTTCAAGCAATAAATAAAACCAGACATATTGACTTCTAAAAAACAAAACCAAACAAAAAAAAAATCCCCTAAACTATATACATCCTACAGGAATACAGGCATTATCAAATGTAGAAATGGTATCACTCTGAAAGATGGGGCTATTTACACAAGTTACAAGAATTGCGTTGCTGTCTTTAAGAAGTCTCCTCCTTGAATAACTCATAAACTCTAAGGGAGAGAGAGTACTGGTGGGGAAGCGGGGTTCAAAGAGGAGACATCCTCCATCTTTATTGATGGACAAGACAGTCTCAAGGAAAAACATCAATATCCAAACACCGTATTGAGTCCCTTAACAAGGCTCCACAGATCAGCTGGCTTTCAAAAAGCCTGGAAGGGTGCTCCACTCAGGAACTCCCAAGAGAAACCATCTTGTCCCTCAGCCAGGCTGGGACTGGCAGTGAGGCCATGCTGAGCCAGTGGCAAACCCGTGGCTGTGGTTTCCACAAGACAACCTGGCTCTGTGCTGTCACACCCAGCCTCCAACAGCGCCTTGACATCCAAAAAGCATGGCAGTTTCCCAAGCTCGGCTGCACAGGGAAAACACCCGGGGAGCTACGAAACACACTGATGCCTGAGTCCCCCACCTAGAATTGGTTGAACTGGTCTAGGAGAGCCTGGGTATCAGAACTGTATAAGTTCCCCAAGTAATTCCAATGCGGGACCATGGCTTTACTACTACAGGCTTGGTTGATGGCCAATTCCCAATCTCCAGCCTCTTCCTGTCATGTTGGAGTCAACTATCCTATGTCCCTCTCTCCATCTTCCCAAGATTTAAAAACCTTTCTCATGGCTTCCCAAATTGGAAAACTCTCTGGAATCCAGCGTGGATGAGCAACTGAACAAAATGGCTTTGGGAGGGAATGATGGGAGCTGGGGCCTACCAGTCACCTGCTCTTCAGCCTAATACTGCTCTGTGGGAAAACTTGGTCCATTTCCCCCAGGGCTCCTCAACACACACCCCTGGGTCAGACGTTCTGGGAGGGAATAGGCAGCATTCCTCACTCTACAGAACACCCAATGAGCATCCTGTCTTTCATGGCTAATACCAAAGTTGACAATCAATGAGGGTCAATGCTTTCCTGTCATTACAGAAACTTCCCATCACCAGAATCCCTTCATGGGAGGGATGGATGCCTGTTGAAACTCACTGACCTATTGGACTGACGCTGGGGTGGTATCTTCATCAGAGCTATTGTAAGTCATCCAAAAGGCTTCTGACGAAAGAACAATTTTTAAAAAGTCCCTCTTTTCAATCAAGCCAATGTCCTATTTTATTTCTAAAAGTTTTGGGACTCGTGCTGTTATCAAGTACAATGAAAATGGCTTTATAAATAGCTGTTTTGACATTGTGATAGAAGGCTTGAATTCGGAGGAAAGATGTCGCTGGAGCTAGTCCTGAGTTCCGACTGTCCCTGTGGTGGGAATCCAGTCTGGGAAAGCAGGACTGTTTTAGCAAACGTGTACTCGTTCTATAAAAATGGAATCTGTTCTGCAGGTTACCGTCCCTCCCCGCCCAAGCATCCCCTCTGTCCTGTCTCTCTGCTGCTGGGACCCAGGGCTTTTTCAGCTGCAGAACCCACTGGACTTCCAGGAATCAAGGAAAAAGTGGAAATGTCCAACTGTGTTGTCTCTAAATGGTTCCATTGTCTGGGAACTGAAACCCTCCATGCTTCACCCTGAACTGTTATTTCTAGAGGAAGCAGGGAGCCTCTGGCTCTTCTAAAAATTGCCAGTGGGAGCTCTGGCCTCACCCACAGGCGGAGCTTGGTGAAGTCAGGATGAATGATGCCGTCACAGGTTCATGGTTCATGGAAGGAAAGGTAACCAACCTTGTCCTGTCTAGGATGCCAGATGAGAAAGAGTATCCCAACGTGACGGTGACATTGAGGCTTGACGTTATTTATGGGTGAGCAAGAATGTTCATTAGATGTAGACTCTCAAAGGGCTAAAAAAAACCATGCTCTCACTTCTAGACAAGTTTGCAACAACCTCTAAGCTGGCACTCCATAACAAGACTGTTCCACAATACTACAAACAAAATAGCATGTAGCTTGTTCCCTCCTCCCTCCCCCCCAAACCCTCCCCACAGAAAACGTGTCTCCCTCCAAAGCCATTCTCCATTTAGAAAGGCCCAACTAAGGATTCAAAATGGCACCCACGTGCCGACGATAGATTCAAAATGGCGCCTGCGTGCCCATGACGCACGTCACGGGAGCCAGCGGCCAGCCCCCTCACCAGCAGTCAGCCCCAACCCCACCCTGGCGCTTTGATTTCCAGTTTGGGAAATTCATACCAATGGAATCCGATGTAAGCAATCCACCATCAGCTCACTGATGCTCTCTTGCCCTTCCACACTTCGAGAAGACCTGAAATGTGGTGTCCATTCCCCTCTTTATTCAAAAGAGGACCTTCAAAAATATTCACCTAACTAGGAATTTAAAGAACACAAGAAATTGTTGGTATATTTCACTTCAGGTAACTGCCCTAAAATTAAAACCTCCAATTTATGCAAAAAAAGAAAAGATGGTGCTTCAATTTACAAAAGGATTCATTTCAGGGTTATCTCTAGTTGTCTGGTTTCCCCAATGGCTGGCCTTGCCAAATGATTTGCTGTAGGAAAATTTGAACTGCACCCAATTTTCCAGGAGCACCTTAGTGTAATATGGCATATTGATCACAGACGATAGACAAGTCTTAGGCAGGTTTATGCAAAAAATGCTGCAACCACCCAGTGATCATCGGAGGGAAAAAAGCTTGACTTACTGTGGTCTAAAATTGCTTCGGTGGCCTACATGCCCATGAACCAGCTTCAAAAGCAATTCACATTGGTCATGATGACACACACCTGCAGTCCCAGCTACTCAGGAGGCCGAGGTGGGAGGATCTCTTGAGCCCAAGAGCTTGAGATGAGCCTTGGCAACATAGTGAGATGCTGTCTTTTTTTTTCTTTTCTTTTTTTTTAAAAAAGCAATTCAAACCTAATTCTTCCCTTTCTTCCTCCTCCCACCCAACCCGCCTGCTTCTCAAGATGAGCCTTGGCAACATAGTGAGATGCTGTCTTTTTCTTTTCTTTTTTTTTTAAAAAGCAATTCAAACCTAATTCTTCCCTTTCTTCCTCCTCCCACCCAACCCGCCTGCTTCTCAGTGGCAACAAACTCAAGTTGCTCATCATGCTACCTTGCACATATCTACAAGACACCATTTACTTCCTAACTGCCTTGACATCTGCATGCTACGGTGCTCAGCTGTTTGACATCAACATAAATATATTCTAAATCCACTGTAACTAGACTTTTTGTACTTTCATACTCTGAAGAAAGTCTTAATAAATACTTTATTATTAAGCATAATTATTCATCTGTTGGTGACTGAGAAATGAAAACCACACCTTCGAAGATTTCTTTTAAAAAATGAAATTCCTTTAACTACAACAACGACAACAAAGGGACAAGTACACAGAACCAGGCACTTCTGGGAAACTTGTCTTCTCATCCCTTTGCCCTCCCTTCCTCCCCCTTTAGTAAAGCTGGTTGGGCACATTTGCTAGGATCTGTGGGTTTCATCACTTCAAGCCTTACTGCTTAAAAAAATGAGGTAAGAAATTTCTATCGGAAAAGTGAAACTGACACATAAACCAAACCAAGGTCTTCCCTGGCTGCTGCGGCAGCCGTTATTGCTCTAAGTTGGAGTGTTCTGTTTGCTTTTATTATGTATTCGGAGTCCTTATTGCCATTCTGGCTGGCCTCGTCGTTGGCCAAGGAGAAATGATGGGGAAGGAGCTCGGTCGCCTGCTCCCAGCTGCTCAGTCCCAACTTTCTGCCCGCATGCGGCCCGTCCTACCCTTGCTGGGAGCCAGCTCTGGTTCTGGGGCCCCCAGGGCGGCTCTAACAGCTGGGAGAGGTGGTGATGGGGCTGTGCAGGTAGGGCAGGCTGCTGGGGGCCGAGTGCACGCCCACGGAGACCGGAAAGCTGAAGACGAACTGCGAGGTGGGGGTGGCGGGGGTCTTGCCCCGCTCCCGCAGGGGTCCCGAGGGGCTAGCAGCCTCCGCAGCACAGGACGTGGCCAGCACCTGGGACTCGAACTGCAGCAGCTGCCCCATGAAGCTGAAGTTGGGCGAGATGATGCTGCGGCGCTGCTTAACGAACTCGAAGGCCTCCTCCAGCCTCACCCGTTTCTTCATCATCAGGTAGGCCAGGCAGATGGTGGCCGACCGCGAGATGCCCGCCTGGCAGTGCACCAGCACGCGCCCACGGCAGTCCTTCACGGCATCTGGGGACAGGGTTCAATAGGTTAGTGCACGTTTCTGCAGACCCCAGCCCCGACCAGGGGCACCGGCCAGCCCCTGGGGTCGGGGGGCTCTGAAGGAAGGACTAGCCGTGCTAGACCAAGGACTGGAGAGGAAGAAAACCCATGTAGGCAGGTCTCTAGAATGCCCCCAATTCTGAGGTCTATTTTCCCGAATCACTATGCTGAAGCTGGTTAAATCCTATTATCTGTTCAAGGATTTCCCTTTGCAGAAACAAAACAGTGGGGTCCAGGGTGGTGGCTCACTCCTGTAATCCCAGCGCTTTGGGAGGCCAAGGAGGGTGGATAACTTGAGCTCAGGAGTTCAAGACTAGCCTGGGCAATATGATGAAACTGTCTCTACAAAAATACAAAAATTAGCTGGGCGTGGTGGTGCACTTGTAGTCCCAGCTACTCCAGAGGCTGAGGCAGGAGAATCACTTGCACCCCAGAAGCGGAGGTTGCAGTGAGCTGAGATGGCGCCACTGCACTCCAGCCTGGGCAACAGAGCAAGGCTCTGTCTCAAAATAAATAAATAAATAGAAATAAAATAAAAACTATGACTCAATGCTCCTTGTGTCTTCCTCCCCGTCCAAAAACTCTTACCATCTAGGCACTGAAGCCATGCAAGGGGAAGGGGACTGGCTCTGCAAGCTAAGCCTGTGTGTAGGTCCATCTTCCCTCCTCCCTCCCAACCCAACATCCAATGTATAAGCCTTCCCAATGAGGAAGAGGGGGAATGGGGACCCTTGGATTCAGTGCCTCCAATGTCCACCTTCAACCCAGGCTTACAGGGGTTCCTTATCCTTCCCACCCGCCCTCAAACCCAGGAACCCCAGAGCAGGGCCAGCCTACCGATGTACTCTATGGCTTCCATGAACCAGGAGCTGATGTCGGCCTTGTGGTTATCTTCCACTGGGATGCACTTGTACTGATAGTGTCCTTCAAAGTGGTTTGGGCAGTCCGAGGAGACATTCAACAGAGCCGTGATGCCCAGGGCGTCCAGCATGTCTCTCCGGGCAGCATGGTAGGCACTGCCGAGGTAGAGGAAGGGAAGGATCTCCACAGGACCCCCCTGCACAGAAAGGGAAACAAAGGCCCCTGAATGACATGAGGGTAAAGTGCTTGGCACAGGGAGTGGAAGCTTGTCTGAGAAGAGCTTTCCTTTCCAAACCCAGGGAGAATGCCTGCTGGGCCTGGCCCTCCCAGCCTCCCCCTGTAGCCTCCTGGAACTCTTGGAGGGGTGATAGGCCCAGTGGGACTTCTCCAGCCTTTGCCCTCTACTTGTGAGCAGAGAGGCCAGGGCAGGTAAAGTCTTGTGGGACTCTCCTGCACCTCCCCCATGGCAAAATAAGCGGCAGGACAATGCCGGCCTTATGGCACCATCTGTGACACTGAGTTTATATCTGCTAATCATCAAGCCATTTGCTGTGTGGTTTAGATACTTATTTGTTTTGATATGTATTCACTGGGCATATCAAAAACAGGTGTGCAGTGGCTCACACCTGTAATCTCAGCACTTTAGGAGGCTGAGGTGGCAGGATCATGTGAGCCAGGAGTTCCAAGACCAGCATGGGCAACACAGTGAGACCTCATCTCTCAAACAATGAAGCTGGCATGATGGTGCACACCTGTAGTCTCAGTTGCTTGGGAGGCTGAAATGGGAGGATCATTTGAGCCCAGGACTTTGAAGCTGCAGTGAGCTATGATTGCGCCACAGGACTCAAGCCTGGGTAACAGAGTGAGACTCTGTCTCTAAAAATAAACAAATAAATAAGCTGATGCCCTCATGGCCACACAGACAAGAGAGAGGATCTTGGCAAAATGAGGCAACAGTGGCTTAAATTTAGCACATGAGATGTGGGCAGCAGAGTCCATCTAACTGAAAGGGCTGGAGGGTGGGCTTATAAGAAACACAGTGGCTCAAGCAGGTTTTCTTGGAGGGAGGGTGGGTGACCATCTATGTTCATTCGGCTGATACGTGGGAGCAGCCTGCCTGTCGGGGACTGAGATGTATTTCATGGCCTGCTACTTCAGAGGAGAATGACCTCAGCTTCCCAGAGAGCAGGTCCCCCAGGGCTTCTGGAGGCCTCCTCACTTGTCCGGACACGACGTTAGAGGCCAAGCCAGGGAGTCATGTCTTTAGACTTTTTTCTTAGGAGGATATTTAGAGAGGGAAGGGGAAGATTTCCAAGAAGTAAATAGGTCCTACCTAACATCCCACCCCAATACTCCGGGTTCACCGCATTCTCCCCAAATTGAGGCATAACATTCAAAGACTTAAAAAAATCTCAGGATTGGATGCAGTGGCTCACGCCTGTGATCCCAACACTTTGGGAGGCCAAAGCAGGAGGATCACTTGAGGCCAGGAGTTCAAGACCAGCCTGGGCAACATAGCAAGACCCCCCCCCCCCATCTCTACCAAAAACCTTTTAAAATTAGCCAGGCATGGTAGTGCCACCTGTAGTCCCAGCTACCAGGGAGGATCCCTTGAGCCCAGGAGTTCGAGGCTGCAGTAAGCTATGATCACACCACTGCACTCCTGGGTGACAGAGCAAGACTGTCTCAAAAGCAAAGACAAAAAACACCGTCAGAACTCTGAAAAGAAGGCATCCACTGGCCCCTACGCTGTTCCTGCCCCCCACTTCCAAGCCCTGCCCCCCGAGTCTACCTGGTCGTGTAGTGGGGTCCCACAGGAGCTGCAGCCCAGGTCCAAGGGCTCTGTGGCACTGGGGGGAACCGGGGGTGGGATGGCTGCCAGGGCCTTGGTTTTAGAACAGAATTCTGGGTACTCGGAGGAAAACCTCTCATAGCCGCCTGTAAAGGAGAAAGAAGCTCAGGTTAATGGGGTCACTAAGCCAGCAGGAAGTCAGAAAGAACTCGACTCCTACAGACTCAGGCGGACTGCTAGGAAGGCAGGGGCTGGCGTGCTCCATATTGGCCACTAGGTGGCGCTGTGGACCTAGAGAATGGCCATGGAGTGGTTTCCAGAGATGCAGAGGACACACTCGTCAGGACTGCAGCAAAGCTGGAAGGATAAGCTTTATGGACAAGACTTGGGTTAGAGAGGTAGACATACAAAGGAAGACGTGCAGGGGGATGTGCAGAAGTGACTGTGGAGTAGCTCCTCAGGACAATGACAAAATAGAGAAGCAAAGGTCACGCTGGGCTTCCAAGGACACTAAGTACCTGTAGAGACACCTGCCACCCCTGATTCCAGCCCTTCCTCAGGGGAGGTTCTCCAATGTGAGAAAGAAGGGAAAAAATGACCCTGGTACAAACTCTTCTGGATCTCAGCAATGGAACAGATGTCCATTGCACGTCCTCATGAATAGCTGTTCCGTCACCAAGAGACCAGAACAAGAGGAAAACGGGCTTAAATCTAAATAAACCCCTCATGCTATGTACAGGTTTGGGGCAAGGGAGTATTTCCTGACCTGAGAGTGGGTAAGCCCTGGAATGGTTATCTGTGGGATCATCTTCCAGAGAAGGGAGATCTTTTAAATAAAAAAAGAAGATGATGATAAATGGCCAGCTGAGCTGGGGTAGGGTGAGTGCTCCTATCTAGGAGGGGTGGAGGCAGGTGGGATACAGGGAGAGGCCACAGGGAGGCCATCCAAAAAGACAACCTTTCAAGCCCTATCTCTGGCTTTCTTGTGATCTCTGGGACTTCCTTTTGCGGCCAACTTCCAATCCACAGTGCTATCAATGTATGGCCCTGCTTTTATTTTTATTTTACAGTGTCTGTAGGGCCAGAAATGGATTCAATTGATTCAGTAGGGCCTGTGCGTTGGAGAACCACCATTCCAACAAACCCATTCAACTGACTCCAATGACAATTTGGCCAACAGTCCTGGATGTCGCTACCTTTGCGGTCTTCATGACAGTGACATAGGACCTCTGTGCCCTAGGGCCATTGATAGAAATTTTCCAATGTGCAGACATGTGACGGTGAGTCAGTCACTTGCGCCAAATCCCAACCCTAAAGACTGCTTCCTACTGAGAGGAAGGAAACGGTTCTCTACCACATCATGAGGCTTATAGAAACAGGGTGTACATTTTTTCCTCTCTGACCGGAGGCTTCTCTATTCCCCTCCTCTCCCTCCCTCAGGATATAAATGGATCTCTCTCTGGTCACAGGCCCTTGTTCCTGCTGAGTCACAGTGACCAGCCTCCCTGGATGGAAAACCTGCTGGTGGGGCTGGTACCGTCAGCCTCGGTCATGCTGGTGGCCTCGGCAGCCACTTCATCACAGAAGCACCCCCTCCCTCCCATCATAAACCCCTTTCCTTATTCGGCTGCCACCACTGCTGCCCAAAATGCAGTAATTAGAGGATGAGGGAAGAGGAAGGAAATATCTGTCTGCAGCTGAAGTCCTTCAGGGGCTTCTGTGATGGGAAACTTCAGTCCATGCTCCCTTTCGGAGAAAGTGGAAGGGAAACTCATTCATTAACAGTGGTTGATCACTTGTATCCCAAGCCATCACTTGTTACTCTATATACTTCTCTAGGATTTGAAAAAATTCTAAGTACATGATCCTTTTGTCTATTACATAATTTGAGCTATTAAAACACATTTTAAAACAACATGTTAGACACAGGTGGTGTCCTGCAAAAACTCACCACCAAGACAGACAAGCTATCGCCTGCACTCAAAAGTGAATGGTTGGGTGGCCCAGGAGTGCCAGGGCAGGCCCCACGGTCACAGAGCAGAGTGGCCCTCAGGGCTGGAGAAGCAGGAAGAGCCCAGAGCAGCTGAGAGGATGTTGTCTCCATTGCTGAGGGTATGGAACAGGGCACTGGAGTGAAGTTCCGAAAGGGCACAGGCTCTGCCATGAGGTTGCACCCCACCCTGAGCATGTATCACCTGTGCAGCCCGGGCCTCCTGAACCTCTCGGAGCCTCCTCCTCGTCTGTAAGTGATGAAAGTCCCCTGCACAAAGGCCTATGAGGACTGGTTCTGACAGCCAGGCTCTGTGCCTGGCATCAGGGAGACAGATCATGAAGTTTTCCCTTCTCGGTGCCTACATGGAGGGGTGCCCTCGGATGCCCTCAGCAGAGATCCTCAAAGGCCAAAGAGGAACCGGGGACAGGGTAATGCTGGTAAGGTACTGGGCATTTGACAGCCTGCTCTCCTGGAAACCTGTCTCTTGGTTTCCGGAGACCTCCAGACCTCCATCTTCTCTCCCAGGCATGGCCATGGCTGCCACTCAGCAGAACCCTTGTCAGGGACCTGGCACCGGCTGCTGGCCATGGAGTGGTGTGGGGGGCAAGGAGGGCCCAAGTGACCCATTTGGTGGGGAACAGGCTAGATGTGGCCTGAGAGGGCCATTCGTCATCTCCCCCAGGCTCATCGCAACTGTCTGGAAAAGGCACCATTAGAAGGCAGCAGAAAAATGATTACAGAAAAGTCAGTTCCCTCTGAGGGAGTTTTAAAGAACAAGCAAAAATGAACAAGGTGAGCTGGGCGCGGTGGCTCACGCCTGTAATCCCAGCACTTTGGGAGGCCGAGGCGGGTGGATCACGAGGTCAGGAGATCGAGACCATCCTGGCTAACACGGTGAAACCCCGTCTCTACTAAAAATACAAAAAAATTAGCCGGGCGTGGTGGCGGGTGTCTGTAGTCCCAGCTACTCGGGAGGCTGAGGCAGGAGAATGGCGTGAACCTGGGAGGCGGAGGTTGCAGTGAGCCGAGATCGCGCCACTGCATTCCAGCCTGGGCGTCAGAGCGAGACTCCATCTCAAAAAAAAAAAAAAAAAAAGGAACAAGGTGAAGAAGCAGATTCGCTCAAGGGGCAGAAACACTGGAAGGTTCTCGTCCCTGACAGTGGTGGCCAGCTTTTGGGGGTCTGTGGCTGGTTTCACAAGATGCCACACTAAAGGGGGTTCCTTTTGGTGGGCCCTGGGCTGCACTCAGGCCAGCACTCATGGGTGAGAACGATATGTTCTGGGCTGGTGGAGCCCGGAGGACACAGTGAAGGTGATGCGGGAGGATGCATGCAAGTTAGCATTTATCCATCGGTGGAAGAAGCTGCTCAAGTCCACCCCCCACAGGGCCATGCCCCAGTAAGTCATCTCTGGGTGTCAGTCTATGCCACCTCTGCCTTCCACCCCTTCCTGGTGGGCCCTTCTCCAGGGGGCACTGCCTGCAGGTTTCATCAAGTGAAGACAGACTTTTCATGCAAAAACAGAACTGATCCAAATAGGGCACTGCTGATATTTCACCAAACTCTGCTTCTACCCATTGGTTTCCTAATCCAGGCTGTCATTAAAGAGTCATGACCCACATTTTTAAAATGGAATACAATAGAATAGGAATTAGGAGGATGCACTGCCCTTAAAGAGGATATCATTTTATGGAACTTTTCTTCAGATGTGCATGTATCCCTCTCCTGGGTCACAATATAAATTAAAATGTGTTTCTTACTGTGGGCAGGGTTAAAAAAGATTATTCTAAGGTGACTTCCACTCAGTCCCTCCTACCCATCCCCAAATCCATGCAAGTACCATAGCCACAGCCCTTTCAAGAGCTAGATTTAGATCACCTAGTTTTATCCCAAAAAATCATGAAAGGGAAAGCTTATTCTCATTGTCTACAAAGGGGCTGGGCTCCTTCCCGTGCCCCTAGCAGGTGTGCAAGGAGAAGTGGAGACAGATCCAGGTGTAAGTCCAACTCAACTTGTGGAACTTGGACAAGTATGTTCCCTCCTCAACTCTGGTTTTTCCCACTCTCAAAATGTAAGAATTTCTGATTATAATGATCTTTAAGTTCCAATATCCTCTGCTTCTAAATATCCAGGATCTACTTATTTGCGTGTCAGTTTTGCCAGCTCTGAAGCAGCAGGTGCCTAAAATCTGCATTTCTATCTCCTGAATAATTTCATTATCAAATGTGCCATTCTGAATGAATGAATTCTGTTTTTCCTATGCCCTTTGAATGTATGAAATGAATGTATTGAACGTGTCTGTGTCCTACTGAATGTAATTCCATAAGAGGTTTCTTACTAATTTCAACCTGTTTTTCCCATGTCCTTATTTAAGAATATATTTTCTATTCCTAAATCTCTCATTTTATCACCTTTATTTTACAATTTGAAAGTCTGGAAGAAAAAAAGGAGTGTGATTTTCATCAGACTTACTTAAGAATAACTCCATCTACAGTTCAACTCCACTGTGCCTCCTCCTTCTCACATCCTCATACAGGGAGGCAATTTTCCAAGTTTAGTGGAAATGAGGACCCCTCATTAGAAGCCCTCCACCACACTCCCCCGTCCCTTGCAGGAGTAGGAGATAATGTATGTAAAAGTACTTTACAAAGGGCAGATTGATAATATCACCATAATAGGACTGTTACTGGGATTTGTGATGGGGAAGACTGTCCTTTGGTGGTGACTATGGTCATGGATCTTTTTTTTTTTTTTTTCCCCAGACAGGGTCTGTCACTGTCACTCTCTCACCCAGGCTGCAGTGCAGTGGCACGATTATGGCTCACTGTAGCCTTGACTTCCCTGGGCTCAAGCAATCTCCTTGCTTCAGCCTCCTGAGTAGCTGAGATTACAGGCACATGCCATCTCGCCCGGCTAATTTTTGCATTTTTTGTAGAGACCAAGTTTGCCATGTTGTCCTGGCCTCAAGTGATCTGCCTGCCTCAGTCTCTCAAAGTGCTAGGATTGCAGGTGTGAGCCACCACACCCGGCCTTGGTCATGAATCTTAATGTGGCTGCCACTTTTTCCCCATTATGCCCCCAACACTCAGAATAGTGCCAGGTCCCAGGCAGGGCTCATGGCCTTGCTCTTGCCAGAAAAGTCATGCTCTTGCAAGAAAGTCTGGGGTTGTTTGAAGGCCATTTGCCTTTGGGAACTCTACTTTATGTGACTGTTGACTTAGTAAGCACCTATGTAAATGCTGAGCTGTATTTAAAATCCAACTAAGTGAACTTCTCACCTTGAGACTCTGAACACAGACACCTGGACCTTCCTGCCAGCTGGCTGACACCTAACGCCATGCTGGGGGCTCGAACTGGTTTGCAGTCTCTCCCAGTCCTCCTGGGCGATCTGCTATGTTCAGCAAACTGGCTTCCGTTGGAGTGAACTTTTCTTCCCATCGTGCTTCCTCTTCGTTAGCCAGGAACTGCCTCCCGGTAAGGAAATCGGCTCTCTGGTTTCAGATGTTCTGATTTTTTTTCAAGGAATTTCTTGGCTCGGGAAAGTGGCCACCCTTTCTCTCTCCCTCATTTTTCTGAGCAGTCCATTTTTGTGGGTGGAGCCCACCTCTCCTATAAGCACCCAGGATAAGCCCAAGGAAGTTGTGACGGTCTAAAGGGTCAAATTTCACTCTCAATTTACACCTACATCTGTCTTTAGTTACTTTTGTTAGTTGGAGACATCCAATGTAAATGGTGTCTAACATAGTGAGTTTGCTTCATTGTAAAAAATCACCTGTAAGACCTAGCAACTTATGCTTCCAGTCCTTGGCTGTCATGGGCATTGTATTACATTTGTAAGCAGAAACTACCATATTTGCAAGCAGAAAAGCGAGTCATTTTCCCTTTAGGTAGAAAAGGTATGCAATATTGACATCCCCCAGAGCTGTGCTGTTTGATGCCATTGCCCTCCTGGGGAACTGAAGACAGAGAGAGCAATGGTGGGGCTAGAGAGAGAAAAAACAGAAAAATGTCACCAGAGTTTCCAGAGCTGTTAATTGTGTTCCTCTCCCCCCACATTCATCAGTGGCCTTAGTGACTGTTTTCTACAGAAAGGGTAATATCATGGGCTGTATGGTCAGGCCCTGGGCTATTGGATGCTATCCGGTACTATAGGGTGAGTGGAAGGAGAAACTGGAATATCTAGATGATCTTCCCCATTTCTCCAACAGCTCCAGGACAGCTTTTAAATTAGAACTGACAAAGGCTGAGGGAAGTTTTAGGTAGGTGGAAAGGAAGGTAATGTTTTTATACCTGCAATCTTTTTGCATAACAGATTATTTTGTTATTTGGGGTTAATAAAGGCAAAGAATAGGGTAAGAAAAAGCTCTTTTTGTCTTTCTCTAATGACCAGGGGAGTCTCAAACTCTAATCCAAGGATTTACGAATGAGAGAGAAAGGGATTTCAAGAAGTGTATTGTGATAAAATCTGAAAAACTAAAATTTCCAAACTGACTCTAAAAATGCCTTACAAGATTTTAAATTAAATGAGTTTTAAAAAAATTACCCCACTGGAAATCCTTTACTAGCAAAGATAGAAAACATTAGATTTTTCGTTATTGCTTTTAGCAAAAGTCGGGTAATCTGAGGAAATGTAAAGGCTAGGCTGTACTTTCTTGATATTAAGCGAAGTTTACCTCCTGCCACCTGCATGGAGTAACCAGTTCAACGTGGTTGAAGTAACCCTTCAACGTGGCAGAAATAGAAAAACTGAATTTTAAAATGCAATTAATAGAATTAGATAGCTTTGGCTGGACATGCTACTATCACTTCTGAAAATACTCTTGTTGCTTTTACTGCTTCTCCTAACCCCTCCAAGAATGGCAGACACCAACCATCAAGCCTTCCACTGGCTTCCTGTCCTGCTTTACAGACACGCACAGGCACACCTGAAATGAGACATACATACATTCCCTCGCTGGAAAATAAAATGAATTACTCCAGTAGGAAACAAATTCTCCAACCCTTCACCAATTCAGGCATTTACTAAAGATAATCTAAGGGGCTTTTTCTTCCTTTGCTTCTCAAAATTCCCCTTTAGGTCTCTGCCCCAGAGCCCCCTCCCGGGAAACCACATTTGCTCCACTGCACTGGCTTCCAGGCATGGAAGGGAGGTGTATCTGGAGACCTGGGAGACACCTTGATTTCCTTCCCCAGCCCCTTCCCGCAGAGCTGTGGGAGCAGATACTGACTTTTTCCTTCTGACCTCTCTAGGGATGCCTTTCCATTAGAGGGCAAAGAGGAAGAAGAGGAACTGGGTTAAAGATGGCCTCTGCTGAACACATATGTCAAAATCAGCTAAGCTAAACCGAATAGGGCCCAGTTAACCTCAACGATGTTCACCACAACAGAGCAGGCTGGAAGATTCCCCCACCTCTCAATTTTAGGTGCTTGCTTCCAAGGGCAGGCTCCCTTTGGAAGCAGAAGCTGAACTTCTGGCTAGGAGGGGCTATTCTAGAAGAGACCGAAGCTAAATCTGTGGCCCAGGCCTGCACACCTCCATCTGCAAGGATGTCCACTTTGAGATGCAGAAGATGATTCTCCCTGCCCGCGTCGGGGCCGACTACGAGAGGCAGTGCAGGCTCCAGGAGGAAACAGCCCTTAAAGTACTTCTCTTATGTTGGCCAGGCACCTCGCCACCCACCAGAGGGCTGTCATTTTACCTAGAGGCCTGTACTACCCAGTCACTAGCCTCGCCCAGAATCTCCAGGGCTCTCGAATCGGTCTGGCTGGGGAAATGGAGGAGGTTGGGGAGGGAGGACTCTCAACGGGATTCACGAGGGACAGGGAAATGCCGCGCGCCCTGGGGATAAATCTTAAAAAATAATCCCTCTCTCCCCGGGAGCGGGGCCTAAGTGGCTGCACCCCCGGAAGCCCAAGGGCCGAGGTCCTGGAGCTGCCGCTCTAGGGCGGTCCCCTCGGGATTTCTTCCAGGAAGGAAAGCAAAACACAACAAAACAAATCCAGACTCCACGTGGGGCTGGAACCCAGTCCCAGCCCTGCTGTGTTCTAGCTGGTCCCGGGTTTGGACGCCAGCGAAGGAAGGCGCGCCCGCGCTCTCCATCGGGGGGACTCGAGGGCAGCGCCGTGCGGGGAACATCCCGGCCAGCCCCGGCCATTCGAGGGGACTTGCGTCCCAGAGGAATTGCCCTCATCTCTCCCACCAGCGCCGACAAGCTCAAACAATGGCGCGGACGCCCACCCTGGTGGCCTAACCAGGACCTGGCCCCGCTCAGCCGCCAGGCCTTCCGGGACAAGCCCCTTCCTGGCACTTTCTCTTGGAGCGCTTTGGGGAGAAGGGAGGGGGACTGGGCTCATTTGGAGGAGCAAAAGACAGCCCTCGCGGAAAAAGAAAGAAAAATCAGCAAAATCGCCTTAGCAGTTCAACCAAAGGTCAACAGCAGCGTTTCCCCAGCAGCTGACAGGTCAAATGGGCAGGAAACAACTGCGGGGAACAAAGCCCCCCGCTGTCCGGCAGGGGCGAACCCGGCTCCTCCGCACTGAACAGTTTTGTTGTGCTTTTTGGAGGGGAGAGGTTTCCGCCCCCTTTCCAGCTCCCTTCCTCCCGGGTGGACAGGTCGGAAGAGGAGCGGAAAGGAAAGGAAGGGAGGGAGGCGGCGAAGGCGCCTGCGGGGGGGAGGAGCGGCTCTTTGATGGGTGTGGGGGGGTCTGAACTGCCTACCGGGCTCGGAAGCGCAGACCCTACCCGCGCGGAAGAATGCGCGGAATGCGGCGGCGGGAGGCGGAGGCGCAGCGCGGCGGGGGGCGCCCGGACCCCACGCGCCCTGCCCGCTCCCTAGCCCGAGGGCCGCGGACCCACCCTGCCCTGCAGGTGTGGCGGGCGCCAGGTCCCTCCAGGGACTCGGACAGCACGCGATTTTTCCAGGATTTCCGACTACCAAATGTGACAAGACAGTCTCGCCGCCGAGAGTTTCGCCAGGGCTCGCTAAAATCCGGCACGCGCCGCCATCAGATAGTCGAAAATCCGGGCTGAACAAAAGGTGATCATTCTCCGCTGCCCGGATTTGCAGGCGCTAGAGGACCGGTTCCGCCCGGCGTCCCCCAGATACCCAGTCCTTCAGCCTCCCGCTCCCAGAGCCTGGATCTAGCCCGGGACGGGGATTGGCCACCTTCCAAGCTGAGCTTGGAGTTGGGCAGCGGGAACGCAGATACAGATCGCTCTACACAGTGTGTGCAACCCAATCTCCCTTTCTGCATTTGCCAGGGTCTTGTTTTCAGTGAAACTGGCAAGGCCAATTGTACCTCGGCGCCCACCCCTCTTCACCTTTTCTCCACCTCTGGGATTCTCCCGGTCCGGCTCAGTGTAGGGCCCCAGCACGCCAAACCAACAGGCCTATCTTGTCCCCACGCGCCCCGTGGTACTTGGAAACTGTTCCCGGGACTCAAGATGGACCGCGCAGAGGAGTCGCTTCATCCTCGAGGCTAGGACCGTTAATGTCAATAAACGGGGCCTCGCTAGGACGGTGCGGAATTGCAGGTGACCGGAGAAACCCGTCCGCACTTTCCCTGAGGACTTGAACCTCGCACTTGCACAGAAACCTTGCAAACCCCTACACACCAACACACACAAAGGGGCGCGCGGGGATCCCCGCAACCACGAATCACGCCGGGGACTCCTTCCCGTGCCAATAAGGCGCAGGCCGCCAAGACCCCCTCCATCTCCCCGACTCCAGCTAGCGCCCGGAGCCCTCGTTTACCTTTGAGCAGGCAGATGTCGGTGCGCTCGGCGTTGCGGCGCAGCGCCTGCACCACCAGCGACACGGTGCTGTCCTCGCGGAGGCTCTCGGCGCGCGGGCTGCGCTCGTCGTAGACGATGACCGCCGAGTAGAGGCCGGAGCGCAAGCGGGCGCGTACCTCCTCCTCGGCGGGCAGGATCTGCTCCAGGCTCACGGAGCCCTTAGCCCGCCGCCGCACGATGGTGTTACAGCGCACGTTGACCGAACCTAGGATGTAGCCCGCGCTGTGCGCCAGGAACGGTCTGCAGTCCAGCAGCAGGCACTTGCCGCCGCTCGGCAGCCCCAGGGTGCCGTGGCTGCCGCTGCCGCCCGCGCCGCCGCCATTCTCGTCCCGGTTCATCAGCCTTTTGAGCACACTGCAGTCCATCTCCCGCAGCTCCTCCATCGTCACCATGGTCGCCGGGAACCGAGGCGGCTGGGCGCGCGAGGAAGAGAAGAGAACCCGGGCCGCCTAGGCTGCAGAAAGGGGCGGGCGAGAGCTAAGAAGGGACGCCTGCAGAAGTGGCCGCAAACTTGGTCCTCAAGGGCTCCCGCGGGAGAGCCTCTTCTTCCCTGTCCCCTTCCTCCCGCAGCCTCGCGGTCACATAGCAGTCGGAGCGGCCTCGGGCGCCCAGCCGGGCGGCGCGCAGAGCGGAGGGGGAGGCGCCGGTGGAGGAGAGTGTGTTTACGAGAGAGGACCGCGGACTCTTTTCGGCGACGGCCTCCCGTGTATTTTTGCCGGTCGCGCGGCTCCTGTCGCCACTGGCGCCAGCGCTGCCCTGCCTACGCTCCTCCGGCGCTCAGCGCACTGCCCCAGCCAGAGTTTTCTCCTCGGCTTAGAGGTTTATTAATGCTCCTCCGCGCTCCCGGGGGAGGGGGCGCTAGGTACTACCCCGCCAGGCCCCGCCCCGTTCCATTCCGGGCCCCGCGCCGTCCCCCGCCCCCCGCGCTGTCCCCCGCCCCCCGCGCTGACTCCCCGCCCCCTCCGGGCCCCTCCTCCCACCCCCTCCCCGGAGCTTGAATGGAGCGCGGCCGCTGGCTCCCGGTCACGGGAACTCGACGTCACAAAGAGCGGAGTAAACAGGGCGCCGGGTGCTCGCCATCAGGCCCATTCATAAAACCGAGGCCGAGAGGAAGAGGGAGGCGGCCTCCGACCCGCCGCCAGCGGCGGGCAGCGCCCGGACTTTGTGAATGGAGCGCGCGGCGCCTTTCGCCGTCTACCCGCGGGCCCAGCCTGCGCCGCGCCTCCAGCCCGACACCGGCACCTGTGCCGCCGCTGCACCCCGCCGCTAGGCGGGCGGCGCCAAAGGAAATAGCCGGCTGAGGAGGCCAGGGCTCGGGTTTGAGCTTTCATCCCTTGGCACCTTCGCGCTTCCCCGCGTGACAGCCCCGTAGGTTTTTCCCGGTTACCCAAGTGGAGAGGGGACCGGAGCGCTGCTGCCCACCCAGCGGGGCCTGACACCTCCTAGCCCCAGACTCCCCGTGCGCTTTCGGCCCGGCCAGTCCTTTCTGAATATGCGATTCCTGAGACGTTAGCGTATGCATTAGCGTGATCGATTTTCATCTAAAGCCATTAAATCAGTTTTATAGCTTCCCCAAGAACGTGGGCAACCCCCTGCTTGGAAGATGAAAGAGAAAGTCCTCCCGCCCGAAGCCCAGGATCGGAGTGAGGTGTGGGGTTTGTTGCTTTACTACCCAAAGGGAGGCATTAATTGCCGGAATGGTGTTCCGAGGGAGGAGAGCAGGCTGCGCTCCTGTCCACGCTTCCTAAAAGATGTTTATTTAACCCTGGTCGGGGGAAAAACAAGGTTTTCGGGTTTGGGAAACGTCTTCACCCTATCTTGCATAGTTGTGAATTATCCTTTCAGGAAATGACAGGGTCCACATTTGTTGCGGAGCTGGACCCTGGAAAATGTACCCGCAAAGAATGACCTTTTGAAAGGACTTCAGCAGCTCTGGGTCCGATTCATGTTTCTGGGCATCCCTTTTTCCTGGTCACGTAGCAGCCCTCCCCATCCCCATTTCTCTTTTGCATTTAATTTCCCAGAGGCGGCTTTTGGCTGGGGGTTTGTGCACGCACGCGGTGGGGACCGTGCAGAAGCCAAAAATCATTCGCCCGACATCTTGCCAAGTCTTGTTAGTGAGAATTAATCACAGAGCAAGGGAGTTACAGGACTCGCTCGCAGTTTCGGAGGCTGCAGAGTAGCGTATTCCATTCCGGGGCGCGCGTGGAAGCCCGACCCAGGCAGCGAGGGCACCGGTACCCGCCGGGTCTCTCCCGCCCAAGCTCACCCTCTCCCCATGCCTTTGTTCCGGGCGGAGCGGCTTTCCCGAGCTCTCACCTCCGGTCCCGGGGGCCATCCCTGCACTCCCCGACCGGAGCTCGGCGGAGCCTCCACTTCCGAGACCTTCGACTGGCCTCGTCCCCCACTGGGCCCCGAATGCCTCGACCCCCGGGCCCTACTCGGATGAGCTGTAGGGGCACCGCTTGGGCAAGGTGATATTTCCTTTTGCTCCGGGCTCCAAAATGGCTTACGATGGCACTGCACGGATCCTTTCTCTTTTTAAAATTTAGTATTTTATTCATCATGGATTTTTTGCATTTTTTTTTCTTTTAAAGAGGCATTGCATCAAGATATTTCTTTTGATTACTGACTTTTCGGCGCCCTTCTTAAATGTTGCGCTCAAGGCTTGTGCTCACCCTAGTCCAGGCCCTGGAAGGAGCCACAACTGTGGACTGACCGAGGCTGCCCGGTGGCAGGACCCTGGGCGTCGGGCACTCCGGGTGGGAGATCAGTGGTCAAAGCCGCACGGCGTGGCCTCCCTGTGGGGAGGGCAAAAGGTGTCTGAGTCCAGTTTCCCATTCTGCTGAATGGGACTGTGGGGGTCTATCTAATAACTCGCTTTCGATAAGGAGCAAGGAGCCCCAGGGGCCCCGACAGTCCAAGGCTGATTTTGCTTTCCCGGGTTGCTCTCCAGCAGCTCAGAAATCCGCCGCCTGCCAGGACCCAGGGCCGGAGCTCTCCCGGCGCAAGTAAACACTGATTCCTTTACAAAGGCTTTAACAAGACATTTCTGGGAAAAGCCTCTCAGGAGGCAGGTCCGGGCCAATTTCACGCGTGTCGCAGGAGCTGGGGAGACGTCCCTGGGGCGCACGGGTCGCGCTCTGGGCCAGCTTTTGTCTACCCTGTTCTGGGGTCGCCTTCCCCGCCGGACCCGCGCCTGGCGCTCACGTGGCCAGTAAATAACAGTCAAATCCAGGGGGAGGAAAATGCCCATAGAACAAAGAGGCTTGCTTTCTGCACCTGACAGTAATCGCTGGTGGAGAAGCCCTAAATCCCGCAGGCGATTCACACGGAAAGGGGTGTGGGAGGGCGCGTGTGAGTGTGTGTGTCCACGTGTGCGTGCCCGCGCCTACGCGGCTGTTCACTGGAAGGGAGTCACAGCTTGGGACTTAATGTGTTTAAGCCGAGAGCCACTTGAATTGCGAAAGCGAAGGCCTGATTTTTAAAAAAGACTAATTTTTAAAATCCACACCCCATTGCCAACTCAGGAATTGGCCTTCAGTTGTGTGAATTTCAGCAAAGGAGATTTAAGTTACCATATTGTATTTATCGGGATACTGTGTAAACACCCTAGATATATATTTTTTAATTGTATGTTTGTGAACCATTGGTCCACAGTTAAATGAGTACAACGCGAGGGCTACTCCATGCCGGCTATAGATAAAACCTGTCTCCAATTCGTCTGCAGTCTGTGGACGAAACATAACCATTTTAAACAGGAACCTTGTGAAACAGCTTGTCAATGAGCAGATCTTGGAGAAAACAAAGGCAATTTGGAGCAAGACACGGAATGTCATTTCAAAGTTAATTTAATTAACTAAGGCATATTTGTAGGAATTGGGATGGGATTGCCCAAGGAGAGGTCTTTTATTTATATTCAGCAGTAAACCTCGGGGTGAAAGAACTTTTAAAAATTCGCTGTGACAAGTAAATCCAGCTTCTCTTTCATCAGTCAGTCCTTAGACCGACCTTATTAGTCACTGTCAGGCTCCAGCAAAACACCTGCTCTTGTTTAGGAACATTTCTTTCCAATTAGGAAGTTGTATGATCGGGGAATCTAAAGCCCGGAGTAGAATCCCCAGAGAGAAGTACAGCTTCTATTCTAGTTTTGATGCCAACCTCTGACTCACTGCTCTGTCCCAAAGTGCCTGAATAAAACTTGCCTGAAAAATCATTAATGAATTAATTAAGGTGGTGATGGAAAGAAAAGTCCTGTGGCTTTTCCTTTCTTGAGCAAAGAGGCAGCCTTGCTATTACGTCGAACTGGAACAGGAATAATCCATTTTGCACAGATCTTGTTGGTTAGGCTTCTTAGATCAACTAATTAGGGAACTTGCCCCCTGGTAGTGGGAAGGCTCAAAAGAACTGGGAGACCCTCTCCTGCTCCTGAAAGCAGAGAAGCCTGTGGTCTACACAGCGTGTTCTTAGGCAACGTTTAGAAATGGAATTGAGAAATGCCTGTCCTTCCCTACGTACCTCTGCCCATCAAGTCAGGACTGAAAGCGAAGGAAAGTCTTCAAAGTTCACACTGAACCTAACCAAAAACTCTCAAAGACATAGCCTGAGGATTTCTTTTTTTAAGTCCTGACTTTGTTACAGATCTTTTTTGTTTTCTATGCTTGATACTCTAGCACTTATTAATGATTTAAAAGGCTATGTATCGGCCAGGCGAGGTGGCTCACGCTAGTAATCCCAGCACTTTGGAAGACCGAAGTGGGCAGATCACCTGAGGTCAGGAGTTTAAGACCAGCCTGGTCAACATGGTGAAACCCTGTCTCTTCTAAAAATACAAAATTAGCCAGCATGACGGGCGCGCACCCATAATCCCAGCTACACTGGAGGCTGAGGCAGGAGAATCGCTTGAACCCGGGAGGTAGAGGTTGCAGTGAGCTGAGATCCCCTCACTGCACTCCAGCCTGGGCGACAAGAGCAAAACTCCATCTCAAAATAAATAAATAAATACAAATAAAAAATAATAAAAGATTAAGTTTCTAACCCAGGGTCTCTGCAGAAAGGTTTTAATGCATTGCTTTATTTACTGCTTTATTTTAAAACTATTCAATCTAGGCTATGCCACCATCTAGCTTGGTGGCCTTGGGCAAGACAGTCTCCTTTGGCCTCACTTTCTTCACCTGCAAAATGAAGAGTTTGGGCAGGATGGTTTCTCAGGTCTGGTCTATTTCCGACCCTGTATGATTCTGAGCAGAAGAAGACTTCTCAGCTCCGAGTCCAAGTTTCATAGGTTTCCCATCTCGCCCTCTGAAGAGCCAAGCACACTATAATGCCATAAGATAAAGGACGATCTCTAGCTCCTCCTTGTCCCTGCTTTAGAATATAAACTCATGGACAGCAGAGCTCATAGTTTTTATTTATTTGTTTAGTCACGTGCTAACGTCCCAAGCATTTTGATAAAACGTCTTCAAAATTTCAGAAACAAATTTTGGAAAGAAACACTTCTCCAAACGGGATAAAAATGAACTCGGAGGCTGGGCATGGATGGTGGCTCATGCCTGTAATCCCCCAGCACTTTGGGAGGCTGGCGGATCACTTGAGGTCAGGAGTTGGAGACCAGCCTGACCAACATTAAAAATACAAAAATTAGTCAGGCATGATGGTGGGTGCCTGTAGTCCCAGCTACTCGTGAGGCTGAGGCAAAAGAATCCCTTGACCCGGAGAGGCAGAGGTTGCAGTGAGTCAAGATTGGGCCACTGCACTCCTGCCTGGACAGGGCGAGACAGCGAGACTCCATCTCAAAAGACAAACAAACAAAACAATACAAAACAAAACTAGGTTATTTGGGGTCACTCTAGCTGTGCAGATTCTCTTATTCATTCAACAAACGTGCTAGACTCAGCAAGAGGTGCGGGAAGTAGGGGGACAGATTTGTCCAAAACACTGTGCCTTCAAAAAGCTGACAGTCTCATTGGTCTAGTCAGGGTGTGATTGCCACTGTACATTGCCAGAAAGCAGGATCTAACAAAGTGTCATTAGAGAACAAACAGCATGCCAGGAAGATTCAGAAGAGAAAGGGATGGAGCCGTGTTGTGAGATTAGGGAAATGGAGGAAAAGGCCATCATGAATAAAGTGCATTTCATCTACTTAAATGTTATCCTTGAAATGTCCTTGAGTTCTCTTGTAGGTTTTTTTTTTTTTTAAACTGTTATCTCACCTCTGACATTCATTCTGCCCTTGTGCCTTGTATTCTTTTCCTTTCATTTGTTAGCATCTCTCTTCCCCAGTGGGTTTGCCTGCTAAAAATAGATGAGCAATTGGTGTGAAACTACAAGGGAGCTAAGATGATGCAAAAGCTCTGTAGAAAATCTGTGCCATGGATGAGCAACCGACCTAGATGGTAGCTGACCTAAGTAAGGGCCCGACTCTTTCATTGCCATCTTAAGCAAGTCAGTTGTTCTGTACTTTGATTTTACCATCTGTAAAACAAAGGAAAAACAATGTAATTATTGTTTACATTTTATATTTACTTTTTTCAGGACAACAAAATGTCTAAATCACCTTTCCAAGGCTTCAACAATGAATGTATTTTCCAAATCAATGTTGGAGTACATGGTCAGAAAAGATGTCTTTTGGACTTGTGAAATTACTTATATAAAAATTCTTACCAAGATGGAAGCATAAAAAACACATTTATTTATATGTTTACTAAATCTTCTTTTATTGAAAACAATAAGACAACCTGAAAGCAAGTCTATCAGAGAAAATCTGGGACTTATGTCTTCACTGACAAAATAATAAATGAGACAAAGTGATAGAAGACCTTTGTCATGACACCTGTTTGCTACCAGAGCCCCAGGCCATCGTCATCCACTGATGTCTCCACATTAATTCTGCAGAGGTCCTGGACAGTCTTCTCTGCCCTGTCTAATGGTCAGTTAATTCTCCTTGTAAGCACATCATGGCTGACCAGGTGCTGGACCGCGCAAAGAAAGGTGTCAGAGCTTTCAGCTTAAGCCTTGATTGGGTGGTGAGTAGGTCTCCTGCAGCTAATCAGTGGCTTTAGAAACCCTGGAGTCCTTCAGAAACCCTAAAGTTCTTCCTTCTGATTTTTCTGGTAGACCAAAGGAAAAGGCCAACAACAAACAATTTCTAAATAAGAAATTTCCACCTTAGCTAAAAGCAAAAGGCCTTTGATACTCTATAAGATTGATCAACTCACTTCAGTTGAAATAATGGTTTTCTGAAGTCAAGGCATGAACAGCCTTTCCCCACTGGATGGGATGCTCAGATTACCAGCCCTGGAATGAAACAAAAGGAGAAGACTGTCTCACCCCACACTTCTCAACCATTGGCCATTCTGAGATGACACCTGCAGAGCCACAGCCCCACCTGCCCGAGCACCCACGGGTGCCTTGGTCATCCTGCACCATGGAGCTGCTTGTCTCTCCTCTGTGTAATCTAATCTTCTATGAGTCCAGTTTTTACATGTTTAAATTTCTTTTCCTTTTGTTTTTAGTTTACACATAATAATTGTACATATTTATGGAATACAGACTGATATTTTCATACATGTATCTACATTGTGTAATGATCAAATCAGGGTAATTAGCATATCCATCACCTCAAATATTGATCACTTCTTTGTCTTGGGAACACTCAAAATCGTCTCTCGTAGCTCTTTCAAAATATACAATAAATTCTTGTTAACTATATTCACCCTACGGTGCTATAGAACACAAGAACTTATTCATCCTATCTGGCTGTAATTTTGTATTCTTTAAGCAACCTTCCCCATCTTCCTCTCCCTCATCTAATAACATTCTCAGCCTCTAATAACCACAACTCCACTCTCTACTTCCATGAGCTCAACGTTTTTTTAGCTCCCACATATGAATGAGGACATGCAGTATTTATCTTTCTGTGCCTGACTTATTTCATTTATGTAATCTAATTTTAAAACAATTATTTGGGCTCTCCGGAATCAGTAATACAAAAAGAATACAGCAAAATGTGCTGTTTTCTTTTGCAGAAAAGAATTATAGTCTCTCTCTACGTTTTCCATTGGAATTAGCATAACAGTCCTCAAGGGTTTACCCACTGAGGGAGACACCAAGAGTCCCCTTTAAGCAGAGGGTAATTACATCCTGCTATTCAGCCCATTTACTGGAGGTTAACTCATTAGCACCCCGCCAACTCCGTTTTTAATCTAATCTATTTCTCTATCTCCTCCCCTAGACTCACAATGCTGTGTGTCCTCTCTGTTGCACCTAAAACTCTTCATCAAGTAACCAGGCGAAGAGGTCTGTCTTCTCTTCCAGAAGCCCAAGATCCCTTTTCCAAGGACTGTCTGGATGCCCCTGCCTTGAATCTGAGTTTTATCTTCTGCAGACCTGGGCTTAATTTGCTGCTCTGAAAAAGGACACAGGCTCTGTAGCCAGACAGATGTGGGTTTTGATGCCAGAGCCACCGTTTAAGTAGCTGGGGAACTTTGGGTACGTTTCTGGCCATTGCTTTTCACATCTTGTCACTGGGAATGTTATTATTATTTTATCTATTTTTTTTTTTGAGACGGAATCTTGCTTTGTTGCCCAGGCTAGAGTGCAGTGGCTCTATCTCAATTCACTGCAAGCTCCGCCTCCCGGGTTCACTCCATTCTCCTGCCTCAGCATTCCAAGTAGCTGGGACTACAGGTGCGCACCACCACGCCCGGCTAACTTTTTGTATTTTTAGTAGAGGCGGGTTTTCACAGTGTTAGCCAGGATGATCTCGATCTCCTGACCTCCTGATCCGCCCGCCTCGGCCTCCCAAAGTGCTGGGATTACAGACGAGAGCCACCACGCCCAGCCAGGAATGTTATTAACACCTAGATTCATCATTGGGAACATTTTCAAAAAATGTATTATTATTCCTTATTCCTTTCTCTTAGACAATTTTTTCTTTTTAAGCTGAGAGGTGTCAATAGGGCAACATTTCTGATTTATACATTGTTTTCTCCATGGAGTTGCATTTGGCAAAACTCCAGGTGCATGGAAACACACAGGTGGGTCTTTGTGCCATCAGGCTGGGCTGCTCAGTGGGCCCAGCTGTTAGTCCACGTGTTTGCCTGTGGGTCAACAGAACAGGAAAGGCTCCTGGATTCTCTCTGTTGCTTTCCATCCACCTGGACTGCTCCACCTCCTATCCTCTCTGTCTCCTTGATTCAACTCGATGCTACCCTCATTTATCCAAGCAGAGAAAGGTGCTCCTTTCCTCTTTTAGTTTTCTCTCACCCTTCCTTCTTTTCACATCTATTTCTTACTGTTTCCTGCACAGTGCTTGTCTTTTCTCTGACATTGTATGAGCAATTTCTTTGATACAATGGTAGTCTCCAATTATGCTACTGGGCAAGCCAGCCTAGAGGTTGTGGAACAGAAAGGCTCTCAGACCAACTTAAGTCACTCATATCGCAAGTTTTATTGAATCAGCTGAAAATATCCAGTACTTTCAAGGGGAAAGATGTGAGAAAGGTTCACCCACTTAGCTTAAGGTGCAAGCAGGTGGCAGGACCACACGACCCGATCCTCAGTGACTCAGTGTTCATGTGACCGGTGTTCTCTTCTACATTGACCTTCCAAGCTCATGGGGTAGTTACTTTGGAACAAGGAGGCTCTGCAGAGAAAACTGCCTGAAGCCAAAATGATCTTGCTCTACCAGAGAGATAAAGGGGCAAGTATGCCTGGCCAATAAAGAGCTTGCTAAACAGCCATTGCTTTTCTCTGTGTTTCTAGACAAAGCTCATGTGGGGAGAGATGGGATTAATGTAGTTTCACCAATGATGGCTGATTCAGCAATAATGTGCCTGTCATATAGAGGTGGCATAATACACACGTTGTAACTTGGCCTGTTCATCTTTTTTCTGACTTTAAGTGTCAGAGGCATGTGAACCAGAGCAACTCCATCTTAACTCGGAGCTGGGTAAAATGAGGCTGAGACCTACGGGGCTGCATTCCCAGTTGGTTAAGGTATCCTAAGTCCCAGGATGAGACAGAAGGTCAGCATAAAATACAGGTCATAAAGATCTTGCTGATGAAACAGGTTGCAATACAGAAGCTGGCTAAAACCCACCAAAACCAAGATGGCCAAGAGAGTGACCTCTGGTCTTCCTCACTGCTACATTCCCACCAGCACCATGACAGTTTACAAATGCCATGGCAACATCAGGAAGTTAACCTTTATGATCTAAAAAGGGGAGGCATGAATAATCCACCCCTTTTTTAGCATATGATCAAGAAATAACCATAAAAATGGGCAGCCAGCAGCCCTCGGGGCTGCTCTACCTATGGATCAGCCACGCTTGTATTCCTTTACTTTCTTAATAAATTTGCTTTCACTTTGCTCTATGGACTTGCCCTGAATTCTTTCTTGTGCAAGATCCAAGAACTCTCTCTTGGGGTCTGGATTGGGACCCCTTTCCTGTAACGTAAGCAACATTTTTATTTGTTCTATTCTTTTTTAAGAATTGTGATATAACACACAGAACATAAACTTTACTGTGTTGATGATGTTTGAGTATAATTCAGCGGCATTAAGCGCATTCACACTGTTGTGCAACCATTACCACTGTCCATTTTCAGAACTTTTGCATCACCCCAGACTAAAAACTGTGTGCATTAAACACTAACTCCCCACTCCCCTCCCCTTAGCCCCTAGTAATCTCGATTCTACTTTCTGTCTCTATGAATTTGCCTATTCTGGATACCTCATATAAGCAAAATCATACAGGATTTGTCCTTTTGTGTCTGGCTTATTTCAATACTTGGCATAATGTTTTCAAGTTCACCCATGTTGTAGCATGTATCAAAATTTTATTCCATTTTAGGGTTGAGTAATATTCCATCATTTGTGTATACCATATATTTTTTAATTCACTCATTTGTTGATGAACATTTGAGTGGTTTCTTTCTTTTGGCTATTGTGAGTGATGCTGCTACAAACATGGATGTTCAGGTATCTGTTTGAGTCTCTGCTTTCATTTCTTTGAGAGTATATACCTAGAAGTGGAATTGCTGGGTCCTATGGTAATTCTGCTTAAATTTTTGAGAGACCACCGGTTTCATCCTTTTTTAAAATCAGTGTTCAATATTCACATATTCTGTTTATTTCTATGGCTAACATTAGTTTTTCTTATTTTTTTATAGCAAAATTAAGTATTCCTAAATATTGCAGCCAATTCACCTTACAACCCCTTCCCATATTATCTACCCAGCAGGCACTGTAAGGTCTGTTCTTGGATACTGACAAACATTCTGCAATCCTCAGTCCACAGCTGTACACCAAATATTTGGAACAGAGATCAGTTAACTGATTAATTACTATGACTTTGTGCTCGGGGAACATGCCAAGCACCAATCCCCCACCTTCCCCACCCTGCCTGTGTCTCTGTTCCCTTTGTGTTCCCTACATTCTTTCAAATACCTGCAAATCCACCTTCTCTACCACGCATCAATGTTGCTGGCTTCCATTTCTTATTGATTTTGTATGACTTTGAGGTTTCCTGCCTGGGTACCCAGGACCATGACTCTCTCTCTGGAGATACCCATCCTGACTGATACACCCTAGCCACCTCCCTTTACGCTCCCTCTACTCCATCCTCAGTCCAAGAGCTTCAGGCACTCCAGTCCTGCCCCAGAGACGCAGGTTTCATCCTCTCGCATGCTTTGCAGGAACTTCTTTATTTTATTGTATTTTTTAAAGATAGAGTTTCATTCCTGTCGCCCAGTCTGGAGTACAGTGGTGTAGTCTTGGCTCACTGCAACCTCCGCCTCCCGGGTTCAAGCGATTCTCCTGCCTCAGCCTCTGGAGTAGTTGGGATTACAGGCACGTGCCACCATGGCAGGCTAATTTTGTGTTTTTAGTAGAGGCAGGGTTTCACCACGTTGGTCAGGCTGGTCTCGAACTCCTGACCTCAGGTGATCCACCTGCTTAGGCCTCCCAGAGTGCTGGGGTTACAGGCATGAGCCACCGCACCCGGCCCTTTGCAGGAACTTCTAACACGACTTGCTGCTTCCGCACAATGGAGGTACACAAGTCAGTCACACAGAAACATGCTTATGTATGTAGCTGGCTCTTTGGAGCAAACCTAAGCTAAAGGATATATACTTCCTGGCCTAAGGCATAAGCACCACATACATTTTTTTTCCCTTTCAGAAGCAATATTTTTATTTTTTGGAATGAACTGTGGTTAGAGCATATTGTCGTCTAGACTATTAGGTCAGGCAAAGATTTTTTTCCTTCCTCTGTTTTATACATGTGAATAAAGATGGAATAAACAAAGCATGCTGTTAGGTATTTTGTGCCCATGTTAGCGTAGGCAATTCTAGAACAGATTTTTTTTTTCTAGGATGTTTGAAGATATAATGTAACTTCTCTATCATTGGTTTGAGGTGAAAGACAGAGGTTTTTAGCAGTGCCTTCACAGTGTTTGGGCTGTGTAAAACACAGAAATAGAAATAAAAATGACCAGGATCTGTTGGGTGTGGTGGCTCATGCCAGGAATCCCAGCATTTTGGGAGACTGAGGCAGGTCCATCACCTGAGGTCAGGAGTTTGAGACCAGCCTGGCCAATATGGTGAAACCCTGTCTGTACTAAAAATACAAAATAATGAGCTGGGCATGGTGGCACATGCATTAATCCCAGCTACTTGGGAGGCTGAGGCAGGAGAATTGCTTGAACCCAGGAGGCGGAGGTTGCAATGAGCTGAGATGGTGCCATTGCACTCCAGCCTGGGTGGCAGAGTGAGACTCCGTCTCAAAAACAACAACAACAACAACAACAACAACAACAACAACAAACAAACAACAACAACAAAAAACCCACCAGGATTTCCACTTGGAATTTCTCAAGTTTGAAGAATACCAAACTGCAGAATGCTAAAAATACAGATTTCCCCTTACTTTTGAGAGTTCCTATTCCTGTGCCTTTTTTTTCTCTTTATTTTTTCTCTTTCTTTCTTTTTCTTTCTTTCTTTCTTTCTTTCTTTCTTTCTTTCTTTCTTTCTTTCTTTCTTTCTTTCTTTCTTTCTAATAATTGACTGAAGAATCAAGAAAAATGCTGGAGATGGGCTTAAACATTCCCTACTGGACAGTTCTGGCTAAGGCCTTCTCTGTGTATAAAGTTCCCCAAGACCTTACATTGCAGAAGATGAAGAGTGTGTATGTATGTGTGTGTGTAATTTTTTTTTTCTTCTTGAAACACCCATTTCCAACCTCTCCCTCTATCCCTGGATTCATTTTTGTAAAAAACAAAACAAAAAACAAAGCCCTCCTAGTTCCTTCTCCACCCCTGGCAATTCAAAGGAGTTTTCTCCTTCCCCCTTTCTGTGAGTGTTACTTATGTTATTGTTCATTCATCGCAGAATGTACTCAAATTTAATGCTCACAAAATTTAGGGACCAATTTCCTTCCGCCTCCAGTCTGAGTTGCTCACTTTTCAGTGAGTCTTTCTCACTAGAGGAGGTTATCAGCAGTCACTGGGTGGTGATTGATAGGCAGGAACAGGAAAGATCAGGGGGCACCCCCAGGACTGGAGCATGTTGCATTTCACTGTGATTATTGTGGATGAGAAAGGCAGTTGCTCAAAGTAGGCCAAGGGAAGAAGTGCCTGGTATCCCACCCTGCCAATGTCCTCAAGGTCAGCTTAGGCCTACAGTCAGGAAGGCTCATCCAGTGTTTATCCCGCTCCCTGCTGTACTCCTCCTATAAGTCAAGTTCTGTTTTGAGAGAAGTCCAAGGGCAGTTGTTGCCAAGAGAATTAAAATGGAAAGAGAGTTGACAGAAACATATGCCACATATGCTACATGCTGAATTTTATGAGGGGTTTCCTACCTACATGTCTTAGTCCATTTTGTGCTGCTGTAAAAGAATACCAGAGACTTGGTCATTTACAATGTACAGAAATTTATTTGGCTCACGGTTCTGGAGGCTGGGAAGTCCAAGACTGTGGACTAGACAACAAAAAACCCTCAGTAAATGGGAACTCATATTAGTCTACTAGGGCTGCCGTTGTGAAGTGCCACAGACTGTGTGGCTTAAACAACAAAAATTTATTTTCTCACAGTCCTGGAGGCTAGAAGTCCAAGATCAAGATGTCACAGGATTGGTTTCTTCTGAGTCCCCTCTCCTTGGCTTACACAAGGCTGTCTTCTCTCTGGTCTTCTGTCTGTGTCTGTCTTCTGTCTGTGTCTGTGTCCTAATCTTCTCTTCTTATAAGGACATCAGTCATATTGGATTAAAGCTCATCCTGATGACTTCTTTTTAACTTAATTACGTCTTTAAAGACTTTATCTCCAAACACTTCACATTCTGAAATACCAGGAGTTAGGACCTCTATATATGAATTTGGAGAGGACATAACGGAACTTTTGCTATTTTCCCAGAAAGAGGCTTGAACTTGGCAGCAATGAAGGCAGTTCTGTGCAGTAGAGAGAGTAAGCCAAGGCTGAAAAGAGCTTGACTACATGTTCTAGAGTCAGCCAAGGCTGGGTTTGGACCCTAGCTCTGACCTTTCCAGCTATGTGGCCTTAGGTCAGTTACTTAATGTCTCTGATCTCCAGTTTTCTCTGCCTTGAAATGGGGACAAAATAGGCCACCTGAGGGTAAGCCTGAGGATTCAATGAGATGATATAAAACAGTCTAGCATGGTGTCTGGCTCAATACCCAATTTTCTTACCTTGACTCTGGCTCAGGAATGTGTCTTCACTTCTCTGAGGTCTCCAAGGACTTACCTGTTCAGGGGTCAGACAGATGCATCTATTTCTGATAAGGTGAGCAACTGTCTCCTGGGTCAATGTCTTGTGCCCATCTCACGACATCTTTGAATCACTAGGGAAGATCTCAGTCTCCTGGGGCCCTCATCTCTTCTAGATTCCTGCAGGCACAGCTGAGCCAGCTTCCTGCTTGTTCTCACCCCTCCCAAACCTTCTCCACAGCAGCAGCTCCTTACCCTGCTGAGCTTGGGGTTGAGGGAGGACTAGGGGCCTCCATCCGCCAGAGGTACATGCCCCAAGACAAGCAGAGGATGGGGCAGAGATCTGGTGAGGATGCAAGAGAGGCTGAAGCCTGAAATAGTAGCCCTCCAGCCTTGAATTGGGGCTGAGGCAAATGCCACTTGCACTAGCTGTTGGATTCTAGTGATTAGCAATTCCCCAGGCTGGGTAAGGTGACCTGTTTATTTGTCAGGAGAGTCAGAAAAAATTGCTAAGAGCAGTTGAAGAAGGTGGGGAAGAAGAGGGAGAGTGCCAGGTTAGTTGGAAGAACGTGACCCTCCTTTGCTGTAGAAGGCAGTGTGTGGAGGACGTCCCCGGAGCTTCTCTCTCTAAAGGAGGATGCAGAGCTGCTGGAATCGGTGCACCAAGTGCCATCCACACATCTCCCCCATGGCTCTGTGCTGCTGAGAGTGGGGGCTTCCTTGAGGTCCAGGGCCCTGAGGGGCAGCGGCATCTGGGGCACTTTGGGCAGCAACACCTTCTGAGAGAAGAATGATGGGGGAGTGGAGAAGAGCCAGCCAGGCAAAGGGCAGCTGCACGTGTTTGACCCGGCACTGCCTGGGGTAAGCTGCCCTGCTGGTGGCCGTATTCTCCCTGGCTTCCCTGTCTTGCCTTTTCCTGCCCTTTAATGGCTGGTTTCCACCTTCTCCAGAAGGTGCACAAAGAGGAAGAGGTGACAGAGAAGCAAGTCCATTTTGCTTGGCAGAGGCAGCTGTGTTAGAACTGTTTGGGTGTTGTGCACTCAGAAGCACCCCTTCTTCCCGATACAACAGGACATAGACAAAGGGTAAGTCATCATTGGCCAGTCCATAGCCCAATTGTCTGCAGGAAGCTTTGCCAGGGAGTGGGGAAGGGAATGTGGGATTGGAAGTAAGCTTCCCAGCCTTCCACCGCTTTTCCTTGAAGGCACTTAGCCCCACTGCCCCTCAGCCAAGCCTGGCTGAGTGCCTGGAGCTCTTTCCCCCCCAGCTGCTAAGCCCTGCATGGGTCTGGTAGCCTTACACTGGGTCTGCCCAGGCAGGGCCCAGGCCTGACCTTTCACCATGATTTTCTAATTTCTGCTCCATCCCCTCTGGGCCTGGGTTCTTGCTGCCTGTATCTTATTTCCTTGGCTGGGTCTGGTGGTCAGGACTTTCCTCGGGGGGGACTAAATCCCACCTCCTAAATAAGGGGGGCTGAACCACCAGCTTCTGTACCCCCAGAGTGACACCCAGTGTTGGAGTTGCTTACACTGACCACTGACCACTGGGATTTGCATTTCCTGCCCTTCCTTCCCTCTCCCTCCACCCAGTGACCAGCTAATCCAAACCAGGTTAATCCCTCCAGGCCACCAACCTACCCCTGTGAAGTTCAGCATGCTTCCTGGCTGAGCCACAGCCTTACCACCTGAGAGAGTGACTGCGTGGAGAAGCATACATATTGGTGGACTTCAGATTGACAGCGGCCTGTCCCAGAGCCATCTGTGATTCCTCCTTCCTCTTCTTTGGCCCCCTCCCTTGCAGCTGGCATGTCTGTCTACTGGCTCTGAGTCTAGGCTTTCACTACCTCTTACCTGGAATACCACACCAGCCTCCAAACCAGCCCTCTTGCCCCCAGTTTCACAACTCCAATTCTATTTCCTGATTGCAAATGTTTTAGGACTCTCCATTGCCTCCCACATTCATGGGATCTACAGTGGGACCTTGACCTCCCTTCCTAACATCTCCCACCCCTCATCTGGAATCACCCCTTGCTCAGCTCCCTTGAACCACCTGTCTTCCTGGCTGCATTCTCTGCTCTATCTCCTGAATGCTTTGGTTCACACTGTTTTCTCTGCCCCAGTTGCCCTTTTCCTGGGCCTCTTGGGATACTTCAAGGAAGATTTTGCCCAGCTTGGAGCATGCATGTGCGAATCTGCCCTCAATGTTATCTCCAGCATGCTCCCCGGAAGCCTTATGCAAATCCTGGATCTGCTTGAGAATTGCCCCACGTCTCAATGATGCAAAACAAAAGTAAGAACCCATCTCAAGAGAGACTTCGAACTTCACTTCTGAATCAATTGGAAATTTGGACAAAACTTCTTTTCCACATTATGTCTTTCTCTTTCACTTTCAGTTCAAGGAGACTCACTGACTTTTCTTAAAGGATGTGACTCTCCTTACTGGGCAAATGATAAGTTTGTGTCTGTAATTGAGACTGCACTGGTTATCTTTGTTCCGTGACATGACCACATTCTATATTTTCTTGATATTCCAGCCAAGGAGTTGCTTTTGAATGTTTTCAGCGTTCCATCTGTTCTCTTGCAGTGATCCCTCATCTTCTTTTATACATTCATTTAACAAATACTCAGACATTATTTTTTGTTTTTGTTTCTTTGAGACAGGGTCTCACTCTGTCACCCAGGCTAGAGTGCAGTGGTGGTGTGCTTATAGCTCATAGCTCATTGCAGCTTCGAATTCCTGTGCTCAAGCCATCCTCCCACTTCAGCCTTCTGAGTAGCTAGGACTACCAACAAGCACCATCATACTCAGCTAATTTCTTTTTTTTATAGAGATGGGGTCTTGCTATGTTTCCCAGGCTAGTCTCAAATTCCTTGGCTCAAGTGAACCTTCTGTCTCAGACTCCCAAAGTGCTGGGGTTATAAACATGAGCCACCACACCTGGCTGAGCCATTGTTATTCCACTAGGCTCTGTTATTTGCACTGGGTTGTGGTATTGAGCAAAGCAAACAAATATAGACACAAATCCCTGACCTCATGGAGCTTACATCATCTATGGGTAGAGACAGACAATCCACAACACAAGAAGTTATACACATGGTGTGTTAGATGGTGACAGGCTGGGAACGAAGTGGAACAGGGGTAGGGAGTGTGGGAAAATGCTTCCAGTTTTGAATAGGAAGGTCTCGGGAGCTTAACCTAAGCCAGTTTGGGTATGTGTAATTCTTAAGCTGTTTTTAGTAAATAGTAGTAGACACTAAGGAGTTTGAGGTAGGTGAGATCATGAGCCACTCAGCCATAATGCCACCATCGGGGAATAATCAAAGCACATCTCAAATGGAATTCTGCTTCTGTATTTATTAACCAAATGATTATTAGTAAAGCAGACCACAAATTGTTAATACAACCTGTTCTGAATTCTCATCACTCTCTACATTTCTGAGGTTCTGGCCTTGTAATTGGGATCAGGTAGTCACACATTCTTTCAAACCAACAGATGGACACAGGGCGGATTAGGCCTCAAGTCTCTCCTGATGAATACAGGTTATAAGCCTTGTGTAATTCTTATGCCCATTTATGTAAGAGTAGGGGTTGTCTGGGCTGGGCGTGGTGGCTCACGTCTATAATCCCAGCACTTTGGGAGGCTGAGGCAGGTGGATCACCTGAGGTTAGGAGTTTGAGACCAGCCTGACCAACATGGTGAAACCTTGTATTTACTAAAAATGCAAATATTATCTGGGTGTTGTGGTGTGTAACCCTAGCTACTCCGGAGGCTGAGGCAGGAGAATCTCTTGAACTTGGGAGGCAGAGGTTGCAGTGAGCTGAGATCACGCCATTGCACTCCAGCCTGGGCAACAAGAGCGAAACTCCGTCTAAAAAAAAAAAAAAAAAAAAAAAAGAGTGAGCGTTGTCTGTAAATAATTGTAGTCAATCAATGATTTGAGCCAATCCAAAAAAAAAAATTCTAATTTTACCTTGATTTTAACTTTCACCGCATTATTTAGCATATTGCTAGTTTTGCCAATAAAGACATTTAAAAAAAATTTAATGTGTTAATTAGCAAAGTATTGGTTGTTGCTTGAGATGCAGATGATAGAAACTTCAGATTTAGCAGCTTTTGGAGGGTGGTCTTTTGAGGGCCAGCTGAACTGTGATTTCTCCATTGCATGTTGGCTGACCGGCTCTAGAATTAAAGCTTCAGTGAGCTGGCACATACATAATGTCCTACTGATTGTACTGAAGTATTTTAAAGTAAATTACAAATATTATAAAGGTGGTTGGGGAAGACTGGAAGGTGGTGGAGGAGTGAGTCCTGCATCCTTTGGGAAGCATGCTGGGCTGAGGGGACCATGTGTGCAATGGTCAGCTCAGCAGGAGTGTGCCTGGCCTGTCTGAACAACAGCAAGGAGGCCAAAGTAGCTGGTGCTGAGTCCAGGAGGGAGAGAAGGGGAGTATGTGGTGCCAGAGAGGCGGTAGGGACCAGATCACCTGGGGCTTCATTGGCCGTTGGGTGATGGAAGCCTTTGGAGAGTTTTGCACGGAAGAGTGACATGAGCTGGATTGGATTTTCCAGGATCAATCAGGCCACCATGTTGAGAATTGACTGTAGGGGACAAAGGCCAAAGTGGGAAAGCCAGTTGGGAGCCTGCTGAAACAGTCCAGGTGAGACTAGCCAGGTCTGCAGATAAGTTGCAGGTAGAGTGACAGAATTTGGCGATGGATGGGGGTGAGGTCTTAAGAGTAAAAAAGAACCAAAAGCTAACTTAAGATGTCTGAGCTGAGCAGCCAGAAGATGGGAGCTGCAATTCACTGACACGAGGAAGACTGCTGGAGAAGAGGTGTTGGGGAGGGTAGGGGAGGGTCAGGAATTCAGCTGAACAAGCTTGAGAGGTGGAGTGGTCACGTGGAGTGTACAGTTGCACATAGGAGCTTTAGGTTCAAGAGAGGAGAATAGGCAGGGGTCGTAAATTTGGGGATAATCCACATAGAGATAACACTTAATGTCATGTATCTGCATGTGATAACCAAGACAGTGAGTGCAGATGGAAGAGAGAAAAGAGCTGGGTATAGTGGCGCACACCTGTAGTCCCAGTTACTCAGGAGGCTGAGGTGGGAAGATCACTTGAGTCCCGGAGGTCCAGGCTACAGTGAACTATGATGGTGCTGCAGCACTCCAGCCAGGGCAATGCAGTGAGACCCTTGTCTCTAAAAAAAATAGATAGGGAAAAGACCCCAGGATCAAGCTCTGAAACTCTCTAACATTAGGAGTTTAGGGAGATGAGGGAGAGTTAGAAAGAAGTCTGAGAAGCCACTGATGAGAGCAGATGGGAAAGAACGCCAGAGGAGCAAGTGACCAGGCAGAGGAGGGATCAACTGTGGAAGAGGAGGACCGACGTCTGACCACTGGGTTAAAAAATGTGGAGGTCACCAGTGCCCTTGGAGAGAAGTAGTGCAGATAAACAGTTGGGGTGGACTCAAGAAAGATGGGAGAAGCAGAGTTGGAGACAGTGATTATAAACCACTCTTCTGTTCAGTATTGCTGAAAATGGCAAGAGAAAAATGGGAGGTAAGTCCTTGAGTTTCCAGTGCTATTTGCATGAAGTCATTCCTGTATTTCTTGATCGTTTCCTACAGGCTAGGGATGGGTGCCAGATGAACAAGGCCTAGCCACTCCCCAGCAGAGGAAATTCTTCTGCAAACAATGATAATTCCGAGTGGCAGGTATTCTAATACAGGATTGTACTAAGTTCTGTGGGAGCATGAAGAGGCAGAGACAAACTTTGTGGAAGCCCAGGGAAGTGGCATTTGAGTTGGTTGTAAAGGAAGGGTGGTGGCTGCCAGGTAGAGTAAGGGAAGAAAGTTGTTCTCAGTGGAAGAAAGAGAGTGTGTCCAGGCACAAAATGGGGGATGTCTGGAATTCATGCAGTGGAGGGAGGTGGGGGCTGAGGCTGTTAAGGTTGTAGACTTGTGTGGAAATTGAACTTTTATCCCAGAGACCACAGGAAATGCTGGGAGTCTTTTTAAAAATAATTAATTAATTATTTAAGTAGTCAAATAAAAATTGTATATATTTATGGTGTACAACACAATGTTTTGAAATGTGTATGCCAGCCTGACGTGGTGGCTTACTTACGCCTCTAATCCCAGCGCTATGAGAGACCGAGGCAGGAGGATCGCTTGAGCCCAGGAGTTTGACACCAGCCTGGGGCAAGATGGCAAAACTCCATCTCTACAAAAAAATACAAAAAAATTAACCAGGCATGGTGGTGTGCACCTGTAGTCCCAGCTACTGGGGAGGCTGGGGTGGGAGGATCACTTGAGCCCGGGAGTTCGAGGCTGCAGTGAGCCAGGATGGCGCCACTGCATTCCAGCCTGGGCAACAGAGTGAGACCCTGTCTAAAACAAAACAAAATAAAACACCGAAAAAAGTATGTATGCCTTGTGTGTTAAATTAAGATAATTAACATATACATTACCTCACATACTTATTACTTTTTGTAGTGAGAACACTCATCTACATTTTTAGTGATTGTCAAGACCACAATACACGTTGTTTTAACTATCGTGCCGTGTTGTACCATAGGTCTCTTGAACTTGTTCCTCTTGTGTAACTGACATTTTGTGTGCTTTGACCAACATCTTCCCACTCCGTTCCCCCAGCCCTCAGTCCCTGGTCACCACCATTCTGCTCTCTGCTTCTAAGAGTTCAACTTTTTTAGATTCCACCTGTGCGTGAGATGAAAGAGTGTCGGGATCTAAACTGTATTTGGGGAAGATACTTCTGGGGTCTTAGGGTTAGAGACTAGAGGCAGAGAGACCAGTAGGGGGTTTCTGCCATGGTTTCGGCAAGAAACGGGGGGCCAAGATGAGGGCAGTGGCTGAGAGGAAGTTCAGGAGGGGAAGGATGTGGTGGGAGCCACAGGGCTCAGTGACTGCTGGAGATGGGGACTAGCGGAGGGCAGGCCTGGGTAACTCACAGGTTTCTGGCTGGAACTGAGCAGATATATTGATGAGTCTTTTCATCCTCATAGTACTTACCACGTAATAGGTTCCTGAAAAATAGGCCTTGCTTGTTTGCACTTAAATATGAAAATATGAAAAACCTACATATATATATATATATATATATTTTTTTTTTTTTTTTTGAAAAGAGAAAAGGTCTTAGTCTTTCGCCCAGACTGGAGTGCAGTGGCGATTATAGCTCAAAAAACCTATAAGTGGGCCGGGTGTGGTGGCTCACACCTGGAGTTCCAACACTTTGGAAGGTCGAAATGGGAGGTTTGCTTGAGCTCAGGAGTTTGAGACCAGCCTAGGCAACATGGTGAGACCCGTCTCTACAAAAAATTAAAAAATTAGCCAGGTGTGGGGGTGCATGCCTGTAGTCTCAGCTGCTCAGGAGGCTGAGGTGGGAGGATCTCTGGAGCCTAGGAGTTTGAGGCTTCAGTGAGCTATGATCACACCACTGCACTCTAGTCTGGGCAGCCGAGGGAGAACTTGTCTCTAAATAAACAGAAAAAAGAAAAAGTAAAATAAAAAAAAATTTATATAAGTGAATTCTGAAATCAGTTTGCAAGAAATCAAGAGCCCAGCACACAGAATGCCCAAGTTTACAGAGACTCGCAGGGGGTCTGTGTACCTGGCAAGCTCAAGAGGACTTCCATGGAGCTGGACACTCACCATCTCCCTGAGGAGCAAAGATAACCACGAGGAATAACCAGAGCAGTACTGTGTGACAGCGTTGACAATCTGTGATGTCCTGTGTGCTGCAGATGGAAGTACACTGGGAGTCTGGAGAAGAGAAAGACCAGATGAGACTTCCAGGTAGGCCCTGAAGGGCAGGTAGGATGAGGACAGGTGTGAATGTTTCTTATGCCTTTGCTATCTGCCAGCAGCTGTTCTAAGTGATACCCGAACCCAGTTGATCCTCACCACAGATCTATGACGGGGACCATGCGATTGCTCCCAATTTACAGATGAGGACAGTGAGGAACGCACAGCTTAGGTCACTCCCTGAGGTTCTCTGGTAGGAGCTTGCAGGTGGTAAGCTCAGGTGGGCTCGCCCCAGAGACTCTTGAAACCTCCACAGTGCTCACTGATGTGCACAGGTGGAAGGGCCGTGGATAGCCCTTCAGAGACGCAGCAAGCCTCTGTGACCGGCCCAGGGGTGAGCAGGAGGTGAGCTCTGATAGGCTGTTGGGGAGATGGCCTTCACAGGCAGTTCTTTGTACCCAGAGACAGTTGGTTACCCAGGGGAAATCCTTCCTGACCATGGAAATCCCGGGGAGGAGGAGAAGGGAAGGAAGTGGAGAGGCTGCAGGGAGGTGCGGGCCCCCAGCGCCAGGGGTGCAGAGTGGGCAGGCCGGGTGCTAACTGCCCAGGGGTGTGGCAAGCAGGGCCCTTGCTAAGGGTGCTTCCCAGACAGCCGCTGCAGGCTGTGGCCTTGATCAGGGAGAGTGGGAGATGAGTGCCCTTGTAGCCCGTAAGGGGCCGGGGCTCAGCGAATGGAGCTGCTCTCGGCAGGAGGCTTCCCTTCTCCTCCTCATCACATCCGCTGGAGTGAAAGGAAGAAAAGGATCTCAGGAAGAAGGCCGAGTGGGAGCAGGCCCTGTGCAGCCGCAGGCCCCCCAGTCCCCCTTCTGTCTCTTACATAACAGAAGAGACTGCTCTCTCCCGGCTCTCCAGGCGAGGAAGCCGAGTGTGTCTGCTGCGTGTGTGTTTCTGCTGCCAGCCACTGCCCAGAGGGGCCACCGGGCGCGTCACAGCCTCTTCAGCCTAGTACTGAGGGCGGAGGAACTCCTGACTCATCCTCAGCCCTGAGTACTGCAGAGCCGCTGGCCAGCTGCCTGCCTGGGTCACACGGCTGCCTCTGATGGCCGGAACCTAGCAGAAGGGGGGCTTTCGGAGCCCCTTTCCACAGGCAGTCCCGGCCGGTGGGGAAGAGGATCCCACCGTGGTTTTGCAAAGAAGATAACGCCATGTTATTATGCATTCATGCTACAAAGACATAGTGACTCCCAGAAGGGCTGGGTGCTGCTCTGGGCAGTGGAGCCACAGCAGCGAAAAAAATGAATGAGAAACCCTGCACTTGAGGATCACATGTTTCTAGTGAATGAATGAGTGATGCTAACCAGATTCGTGAAAATTCTATGCAGCCTGAAGCTGAGGTTGTCCCATGGGGCATCCCCATCCTGTGCCCTGCCTCCACTCCAGACCCTGTGCTGCCTGGGCTACCTTATCTTGCCTCCTGGTCCTGGCCACCCCTGGAGTCAGTACAAATTATATGGAAGGCCAAGATTAGATCCAGAGCTGTGGGCCTCTTCTACCTGCCTGGCTCACATCACAGCCTCCAAAAGGAACAGACTTCCCTAAAGCCTGGTTTTTGGCAGAGCTTGCAAAGGAAGACCTGGACGTGCTCAGCCAGACAGAGACAGAGGTGACTCAGGAAGAGTCAGCGTGGGGTTTGCTTAGAAAAATCTCCCACGCAATTTGAGCTTAGGTTGGGCCAAAACGGACATCCTGGGAAGCTCACATTGTGGACAATAATTTGTCTGGTGGATTTGGAGAGTTCATTCAGAACTCCACACTATCCAGGTCTTTGGTGGGCTATTTGGGATACAAACAGGAGAGAGGGCCCTGGGGGAGCCTTGAGGTTAGTTGGGCCATTCGGGCTCAGTGCGCCATGTTGCTCTGTGGTATCGCAGTGCCTTGCAAATGCCCTGTAGCAGATGAGGACACAAATTAGACACTGAGGGCACTGGAAGTATTTTGGGCATTTCACCTGCCCAGCACTTCTTCTGGCCACTGCACCATCATTTTCCCTTGGAGAAATCTCTGGTCTTGGTGGAATTGCCAATCAAAATGCCTGCCTACAATGGATACCCCCATGCCCCCAGGCCAGCCTATCAGACTCTCTTTCTCTTGAGCAGACATGGGAACAGCTGGCATGAATTTGTCCCAATAGGACCATCCATGTGATTGTGCTCCTCAGATCCCAGCTGGCCGTGATTCCTGTCCCTCCAAGCCTGGTTATTCAGTTCTTTCTGCTACTCTGGGAACTACTTGTATCTGTCTCATACGTTCATTTTCTTGCCTAGATTAAGTTGTTTTCTGTTGCTGGCAACCTGAGAACCCTAAGTGATAGGAAAGCCAATCTGCAGCTTGCCCTTGGACCTCATCCTGCACAGGGAGAGGTTGAAATAGGTCCAACCAGGGTCACAGGGTCCCCGGAGCCCTGCTTTCCCCAGTGATGGTGAAGCCCTGGCAGGAGGAAGGCCAGCAGGCAGAGCCGCTTCTGTCCTGTGATGTCGTGGAAGAGCTGGCCTGCCCCTACTCTTTGGCTGGGTGGTCAATGTTGCCATTAAGAAAATTCCTTGATAGCTTGCACCACGGTTTCCAGAATGTCCTTTTTACCTTACTCCTGTTCTGGATAGAAGGGAGGGGGCCCCTCTCAGTATGTGCCCAGCGTCCGGCCTGGCCTCCCAGCTCTGACTCTTAACAGGCCTGGCTCCAAGGTCGCTGTCTCCCTCCTTGATCTACTCCTAAAAGCCCTGAAGCTAGTTCAGTGCTAGTAGACATGGAAAGTGTTAGAGAAGAAAGAACAAGACCTTTAAGTAGTATCAAACTATCAGCCGCAGCTCTGCCGCTTGCAAGGATGGGTCAGTTTTGCTGCCTATTACATCTCCAGTGCCAGCTCCTGGTGGTTCTGGAGTCCATCTGCTTTTAAGGAGGGCAGGTGCTTCCTTCTCCCCTTGAGTTTCCATAGCATCCTATCCCTGTACCTGTCTGCCTGCCGCACTCACCATGCTAGTTTTGGAATATGCTGCCCTAGGAGGTAGGAAGCACTCTCCTTCAGTGAGTTCCCATCCAGTCTGGAAGACCACCTACCAGGGATGTTTTAATGGAATGCAAGCTCAAAATTGGAAGTTGGACTAAATGAACATTAAGATCTTTTCTAACTTGGGATTTGATTATTCTGTATTTCTATTTTAAACTTTTAAAATATTTTTATTAGGACTTGTTTCAAGCATACAGAAAAGCACAAAAATAATACAACAAATAACAAATGCATACGTAACCACCTCCTAACTGCCAGATCCTAACTTTTGCCATGTTTGTTCCCGATACAAATAAACCCTGTGCAGATTTGTTTTTCTAATGAAATATTTATTAAGGTGTAATTTACATATAACAAAATGAATGGATTTTAAGTGTGCGATGTGGTAAGATTTGACAAATGTGTACATCTGTGCCACCAGCACCCCGGATAAGATATAGACCTTTCCTCATGCATCTTTTCCAGTCAATGCCCCCTGCCACAGGCAATCACTGTCCTACTTTCTCTCAACACAGATCAGTTTTGCCTGTTCTAGAACTTTATATAAATAGAATCATACAGAATGAACTCTTTTGTGCCTGGCTTCCTTTGCTCATCACAGCGTTTCTGGAATTCTTCCACATTGCTGCAAATATTAGTTGTTCTTTCCTCTTTATTTCAGAATAATATTTCATTGAATAAATGAATATACTACAATTTATCTATTCATCCAATAACAGTCCTTTGGATGCTGTATTTACCTAAGATAAATGAAAACATATGTCCACAAAAAATCATACAGGTACATTCATTGTAGCTTTTTAAAATAATACCTCCAAATTGGAAACAATCTAGATTTGTATTTTATTTTTATTTTTTGAGACGAACCCTCCCTCTGTCACCCAAGCTGGAGTGCAGTCGCATGATCTTGGCTCACTGCAACCTCTGCCTCGTGGGTTCAAGCGATTCTCCTGCCTCAGCCTCCTCAGTAGCTGGGACAACAGGTGCCCGCCACCACGACTGGCTAGTTTCTGTATTTTTAGTAGAGACAGGGTTTCACCATGTTGGCCAGTCTGGTCTCGAACTCCTGACCTCAAGTGATCCACCCGCCTTGGCCTCCCAAAGTGTTGGGATTACAGGCGTGAGCCACTGTGCCAGCATGCATTTTATTTTTTATATGAGCATCTTCCCTTCTAGACAGTGAGGACAAGATGCTTACCTGATTCGCCTGCATACTCTCAGTGTTTTGAACATTGCAGGTGATCAGTAAGTCTTGGTTGAATGGATGAAAGGTCAGGAAGAGGAGTATGCAGAACTCTGCTATCCTAGTTCAAGGGCTTAGGGGTATCAGTCCCAGTCATCCTGCTAGGAGAAAGGCTGAGTGTTAGGGAAGATGTAGGAGTTGGTTCACACCAGAGCCACAGTGCTAACCACAGAGCCCAGCACGTAAATGTTCAGAATGTGTGTGATGAATGAATGAAAAGGAGTTAGCAGACTGCCCACTGTGGAATCCACTTGGTCCTCTTGCTTCCAGATTATCCTTACTTCCTGGAAAAACAAACCTTCCAGGATATAGGGACAAAAGGAAAATGTTAAATAGGGAGGAATGTCTGGGGGATGGGGCTGGAGATAAGGACCAGGAGGTTGACAGTTTCCAGAATAAAGAATAAGAGGGGTTCTCTCTCCTGCCCCCAAACCCCATACCTTATTCCTCTTATTCCTGTATACTGATAGAACCAAGCACAGCACTTCTCCCATTTAGGATCAAGAAATTCACCTGGCTGGGTGCATTGGCTCACATCTGTAATCCCAGCATTTTGGGAGGCCGAGGTGGGTAGATCATCTGAGGTCAGGAGATTGAAACCAGCCTGGCCAACATGGTGAAACCTTGTCTCTACTAAAAATACAAAAATTACCCGGGCATGGTGGCAGGGACACCTGTAATCCTAGAAACTCGGGAAGCTAAGGCAGGAGAATCACTTGAACCCTGGAGATGGAGGTTGCAGTGACCCGAGATCATGCCACTGCACTCCAGCCTGGGTGACAGAGTGAGACTCTGACTCAAAAAGAGAAGAGTAGAGAAAAGGAAAGGAAAAGAAAAGAAAAGGATAAAAGAAAAGATTAAAGGCTACAATTCAACAGTCATTGCCATTGAGGCGATTTTCCTGCTCATGTTTTCTCTTTCTGGGTCCAATTCAGAAATGTTTTCTGTCAATATGTCAGTGTGGGTGGAAAAAAAAAAACCTGGAAGATTTTCTGTTTTATATCCTTGTTGATAAACTCACAAACAAGGCCCCATCGCCTTCAATGGGTGATAGAAGGGTAGGAAATTCTCATCCTTGCAGGTCTAAAAATAAGTCCTTGTTGATGATCTGGACAATCTGATTGCTTGAAAAAGCAGCAGCCTGGAGTTTTACCACATGAAACAGAGGGTGCACTTCCCTGGCTGGGCCCAGGACACCAGAATAATAATAAAGTTGACCTTTTGCAAAGGAACATTGAGAACCTTGGGGCCATGGCTTTCCCCACTCTCTCATTTTATGGCCCTGTACTGAATTTCGTATAAAATATCTGAGTACATATTTTAGTGTAAACGTCGTTTATTTCCTGTTAGGACTTAAAGTGGTTTATATATTCAGCCTGACCTTTGAAGAAGATATGACACGAATAGGATTTTGAAGGATTTACTTTATGGAAGATCTTGAAGATTAAAGATCGTTCAGTCAATAAAAAAGACTTTCTTTTTTCCTACTTGTTGCCTAACAGAACTGATGGCCTCAAATGTTTCCTTTTGCTGGCTTTGTCGGGGCCAAAGGAAAACTATCCCTTTGCCCTCTGAAGATTTGCTGAAAAATCAACTGAAATAAGGCAGATTAATAGGAGGAAAGGCATACAAATTTATTTTAATGTGCATGGGTAGGAGGAAGCACAGGGAATCACAAGAGTGTGATTACCCCGGCCGGGCGCGGTGGCTCACGCCTGTAATCCCAGCACTTTGGGAGGCCGAGGCGGGCGGATCACGAGGTCAGGAGATCGAGACCATCCTGGCTAACACGGTGAAACCCCGTCTCTACTAAAAATACAAAAAATTAGCCGGGCGTGGTAGCGGGCGCCTGTAGTCCCAGCTACTCGGGAGGCTGAGGCAGGAGAATGGCGTGAACCTGGGAGGCGGAGCTTGCAGTGAGCCGAGATCGCGCCACTGCACTCCAGCCTGGGCGACAGAGCGAGACTCCGTCTCAAAAAAAAAAAAAAAAAAAAAAAAAAAAAGAGTGTGATTACCCCACAACCCAACACAGTTTATTTATTTATTTATTTATTTGAGATGGAATCTCACTCTGTTGCCCAGGCTGGAGTGCCGTGGCGTAATCTCAGCTCACTGCAACCTCCGCCTTCTGGGTTCAAATGATTCTCCTGCCTCAGCCTCCCAAGTAGCTGGGATTACAGGCATGCACCACCAAGACCAGCTAATTTTTGTATTTTTAGTAGAGACAGGGTTTCACCATGTTGTCCAGGCTGCTCTCAAACTCCTGAACTCAAGTGATCCACCTGTTTTGGCCTCCCAAAGTGCTGGGATTATAGGCACGAGCCATCACACCCAGCCTTTTTTCTTTCCTTTTGAATCAAATATGCCTACCAAGTGACTCAACCAAACCAATAAGCCTGTATGACAACCAAGGATGCATGAGCCATCTCCAAAGAGGTGCAAAGAAGGAGTCCTCACAAGATCCAGAGCCACCTTACAAAGACAACAAAAAAAGGCACCTGGAGATGAGCAGGAAGACAAGAGCTGTTCACAGGAGGGAAGAGGATCAAGAACAAATGGGTAGTGCAAAAAGTCGAGTCACACAAATACATAATCAAAACAAATAATTCAAACAAATTCTTTTTTGTTGTTGTTGTTTTTGTTTTTTGTTTTGATCCGAGTTAAGGGATTTACGTCTTCCAGAAATTGGTTCCCTGACTTGGAATCAAACCCAAGCTACAATGTGGAAGTGCAGAATCTTAACTACTAGGCAAGTGACAGGGTAGAGTGAGTGCCTTTTTTTTTTTTTTTTTTTTGCAAATCCCACAGGGAACCCAAAGCAGGCGGTGTGAGTGTACAAGGGATTTTTAACGTTTTTTTTTCTTTTTTTAAGAAAGGTCTTACTCTGTCACCCAGGCTGGTGTGCAGTAGAGCAATCAGCTCACTGCAGCCTTGTCCTCCTGGGCCCAAGGCCCATCTCAGCCTCCTGCGTAGCTGCAACTACAGGCATGCACCACCATGCCTGGCCACTTTGTTTTCAATCTGTTAAAAATCTTGCCAAATGAATTCTTTTTCTTCTTTCTTTTTTTTTTCCAGCAGAGTCTTGCTCTTTTGCCCAGGTTGAAGTGTAGTTGGAGTGCAATGGTGATCTCGGCTTACTGCAACCTCCGCCTCCAAAGTTCAAGCGATTCTCCCACCTCACCCTCCTGAGTAGCTGGAATTACAAGTGTGCACCACCATGCCCAGCTACTTTTTGTATGTTTAGTAGAGACAGGGTTTCACCATGTTGGCCAGGCTGGTCTCAAACTCCTGGCCTCAAGTGATCTGCCCACCTCAGCCTCCCAAAGTGCTGGGATTACAGGTGTGAGCCACCGTGCCTGGTCCAAAATAATTTTCAAGGCTGTATTTCTTTCCTATCTTTTCATAGGTACCAGTAAGATTGCTATTTAAGATGTGAGCTCTCTAAAAAGTTTTAAAAATATATATGGCCATATACTTATCCCATAAGTGACTCAAGCCGATGAGCCTTTTTCATAAAAAGTCCCAGAGGTAAATTTCCAGGTTTAGAATATCATGGATGTTAGTGATATTTTTTAAAAATGGTCACAGAAAATGCAGCCTCCATGATTCTCCGAAAATTCACTACCAGAAATAGACTAAGCTAGCAAAAAGACTCTTGTTGCCACAGATGGTTAAGAATGGTGTTTGTGCATATGGTGCCTCCAGGACCCACATACTTGTTGGGTGGGAGGGCTTGCCAATCGCAGACCCATTAATCTGTGACCCCAGGTGGGCCCTCCTGGGATTGGACTTTCCCAGGAGTACCAGGCAACAAGAGTTGAGACAACAAAAGCCCCTCATGGAGGGGACCTCCTATTAAGATAAACTCCCCTCAGAGCTTGGCATGCTAGGAACAGAGAGTGTGCTGCTTAAAATTTGAACATGTCTTGTCATCCCCAGTGCTTTTGGACTGGCCACCAGACATGACTTGAAAATCATGCCCCTCGGATAGCAGATGGTGGGGGGCTCCCACTTGGTCACAAATCAAGCTCTCAAGGACATCAAACAAGATGAGAGGTGAACCTCATCCGATCTTTATCTCAGAGACCCACAGTACAATTTGCTAGTCTGATGAGAACAAAAATCATCAATCTTTAAGGGCTCAAGGAACAGGTTTAGAGGGGCATTAGGCTCATGCCCTACCCTATGATACCCCTCTTTGTGACAAAATGACACAGGAAGACAAAGACAGGAAAAACAAGGACTATTTCTGGGGGGAAAAAGATCAGACTATGAATATTCTTAACAATAAATACATCAGAGTCGCTAAACCTAACACTAGTTACACAAATACTTTTCTCCCATTCATCTTAAACTTGGAAAAAGAAAAAGAGACAAACAGTGACTTTTATCATCCGCTCAACTGGATTCCACATAAAAGAGACCAGGAATCTGACCGGTAAGAATTTCTTACCCTTCTGCCAGCTTGTCAGGTCCTGGGTTCCCTTGACTGCAGCTTCCAGAAAAGCAGAGTGGATTTGGTTGTCCTGCTCACAGTGCCAAAACTGCAGGGGCCAAGGGAAAACTTTCTCGCCACGCTCTGAAGGTTTGCAGAACACCAACTGACAAGAGGCAGATTCACAGGAAAAAAGGCATATAGAATTTATTTTAACCTGCAATGGGGGGAACCATAGGAAATCAATGACCCCGTAACCTGATGGGTTACAGATGCTTATATACCCTTCATAGGGGAAAGCTGGAGAAATGTGGACGGCTTTGAGAGGTATAGTAAATGATTTTTAGGATAATTCAATGGGCTTGGAGAACATACGATGGCCTGGGACAATGTCTGTTGGGTCCACAGAGCAGACAATGGCTGGTAAAATATTCTCTTTGAAATACTGAATGGGACTGAAGCAGAAGACAATGGTTTGTGACAAGTCTGTCCAGGTGTGTTGATAAGCTTCAGCCTTTCTTCCTGCGATATGAGCTTGGTTAATGAAAACTCAGGGAAGGGACCAGAAGTGATTGTTTTCTTCTTTGGTGGGTGCAGACTTTAGGCAGATAAGGGAACTTCAGAGAACAGCTTCATCCTGCACTTTGGGACAGAGAGAAGATTGAGAGACAGGAGGGGGAGGTCAGAGAGACCTGGAGGCTGCTTCTGTAGTCCAGCATGTCAAAGTGCCGTTTTTTAGGTATCCGTTTCTGAGCCTCAACAGCACCATCCTTTCTTTCAAGGGGCAGCTGGGGTTTGGAGAAGATGGAGCTGGTCCCAAATTCTGCCTTTGTCCCTCACCAGCTGTGGGACTGTTGCTGACACACCTAAGCAAGTCCAGACACTCAGCAAGCAGCAGGGGTCACCTGGCAAAGACCACGACCTTCTGAGATAAGTGGGCTGAGGTCTCTTTCCTCAGCCATGTTCCTAATAGTGGATAACGATGAAAGCGAGTCTTCAACTAAATTCTACTAAGCATACAAATATTTATTAGCAAGCTGGTATAAAGAGTCCTGCAACCTGGTCACCCAACCTGTCCTGTGTCACTCAGACAGGTGCCTTGCCTGGAAGGTTTGCTCAGAAGTGCAGGGCACATTTTTGTTAGGTCCACAGGGAATGGGAAAGACAGAATCAATAGGAATGTCCCCTGGCATGAAAATGCCTGACTTGCCTTTTTAGCCTCAAATATGCAAGGCCACTGGAGGCTGTGTAATATTTCTAACCAATGACCTCTTTTAGAATGAATCACCTATTCATGTAGCCAATACAACTATTTCTAGCATCCCTTATGCTAATAAACTCTCTAGTGTAGCTTTTCATACTATAACTTAAATGCTAAGTAACTACCTTTGAAGATATTGATCCTTGATTAAGTCACTTCATCTGTTAACCACTCCTGGAAGGCTAGGTCCTGATTTGTCCTTGAATGCTCACTAACTGCCCGCAGTGTATAAATTAGAAGCATCTTGTACAAGTATCACACTGTTTTTATGGGCGTATTTTTAAAGTTGGCTGGATACAGTGGCTCCCACCTGTACTCCCAGCATTTTGGGAGGCTAAGGAGGGAGGATCGCATGAGCCCAGGAGTTCAAGTCCAGCCTAGGCAACACAGTGAGTTCCCATCTCTACAAAAAACAAAACAAGTTAGCTGGGTGTGGTGGTGCATGTCTGTAGTCCCAGCTACTTTGGAAGCTGGGGCAGGAGGATAGCTTGAGCCCAGGAGTTGGAGGCTGCAGTAAGCTATGATCGTGCCACTGCACTCCAGCCAGGGCGGTAATTTACTTTAATTTTAGAGTGAGTTAACTACTGCAAAAGCAATGCAGCAGTGACCAAGGACAAATTACTTAACCTCTTGAAGATTCCTGTTCCCCATCTGTGGAATGGCAATATCATTATCTTGTAAGGGCATACTGTGAGCATTAAAGGAAACAAATGTATAGAAAATAAACCAATACACACACATACAATTTTGTGTGCATGTGTGTGGGGGTGTTCATGTGTGTGGGGGTGTGCATGTGTGTGGGGGTGTGCACATGAGTGACAGGCACATAGTATTTCTAAATGTGAATCCTCTGCACTTCCCTCTTAAGATATCTAAGGAATGAAAAGGAGAACGTGACAGGGTGGGATAAGGAAGCACAGATACGGAATAGTGGAAGCCAGAGGAAACCTGAAGGATTCTTTAAGATCATCAGAGGCATCTCCCAGCCTTCTTTTAGAAATGTCCCCTGGTAGAAATTAACATTAAGAGGGAAATTCAGCAAAACAGAGAGACTCAGGAATTTTTCAAAGAGGTTTCCCTCTGAGTTTTTCATCAAAAATATTCCAGATGTCCATTACCCTAATGCCTCGGAGTGATAGGTCCTTATCAGATTACAAAGGAGAGACTGAGGCCTCTGGGGCTGTGCAACAGCCTGGCCTCGGGTGTCATTGTGAATTATCCTTACTCATGATGCTCACAAACTTCCCTGAGCCTCACATTCTTCCTGTAAACATGGGGCATAACAAAATCTACTTCACAGCCAGGCATGGTTGCTCACACCTGTAATCCCAGCACTTTGGGAGGCTGAGGTGGGCAGATCACTTGAGGCCAGGAGTTTGAGACCAGCCTGGCCAACATGGTGAAAACTTGTTTCTATGAAAAATACAAAAATTAGCTGGGTGTGGTGTGCATGCCTGTAATCCCAGCTATTTGGGAGGCTGAGGCTCAAGAATCACTTGAACCCGGGAGGCAGAGATTGCAGTGAGCTGACATCCTACCACTGCACTCCAGCCTGGGCGACACAGTAAGATTCTGTCTCAAAACAAAAACAAAAACAAAAACAAAAGCAACAACAACAACAACACAAAAGACACACTTAGTTCACAGGGTTGTAGCGGGTGGCATTGGGAATGTTTGACTTTGACAAACCATTTGCTGAAATTTGTTAAAGAACTTTTTTTCTGAAGACTGATTTTCTGATTTTTAATTTTTTAATTAAAAAATTTTTAAATAGTAGGTGTTTATATTAATGAGGTATATGGGATATTTTGATAAAGGCATACAATGCATAATAATTACATCAGGGTAAATGAGACATGCATCCCCTCAAGCATTTATCCTTTGCATTACAAACAATCCAATTATACTCTTTTAGTTATTTTATTTTAATTTTTTTATTTTTTTGAGAGGAAGTCTTCCTCTGTCACCCAGGCTAAAGTGAAGTGGCACAATCTCAGCTCACCGCAACCTCCACCTCCCAGACTCAAGCAATTCTCCTGCCTCAGCCTTCCAAGTAGCTGAGATTTACAGGAATGTGCCACCACGCCAGGCTAATTTTGTATTTTTAGTAGAGACAAGTTTTCTCCATGTCGGTCAGGCTGGTCTTGAACTCCTGACCTCGGGTGATCTACTCGCCTCAGACTCCTAAAGTGCTGGGATTACAGATGTGAGCCACCACGCCCAGCCTTTTAGTTATTTTAAAAATGTACAATTAAATTATTATTGAGACTGGGTGTGCTGGCTCACGCCTCATCCCAGCATTTTGGGAGGCCAAGACAGGGGGATTGCTTATACTCAGGAGGTCAAGACCAGCCTGGGCAACATAGTGAGATCCCATCTCTACAAAAAATTTAAAAAATGAGCTGGGTGTGGTGGTGTGTGCTTGTGATCAAAGCTGCTTGGGATGCTGAGGTAGGAGTTTCACTTGAGCCCAGGAGCTCGAGGCTGCAGTGAGCCGTGATCACATTACTGCACTCTAGACTGGGTGACAGAGCGAGACCCCATCTCAAAAAATACATACATACATACATACATACATACATACATACATACATACATACTGAATATGGTCACCCTGTTGTGCTATTAAATACTAGATCTTATTCACTCTATTTTTTTTTTTGTACCTATTAACCATCTCCTCCTCTGATTTTTAAGTTTTGGCATGAAAAAGTCAAGATTGTGTCAGACAGCAGGATAAGGCCTCAGATCAGGGCAGTTGTTTAGGGAGGAAGCTCTGTTTCTTAAGAAGATGTGTGGGAATAGGAAGTGGAAATAACAGGAAAGGAAATTGGGAGTGAACAACAACCAGAAATTTCCTTCCTTAAAAAGGAAGGAAAGTAAAAGAGGCATCTCCTTTCTTTAAAAAAAAAAAACCGTCCTCCACCTCCCATCCCGCTCTCAGACCGTCCCCTGCCTCTCATCCCACTCTTTGGTTTGAGGCCTTTGGTTGGAGGCCTTTGGTTGTCTCTGAGCAACAAACAGTTGCAGAGTCCCTGCGCACTGCTGAAGCCTCTAATGCCATAGCATCCATCGCGGGGGCCAACGAGGTAAGCTGTACCTTCTCCAGGGCTCTGGACAGACCCGGGCTTACCCACACCACCCCTTGCCTTGGTTCCAGAAAGGGACTTGTCTGTGCAGAGGTTTTGGAGAGAAATTCAGTTTTCTTCTTTTTCTCCTTCTCTGTGGAATCTTGGATGATTCTTTCTCTTTCACATACTGTGAAATGATGGAGTTCATTGTTTCACACTCACACACAGATGCCTCCCTCTTTCATGTAAAATTCTGGGCTTTTTCTTAACCAGACGGGATCTTACTCTGTCACCCAGGCTGGAGTGCAGTGGCACAACCATAGCTCACTGCAGTCTCCAACTCTTGGGCTCAAGCAATCCTCCCATCTCAGCCTCCTGGGTAGCTGGGACTACAGGCATGTGACATCACGATCTGCTATTTTTTAAAATTTTTGTACAGATGGGGATCTCACTCATTTGCCCAGACTGGTCTCAAACTCCTGGCCTCAAGTGATCCTCCCACCTCAGCCTCTCAAAGGGCTGGGATTACAGGCATGAGCCACTGCACCAGGACTAAGTGATGGGCTTTAGATGCACCAGGACTTCAGAATTTGGGGTCCACCCTGTGTCTTCACTCTTCAGCTTTGTTTAACAAAAACCCAAACAACCCCCAATTTCAGCTCAGGATACTCAGGTCTGCCTCTAGCTTTTTTTGTTTCTGTTTCCCTTTCCCCTCTGTGCCTACCTTACCCCTAATTCTTCACATCCTCCTGCCCAAGAAAAGTTTTATCTATCTGTCCAGGTCTTTGCTTGGGGAAATCACAGAAATTATAATATGCCACCACCCAGGGCAAGCCATACTTTAAAGAGCTTGGCAGTTGAGAGTTGAGGGGAAGAAAAGGAAGACGAGATCCTCATAAAATGTCGCAATACATAATTTTCTACTTTTGTGTTTGTTTTACTTCAAATAAAGCCTTGCTTTATCTGATCTTTATACACCTGAAACCAGGTTCTCTCTCTCTTTTTTTCTCTCTCTCTCTTTTGCCAATCACTACAAACTTGATCCCCGGGGGGAATTACATGGCATCCAAATTCATATTTGTGTACTTGAGGTTAGGGAGCATATTTTATTTTTCCTTATATGTGGTTTCTCTGACTCATTTGCTGTTTTTCTTTTCCTCTGATAGGTGACCAAAATGACAAGTCTTCAAGTCTGTTCCAAAAAATAGCTGAGAGCAGAAGCAGAGTCCTCAGAGCATCCTATGTTCCAGGCATGGGTGACAGCCACACGATAGGGCGGAGGGACACGCACAGGTGACCCCCACAAGCTGGTGTGCACAGTATGTGTGCTCCAGAAGCAAGCCCAGGCCCGGCTTTCTTATAAAGGGAAATTAACTTAGATTGGGAGTGTGCGAATATATGGCTAATATATGTTCATTATAAAAAGTTCAGTCAGGTGCAGTGGCTCACACCTGTAATCCCAGCACTTTGGGAGGCCAAGGTGAGCAGATCATCTGAGGCCAGGAGTTTGAGACCACCCTGGCCAACATGATGAATCCCTGTCTCTACTAAAAATGCAAAAAATTAGTCAAGCATGGTGGCATGAGCCTGTAATCCCAGCTACTTGAGAGGCTGAGGCAGGAGAATCGCTTGAACCAGGGAGGCAGAGGTTGCAGTGAGCCGAGATCGTGCCACTGCACTCCAGCCTGGGTGAGACCCTGTCTCAAAAAAAAAAAAAAAAAAAAAGTTCAGACTAGTAAGACATTTTGCCCATAATCCCAGCACTTTGTGAGGCCAAGGCAGGCAGATCACTTGAAGTCAGGAGTTGGAGAACAGCCTGGTCAACATGGTGAAACTCTGTCTCTACTAAAAATGCAAAAAATTGGCCAGGCTGGGTGGCAGGTGCCTGTGATCACAGCTACTCAGGAGGCTGAGGCAGGAGGATCACTTGAACCTGGGAGCGTAGGTTGCAGTAAATAGAGACGGTGCCACCTCTGCGCTCCAGCCTGGGCGACAGAGCAAGACTCCATTTCAAAAAAAAAAAAATGACATTCTGTGCATAAAAAAGAATCCCACTGTCTACCCATAATTACTAATAACATTACAGTATGTATCTTCCCTGTCTCATTATAATATATAGACAGTTTTTTAAACAAAAAATTACATCACGCAAGTGCTTATTTTTTAACAACCAAAACATGGAATCATACTACAAACTTGGTACCTTGATTTTTAACTTACCATGTTGTAGACATTTAACCATGTTGATATATAGATTTACAATGTTGTTATTGTTGGTTTTTTGTTTTTATTTTTTGAGATAGGGTCTTGCTCTGTGGCCTGTGGCCCAGGCTGAAGTGTGGTGATGCAATCATGGCTCAATGAAATCTCTGTCTCCCGGGCTCAAGTGATCTTCCCACCTCAGCCTCCCGAGTAGCTGGGACTACATGTGCATGCCACTATACCTGGCTTATTTTTTTTTTTTTTTTTTTTTGGTAGAGACGAGGTTACACCATGTTGCCCAGGCTGGTCTCGAATACCTGGGCTCAAGTGGTCCTCTTGCCTTGGCCCTCCCAAAGCACTGGGATTACAAGAGTGAACCACTGCACCCAGACCATTGTTTTTATAATATTGTTTTAAAATAGTTCAATAGTATTTTATTTTATGGATACATCACAATTGATTTAACTCGTATCCTAGTAATAGTTTTTTTGCTGTTAGAGATAATGCTAAGATAATGTAATAATGTCTATTTGCTCATATGTATTTGTCCAGTGAGTTCTGAGAACACATTTTCAGAAGGGGAAAATTGCTGGGCACTGCATGTATTGTCAGTGTCTCCTCTTTGCCTCACCCCGCATCACCTCCTGTTTTCACAAATTTCATTTCTTTTAGGGCACTTTGTGTTTGTGTTTATTTCCCAACTATGTCAGGGGCCTGTTATACTGTGAGTAGAACAAAGAAAAAGATGCAAATTCCCTGGACAAAATGCAAACGTTTCTTCTTCCACTGTCCATATTGAAACACTCGTCTTCTTCACAATCCTTTAAAGGCTGCTGTTCGGCCAGGCCCCAGCCAGGTATCTAGCCAGGGGCTGACTGCAGCCAGATCTCACAGGCCCTCTGACAGTGCTTTCTCTTCTGGTTTGAACTCTTCTGTCTCAAAACACGCATTGTCTTCCAGCACCTGTAGTGCACTTGGCATCCGGGACACTTGATGATCTGAATTTACTTCTTCACATTCCAGTAAGGCATTGATGGGCTCTTTGGATTCCCCAGTGTAGGTAACGCTCAGCAGAACTCTCTGATCACTTCCTCTCCGCTCTTCTGGTAGTCCGTGCTCTGTCCTGCTTTTTAAAGCCTGATTTGGTGAGAACGGATCATTTGGGGTTGGATGTGGTGGATGAGGGGCAGGCTAGAGGGGCCAGAAGAGCCACCAGAGAGATGATTTTCTTCTTGGCCCTGTTTTTACAATTTACTCACTCTTTCAACCCACCCAGAGGATAGACAGGGAATGCAGGGGAAAAAAACTTCTGACCTTCAAGCCAGGAGGCATCTCTAGTGAATGTATGAAAATGGAGTTTGGCCTCATGGGTGGAAATGTGGTTTGGAGAATCTCAGAGAGGCTAGTGAAACTGTGAACGCTGAATAAGCAGAAAACTTGAGACCACTTCTGGAATAGCGGGCACGTCTGGGTTTATTACCCAGTTTATTCTCCTTCCTCCCTCAGGTGACAGATGAGAAGATCAAACGGGATGACATTTATTTGCTTTGAAAATAAGTTAGAGGGCTAGGCGCAGTGGCTCATGCCTGGAATCCCAGTACTTTGGGAGGCTGAGGCAGGCGGATCACTCAAAGTCAGGAGTTTGAGACCGGTCTGGCCAACATGGTGAAACCCCGTCTCTACTAAAAATATAAAATTTAGCCAGGTGTGGTGTCTAGTGCCTGTAGTCCTAGCTACTCAGAAGGCTAAGGCAGGAGAATCACTTGAACCTGGGAGACGGAGGCTGCAGTGAGCCGAGATCATGCCACTGCACTCCAGCCAGGGCGATAGAGTGAGACTCCGTCTCAAAAAAAATAAATAAATAAAAATAAAAAAAGGAAGAAAATAAGTTAGAGCACTACTCAATCTTAAAGTTTTAGGTCATCAGACTATCCCTAACCCTTATCAAAATAGGTAATTAGAAAATTGACTATGCATGTCATGGAATACTATGCAGCCATAAAAAATGATGAGTTGTCCTTTGTAGGGACATGGATGAAGCTGGAAACCATCATTCTCAGCAAACTATCGCAAGGACAAAAAAACCAAACACCGCATGTTCTCACTCATAGGTGGGAATTGAACAACGAGAACACATGGACACAGGAAGGGGAACATCACACACTGGGGATGGTTGTGGGGTGGGGGGAGAGGGGAGGGATAGCATTAGGAGATATACCTAATGCTAAATGACGAGTTAATGGGTGCAGCACACCAACATGGCACATGTATACATATGTAACAAACCTGCACATTGTGCACATGTACCCTAAAACTTAAAGTATAATAATAATAAAATAAAAAAAAAGAAAATCGACAATGCATGTGTAGATAGCTACTGGAAAAATACATTGTCAAGATGCATATTACGTATCAAGCCGTCTTGGGAGGCCAGTATAAGAATGTCTAGAAATTGGTCACTTTATTTGAAACAAAGTTGTTCAATTTTAAAACTTTCCAATTCCTCCCAGTTATCCTATTTATAGATATTTTTCTTTAAAAAGTAAATTCTTCCTCTCCAAAGGGTGACAGGCCTAAAGTTGTGGAGAGAGTGGGTGCAGAGAGGATTGTGGGGTGAGCTCTGATCATCTCTACCTAAGAGATGAGAAATTGAAGTAGGAACATTTACGGTCCTTGATATGAGAATTTAAGCCAGACTGCTTCCTTCTGGGACAGTGGACACTTGAACATATAACCAGCACCCTTTCCTGTTGTATTCCCAGCACTAATAGATTCATGAGGCTCACCGCTCACCTTTGAGTGGAGAGAATCCAGGAATGGTCAGCGTGATCAAGCAGTCCTGGGGATTTCCCACACGTAGGGGAGAGATGAGAGCTGGGGACTCTGCTGAAACCCTTCATTCACCCTGGGCCAGAGGCTCCTGTTTTGTAGATTCTTCACTTTGCTTTGCTTAAACAAATTTTACCTGCTTGGCAGGTCTCTACCTCTGGCATCTCTCCTTAGGAGCTCTGGGTAATAACAGCTGTCAGCACCATCAGCTCGTGCTGTCAGCTGCTGAGTGGTCAGAGCAGCTGACTCTGGGAACAGGTCCACACCTGTGTTTCTGAGGTGAGGCTGGAATGAGGTATGGGGAGGAAAGGGCAGAGACATAGGGGAGGCAAACTCAGGGGCGGGGTGTGGGGTGAAGTTCAACTTTGGTATTCCAAACCAGAAGAGTCAATGAGGACTTCACTAATTAAGCCATGAATTAAAACCAAAGTAAGAAATGGGGACTGCATGGCCAGAAGCAGAGGCACGTGCGTGTAGTCCCAGCTACTTGGGAGGCTGAGGTGGGAGGATTGCTTGAGGCCAGGATTTAGAAGCTGCGTTGAACCACGATCATGCCAATGCACTCCAGCCTGGGCAATAGAACAAGACATGATCTCTAAAAAACGGTGGAGGGGGGATTGTACTTGTTAATGATCAGATGCTAAAACAAGACCCGTTTGAAGGCTGTAAGCATTTCAGAGTCCCAGGGCCTAAACAGGGTATCTAGAGTGATGTAAACCATTTTTGCATTTTGAAATGGAGTAGGTCTGGTACCTTATTAGTTAAAGACTTTTCAGAGCTTGATTCTATCTTGTCTAATGGTTTCTGCTCCCTATCCACTATTGGCTGGAATGGGAGCCTGGAACCTTTTTATTTTCATCCCTCTTCACTCAGGTAGAATGATGTGCTGCAAATGCTGGTTCTGCCTCGTAAGGCTGGGGGAGTGGCGCTCCCGTAAGCCTTCTTTTCCCCTTATTCAGGGCCTGTTGTGAACTTCAAGGGAAGTACAGTCTAGCACTCAATCTACCAAAGGCTGGTTTTGTTTCATCACTCACTGGGAGTCCTAGAAACCTCTGGACCCTTTCATAATGCCCAAATCTCTTTCACAATTCCATAATTAAGTCTCCCAGCACTGAGGACTCTGTCTTTATTCTTAAGACTTTATTTTATACCTGGAAGTCTTTAAATAATTTCTCACCCTAGATACCCACCCAAAAAGCTTTGGGGAACTTTCAGAATTGGTTTAACTGCGTATGCTGGATCTTTTGTTAAATGCCTTGCAGGGAAACAGGATTGAACAAATATGAGGAAAGTGTTTTAGAAACAATTTGCCAGATGGCTCTTCTCTGCTTGTCATATTAGCTTGGTTTCGTGACTTATGAGTAAATTTCCTTGTACAATTCCCACCGGAGCTACAGAGTTAGCAAGAGCATGTCAGAGGAGTATCTAAATAAATCCTAAGCCAAGGGGAGTTTTCAATCATAAAACTTCTTGGTGACTTTAATCACATAGAAGAACCTCACAGGGCTTCGAAGGAGAGCATTTATGAAATAACCCAAAAGCCTGTGCAGGAACCAAGACTGCCTCTCCACCGCAAAAACAAATGGAAACCAGTTCGAACACAACTTACAGTTGAATCTCTCTCCCTCACTTGTAGTTAATTTTACTTCTTTCAGCACTGGCGTTAGATCTACCAAAATAGTATGTATGACACTGGCTTTTCTCAGGCTGCATGGATCACAACCAGGAAGGGAAAATGCCAAAAGTTTCTCAAGGCAAAATATTTTCTTCATTTTCCATATGGAGAAGTTGGAAATGGCTTTTCAACTCGTATAAGGAAAGTACGTTTCTGTGGCTACTACCGTCTGATGAAAACGGTGGAGAGAATCCTTCCCCAAGAGTAAGAAATACTTCCATTTTAAGGTCTCCTACTTGATTGCAAAATGATTATTGATTTTAGAGTTGATTTTTCCACCTCTGAAACTGAGTACACAGTAAAACTTCACTCTCCAAAGTCCTTGCTAGCAGGTGCTGTTTCTGTGCTTGCAGGTGGGAGTGGGGCAGAGGAAAGAGAGATACAGTCTATCTAATAAAGTCCAAGTCTGTTCATAGATAAACTCTTCTGTGCCCTGCTATTGTTGGTGATTCTATTTAAATGGAAATGAATGGGAGTAGTATATGTTCTTTCTTAGTTCAGTTCGGTAGGTTAATGTTGCTTAAGTGCTTGAGTTTTTCTAAAACAAACTAACAAGAGAATTAAACCTGGAAGTTAAGAGACCTGGGTCCTATCTGGTTCTAGCTCTGCCATTGATTTAGTTTGTGACTTGAACACTCTGATCCTTTTTTTTTTCCATCTGTGAAATGGGGTTTTAGGGGAATGGTTAGATTTGACAATTTTTAAGATTCCGTCTGCTTGGGTTATAGAATGATTATTCTCCTTTTTAGTCCTTTTTACATTATACCTTATTAGCACTGACCTCCTTTCTTGAGTGGCTGCATAGGTGGTAGCATTTTCTTTAGAAAATTCTTCAAATAAGAATTTTAAGTACCTAGGTGTTAGAAGGTTGATGTTTAGCTCTGTCAGGGGTTTTATTTTTATCTATTTATCTATTTTGAGACAGAGTCTCCCTCTCTCCCCCAGGCTGGAGTGCAGTGGTGCGATCTTGGCTCACTGCAGCCTCCACCTCCCAGGTTCAAGTGATTCTCTCGCCTCAGCCTCCTGAGTAGCCGGGATTACAGGCGTGCGCCACCACATGTGGTTAATTTTTGTATTTTTGGTAGAGATGGGATTTCTCCATGTTGGCCAGGCTGCTCTCAAATTCCTGGCCTCAGGTGATCTACTCACATCAGCCTCCCAAAGTGCTGGGATTACAGACGTGAGCCACCTTGCTCGGCCCTGTTAGAGATTATTTGTATATGTTCTGGGTATGTTATAGGGCCACCAACTGAATAGACCTCCAAAATTATCACTCTTTTTGCCATTGATGAGCCAATTATGAATAAGACCTTGAATTTCTAAGCAATCATCATAGTGGGCAAGGCTATTCACTCCACTGTCTTCCTCACTCCACCATCTTCCTCACTCCACCATCTTCCCACTTGCTTGTTCAGGCTGCTTGGAATCTCTCTCCCTATGACGTTATGTCATTGCCTCTTTTGTATCAGGTTCCTAGCCAAAATGTGCACTCCTTGCATTAGGGCCATCTCTCACCGCTGTCTAACAACGGTCCCTTTCCATCGCCCTCACATTTTTCTGTTTTATTATCTTTCTTGCTGTTATCTCCTTCTGAAATTCATCTTTTTTTTCTTTTTTTTTTGAGACGGAATCTCACTTTGTACCCCAGGCTGGAGTGCAGTGGTGCAATCTTGGTTCAGTACAACCTCTGCCTCCCAGGTTCAAGTGATTCTCCTGCCTCAGCCTCCCAAGTAGCTGGGATTATAGGCATGCACCACCACGCCCGGCTAACTTTTGTATTTTTAGTAGAGATGGGGTTTCACCATATTGGCCAGGCTGGTCTCAAACTTCTGACCTCAAGTGATCTGCTCACCTTGGCCTCTCAAAGCGCTGGGATTACAGGCGTGAACCACTGCACCCGGCCTGAAATTCGTCTTTATTTTTTTGCTCGTTTCTTGACCATCTCCTTCTACTAGAAGCTCAAGGTCTAAGCCTTGTCTTATTCTCTGTTATATCTCTAACACCAAACATGAGATTCAGCAGGACATCCAGTAAATATTTGCTGAATGAATGAAAAAACTTTTCCCCTTCTCATTGTCCCTTGGTACTGCCACCATCCCAAACTTCTTGCAGCTTTTCAAATATGCCATGCTCTTTTCTACCTCCATGCTATTTGCTTTGCCAAGAAGGGCCCCTTTCTCAGTTACCATTCCACTATCTTTGAAGACCTAGGTCAAACACCACTCCTCTCCTGGATTGGCACTTGGTTTGCATCACTATTATAGCTCTTTCCACATTGGACTCACTTGTTTTTCTGTCTATCCTGTAAGTCTGAAGGGATCTCTAGTGTCAGGGACCATGTCTTGATTATCTTTGTGCCCCAGGCTTATCGCACAGTGTCTGATCCCTAGTAGGGGCCAGTAAGTGTTTGTGAATGAAGGATTTTCCCTGAAGCTTTTGGATAATGAGACTCATATATACAGAGGCTGCCTCATCTCCTTTGGGAGTCCAGGTTTATGCTATTGTTGTGTTGCTGGAGGGGAGCTGACTGGGGGGACTTGTGGAATGACCGTCTGGGAGTAGAAAGACACTGAGGGAGGACACGGAGTGAGATGGGGGCAGGAGACTGCCAACTGCCTTTCGCTGAGGGACACGAGGCTCCCAAAAAAGTTTAAATCCCTTTATCGGGTTGCATCTGGCCCTTTCTCAATTTGTGCAACAGATTTCCATTCCACAGTTGTTTGCAGCCTGAAAGCTGTGGAAGAACTGGAAACACTTTCAAGTACTAGTTGCCTGTCTGGGTGACAGATTCTCCTGAGATCCTGGAGGAAACTGCAAACAGGGCCATGAGCCTCACCCACTGCAGATGCCATTTTCCAGGACTGCATTCCCAAAATCTGGCTGGAAAAAGGGCCTTCCACCAATGATCTGTTGATAGAAAATGTAGAAAATCTTGCCTGATTACTGCAAGCCCCTCCTGGTCCCACACAGAGAGGAACATGAAGACATTTTCTTTCTTTCTTTCTTTCTTTCTTTCTTTCTTTCTTTCTTTCTTTCTTTCTTTCTTTCTTTCTTTCTTTCTTTCTTTCTTTCTTCTTTCTTTCCTTCTTTCTCTCTCTCTTTCCCTCCCTCTCTCTCTTTCTCTCCCTCCCTCCCTCTCTCTCTTTTTTCCTTTTCCAGACAGAATCTTGCTTACTCACTCAGGCTGGAGTGCAGTGGCAGGAACACGGCTCACTGCAGGCTTAACCTTCCTGGCTCAAGTGATCCTCCTGCTACAGCCTCCTGTGTAGCTGGGACTACAGGCACATGCCACCATGTGAAGCTAATTTTTGTATTTTTTGTAGAGACAGGGTCTCACTCTCGCCCAGGCTGGTCTCAAACTCCTGGCCTCATGTGATCCTCCTGCCTTGGCCTCCCAAAATGCTGGTATTACAGGCATGAGCCACCAAGGCCGGTTGACATCTCTTTCTTTTAAATCTGTTTCTAAGTCACTAGTTGGTTAATTGTGGTAACATGCACAACACCTCCCCTGTCAACTGCAAGTAGGCAGTGTACAGACTCGTCATTTTTATTAAGAATAATTATCAGAGAACAAAACATCCCCACACATCAATGCCAGTTTTCACTTATAGGGATGTTATTGAAGAATTTTAGAATAATGCAGAGATTTCCTAAAAGTGATGGCAAAAATAACACTGGTAAAATGACATAGCGTGCTATAAGTATTGAGTGAGTGAAAATAAATTTTTTTCAAAGGTTTGTAAAATACGAAGGCTAGGATAATAACATGTAAGTAACAAACCCAGCCTTTGGGATCAGTTTTAATAGTCTTAAATTTGGAAGATTTGGTGGAGGGTTTGATAATTGGGCAAGGTTTCTTGGAGGGCTTGATGGTATGGTTCTGATTTTTTGTGTGCTGATATCTCTGATGAATACTATCATATGGGGTAATATTATTCCTTTTGAATTATTCGCCTGACTGACTTTTCAACTGGGTGTGATTCCTCTCTACTGTTAACATCTCAGCCTTTTCTATGTACTTTTGCATTCATCTTATAATGTTAGTATCTTCTTTCCCCTATTAATTTAAAACTCTATTGAGGGCAAGACTTAAAGCTTACTTATCTCTACAGCTCCTGCATAATTTAGCATAGAGATAGAAATTCAGAATTGACTCATATAGCCAAGTTCCCCTGAAATCAAAAATAAGGAGTAAAAAAATAAATTCATGAGAGAGTGATTTATAAATCAGAATACCAATTTATGATCAGAGTTTATGCTCATACTGCTTGTCAACTATTTCTGGTTCTTTCTACTTCTGGGCACATTTTCAGATTGTACCTCTCGGCCCCCATGTAGTTGGGCAGAGGATACACACAACAGGGTCTTGACATTAAGTTGTGAGTAGAAATGTGATATGTCACATCTGGGCTACAGCGAAGGTGACCAAGTGTCCTAGTTTCCTGAGACTGAGGGGTTTCCCAGGATGTGAGAATTACAGTGCTAAATCAGGACAGTCCCCAGCAAGCTAAGCCAATTGTCACATTAGCTGGAACATTTAATTGCTGGTTCAAGACCCTCCACAACTCACTCTGTTTCCTTCCGGCACAGAAACTGACAACATTTGAGGTAGTGAGTACCCTATCATCCTAGGTCCCTGGATCATTACAATGAGCATAGACTGCCTACTCATGAACCTATAATGGACATGTAAGCATTAGCAGTAATTAAAACTTTATTCCAGTATAGCATGTAGATTTTAGAATTTTTGTTATTGCAACAGAACCTAGTTGATCCTAACCGATACATGAATATAGGTAACAATTGATCTGATATGCAGTGGTGAATAAGTGCTTCTTTTTTTCTTCATCTTCTAATGGGAAAGTTTGCTTAGAAAATCAAAGAATATGGGAAGATCACTCAGTGAAATCATAAGCAGAACAAAAAGAGTTGGATAATATTAGCATGTTTTCATCAATCTGTGCTAGGTTTATCCTTCATTCTCTTCTCTACACAGCTATATATGTCAAGCAGACTGGGTCAGGGACTGTCTCCTATTAATGGTGTTGGAGAAGAATGGGCCAATCAGTACGTCCAGATTTTTCCCTTCAATACTCAACTTCATCATATTATTTTATTTTCACAATTAAAAATTACAATTCTAAGCTAATAATGTGCTTAGCAATGTTTCCATTTTACGTAAGTTTCCTAGTGACATCTAGGAAGGGCCTATTAGTCTCATCCATAAATTTTTCCTCATTCACATTTCTGGGGGGCGATTTCATTTATTAGTTCAACAAATAGTTGTTAATGCCTATTTCTGCCAGGTATAAACAAGGCAGGTAAGATCCCTGACCTATTGGAGTTCGTATTTCTCTGAGTTGGTTTAGGGTTAGCTATAGTAATTGAGACTCAGCAATAATTTGGTGGTTAAAGTTAGAACTGTGTTCCTCTCTCATATAATAGTCCAAAGAGACACTCCAGTTGGCAGGCAGCTCTGCTCCACACCAGCTATCAAGGACCCAGTTTCCTTCTACTGGGTTACTCCACCATCAACTATGGTCTTGTCATTGCTACATGGTTGAAGCTTGGGTGGTGAGTAGGTTTGCTGGTAGGAAAGACAAAATAATTCAGAAAAGGCATGGCCACTTTCTAACGCTCAAGCCTAGAAGTGACACATGTCATTTCCATTCACAGTCTGTTGGGTGAGAACTGAGTCACATGACACTCTGAACCATAAGGGAGTCTGGGAAATGCGGTTGGCTTCTGTGCCCAGACACCAGTATGAAATGGTAGGCAGTGAACAACCTCAATTACAACATTCTGATGGGAGACATAATAGCTTATTACCTGCTTCTCTGCATACAAACCTCTTCCTGTCACTGTGGGGTGAAGGATACTAAAGAAAAAAAAGGATTATCTCTTCCATAAGGAATCTGCATCTTATTAGAAGAAATACTCTCTGTGTGGATACAGACACAAAGCTACAAGTATGACAGAGAATGCTGTAAATGCCCAAAGCACAAAACACACAGAGTTCAAAGGGCAAAGGGTTATAACATGCTATGATGGCCCTGTGGGACAGTAACCCTCCTAGACCCTTTCCTGTGCAACATTAGCTCTGCTCTATTGCTGTTCATGCCTTTCATCATTCTCTGCGCAATATCAACTCACCTATATTTTGTCTGCACTGAGAAACAAATCCTCTCTCTGTCACCCCCCTATGGAACGTTCGACACCTTTATAATGTTCCCCATCAGTAGGGTGAAGGAGGGGTCCTTCTTTAAATTGGGGCTGCAGGCATAAGCCATGATTGTACCTGGCAAATGGATTGTACGGTCACACTACCAAGGGATATGACGCTGGGATGTCACTGGCTCCTAATGGAGGAATCACCTGGGATTCTGCCCCTTCTCCCTTGTACCGGTTGTGCCTTCTCAACAGGTTTCCTACAGGTAGCTGACTCATAGCTTATAGATTCATGTTAATTTCTATTAAAAAGAAATTTTTACTGGGATTAGATATACTGGTTTTTTTTGGCTTGTGTGTGTGTGTCCTTAAGTCATTCAATTTACATTGAAATATTGAAGGTAGAACTTAACTTTTGGTCCTATAGTCTTTATATTTTTCAGTACAACAATGCCTCGTATAAATGACCTGAATTACTTCATTCTAATTTCTCTACTCATAAAATAAACAGGATATAACCTACTTAAACAAAAACCGATCACACAAATGCAAGACATCTTAATTTTTTTTCTTAGTTATTGTTATTTGGTAGGGGTGGGGTGGGAATGAAGGTACAGGGAAAAAGGGAAAAGCTGTGGGAGTATAGTACATATTCTCATGGACTCCTTTCAGGAACAGAGTGGAAGAATTTACAGAACATATCAAGCAAGTTGGAATTTAGCCAATGTGCCTTGCTCTCTCTTTATATCGGTGGGAAAATGTTCATTTTGAACACAAGTGCCTTATATGCTGACATTTTTCACTGCTGTGGAATATAGGAAATGTGCTTTGTTTGTCATTTTAAAAAGTTATAAATTCTGTGACCTTGAGACCTTCAGCACAAAGATGTAGAAAAGAGAGAGTGGGAACTCCCAAGTCCCCTGAAGTCACTTGCTCAGTCCTTTAGGGGCTGAGATGCCCTCTTTGTGTCTGGGGAAGATGGCAGCTGATGTTAGTAGCCCTTGATTTTTAAATGCGACCAATGGGATTTTTTTTTAAATCCCTGCATTCTCTTTGCAAAGCTTCCCAGGCTGTTTGGGGTTTTAGAAAAAGATGTTAAAACCAACAACTTTTTATTTGTTCAGAGTACTCTTAACGACAGCTTACCCGTGATCCACTTAAATCCTAAATGATAAAATTCATTCCTTTATGTGAATGTATTGCTAGCTCTCTTATGGGATGTGGGGTATAGGAGTTTAGGATAGAACTAGATGGAGCCCAAGATACCAGCTGTTACTTTGCTGGCTCTAAAAAGTCAACTGCTTTAGAGCCCAGAGGCATAGAATATAAGAGTTTGAGTCCCTGGAAACTTTGAGTAGTGTTTACTCACCTACGAGACAGGCACCCTTTTTTCCACAATATGTGGACAATGATAACAGATAAGAGTTGTTCAGTGCACCACGTAGTATGCACTGGGTTAATTTTTTTTATATCCTCTCATTTATACCTCACAAAAACTCTATAAGGAAGGCGTTATTATCCTTATTTCATGGATGAGGAAATAGAAACTTAAAGAGATTAAAAATCTTGCCCAAAGTCTCAGTTAAATAATTGGCTGCACCAGGAATTGGGTCCTCATCTATTTGACTCCAAAGCCTTGCCTTTCATGGGTTTACTTTCCCAAATAGTGATAAAAAGGAAAGTGAGCCCAATTCTCGCAAATGCTATCAATACTTTGTGTGATGTACTGGGGGACTGCACCTTCAAATAGTGCTAAACAATACGCTTTGCATTGCTTCTGCTTGTGGCATCCCTGGATTTCCTTTAGCCTTCCAAAGGGAGTTTACCTTAAGGGATATAAAGCAGTAAAATAAGCTGAATGTTTCTTTCTTTGGAGGGAGTGTTGAGTGGATATCAACTGGCAGTGAAGGGTTGCAGATGACCTTGTTCAAGGTTGGAACTTCTCCATCAGCAGTGGGCCACGGAAGATCCTATGGTTGGTATGGTTGACTGTGACCACTTCTTTTCTGGAAAAGCTTGACCTCAATCCATCCAGATTAGGAAAAGTCTACTTTCTGAGGGGATCTTAGAGAATCTCCTGTACTGCGGGAATCAGATATTTACCTACCTCGGCCAGGCACAGTGGCTCATGCCTGTAATTCCAACACTTTGGGAGGCCGAGGTAGGTGGATCACTTGAGGTCAGTAGTTCGAGACCAGCCTGGCCAACCTGGTGAAACCCCGTCTCTACAAAAATAGAAAAATTAGCCAGGTGTGGTGGTGCACGCGTATAGTCCCAGCTACTCGGGAGGCTGAGGCAGGAGAATCACTTGAACCTGGGAAGCAGAGATTGCAGTGAGCTGAGATTGCACCACTGCACTCCAATCTGGGCAACAGAGGGAGACTCTGTCTCAAACAACAACAACAAACAACACCAAAAACAGATATTTGCCTACCTCAAGACAGCTAAAAAATTGTAGCTCTATTTGTTGAAGGATGCTAAATAAAAAATATTCAGAATATTCAGAATATCAAGCTATGGATTCAGGCTGGCAGATTCTTTAAAAAGAAATTATCTCTTTCTGGGCCAATTTCATATTGAGGTTAAGTCAGATATGACCAATGAATGGTCTGTGATATCCATCTATCCTGTCTGGGCAGAGTGAGTACTTGAAATAACTAATTCTGGTTATGGGATTAAAGTTACTTTTATTTTTTAAAGAATATTTAAAAATCTTTTCTATATTTGGTATGTGTTATTTTAACAATTATTAAAATAGAAGTATTATTAAAGATTTACGGCCAGGCATGGTGGTTCACGCCGTAATCCCAGCACTTTGGGAGGCTCAGGCAGGTGGATCACTTGAGCTCAGGAGCTCGAGACCAGCCTGGCCAACACGGTGAAACCCTGTCTCTACTAAAAATAAAAAAAATTAGCCAGGTATGGTGGCGCATGCCTGAAATCCCAGCTACTCCAGAGGCTGAGGCAGGAGACTTGCTTGAACCCGGGAGGCAGAGGTTGCAGTGAGCTGAGATCACGCCACTGCACTCCAGCCTGGACGACACCGAGACACTGTCTCAAAAACAAGATTTACATCTTCTCGATTCAAAACTAAAACCTCTTTGCCATATATTGGAAGTGGTGTGTGTGTGAATGTGAGATTGTGAGATCTCCCATTGTGATTATCATTTAGAAATGTTTCATTCACTAATAAATTGTCACCTACAACCTGACATTCACTACTTCTAAGACACGGACCACTGTGTCCTTATCCCACGAGTTGAGAACCATTCTGCTTTTTATACATTTTATTTATATATCGATTGCATAGGTAGTACTTCCACTTCACTTGACATTCAGAAGGTACAAGAAGTTCCCTTCCTGGAAGCAAACAGTGTTATCAGTTTCTTATGTATTTTTCCAGAGACTTTTCTTGTTTATTTAAGCAAGCAACGCCGCCCCCGCCCGCCGCCCCCCGCCCCCCCGCCACACACACAGAGAGAGAGAGAGAGAGAGAGAGAGAGAGAGGCATGCAACAATTAGGGGTCAAAAGAAGAACAAAAAGACTGGAAATAAAGTGTATTTTGGCTTACTCTATGTTGGGCTGACCTAACTGCACTATCTTTTATCTTTTCCTTTGGGACTAGGACTTCTGACTTCTCACTCAGATTCTAATCTCTACCATTTTCTCCTCCCTTCCTCCCTCCCTCTTCCCTCTCTTTATCAGAGAGAAATAGCCACTCCTATTTATTTCTGATCTTATTTCTTCTTCCTCCTTCCCCTGCAATTGAATATTAGATGATAGAGTGGTACAGCAAGAGGCAAAACTGCAGAACAGATGGGGCAGAAGAGAAGGAGGGGGCAGGTTGACACGGCCTCCAGGAAGCCTGCCTAAGCACCTCCCAAGCTGTGCTCTGCAGCTCATAGACCATGGAACACGAATGTCCTTCAAGGAGGTGACTTTATGGCCTTTCGCCCTCCTACCTCTGTCGGGGCTCACAGACTTCCTCTTTCATGTCCCTGGCCCATGGCCCTGATGCATCATAGGTGTCCTGGGTGCCTTTGAACCTCCTCTCCATTTCACTCTTGGAAAAGGCATTCTGTAGCAATCAAAGGGAACCGGAAGCCAAAACCAGTGGCTGAGCGATCAGCCTGTTATTAATTTGTAGGATTATTAGTGACAGCAGGAATCACAGGGTTACAACTTTTTTCAAAAAGTAATTTGCCCTTCTCTCCCACAGCAGCTCGGTTTTAGTCTGAATTAAATGCTGTTCCTCCTACCCAGTTCCCCAGTGCAGTGAATCACAGACTCTGGGGAGGGAGGAAAGGGGGACCATGGCGACGATTTGGTCTGGTCCTCTCAATTCACAGGCCCACGCCACTCTCACTGATCTGATTTGAGACTTTTGTGCTTCGTGTCACTGTCAGGAAATGTATTTGGTTTTTCTTGAAAGAAAAAGTCCCCTGGACAAGGTCATCTGTCTGTTCCTGATGGGGTTTATCATTCAGCTTCAAATATAGTGACTCATAGTCACAGGTCGGATTAAGCCTACTCACTATCATTTATTAAAAAGGAGCTCCCACCCAGGGAGGCTGCCTGCCTCGTGTAAATCATGACCTCGGCGCCAGCCGAGTGCTGATGAAATCATTTCTAATGACAAGAACTCAAAAATAGCTCAGGCTTGCTGCTTCTGTGGGTTTTTGTTGTTGTTGTTGTTGTTTGTTTTGGTTCTTAATCAGTCCTTTGCTAATATTTCAGCCTTCAAATGAGGTACAGAACCTTTGGATATTGACCAAAATGTGCATGTTTCCCTCTCCTCCTGGAGATGGGCTAGATCTTCTAGAGCAGAGAAGGAGGATCCCCTTAACGGGGGGTGGAGGCTGACACCAGCATACGGCTTCGGAGCTGCCCTGTCTCTTCCACCTCCATGGTGGATGGAGTGTTCCAGTTGGATCAGCCGGCCATGTCCTGTCATGGATTAGACCTGCTGACCTCACCAGTAATACCTCAAGGGCAGATCCCCCAATCAGGATCTGGTCTTCTGGTTGGAGTTTCAGAATCCAGATATTCTGATTTAGGCAAAGAGAAACATAATCATCACAATGGTCAAAAGTCTCAAGAGGATATTATCAATTTAGAATAAGAAATGCAACCACAGGAGGACCAGCGGACAGTTCACTAACCAGCTCATCTTCTCCATGTAGACTTATATATGTGTGAAGCCAATTATAATTTTAGGAAGGGCCTTGGTAAAACTAGAATCAGAGGAAAAAGAGGTGGATTTAAAAATCTATATCCAGTTTTATTTACCCCTTCATTGTTCTCTAGTGTTTCCATGTGTGCGTAGCAGACTTGCTTAAGTAAAAACAAAACCAAAGAAGCTTTACAGGTTATCTGTCACCTATTTCTTTATTTACTATTTATTATTATTTTCAAATAGTAATAATAAACATGCCCATGCTAAAAAATTCAAATAGTACAAAGGGTATACAGTGAAAACAGAATCATACTTCCCCCTTTGTCTCCAGTTCTCCAATTCCTACCCGTAGTTCCTAATTTCTCATGCTTCATTACAGAGATATTCTATATGTGTGGAAACATACACGTGTGTCTGTTTCTTCCACTTGCATTTTATGTGTACATATGGCAATACTCTGCATACACTGTTATATGTCTTACTTTTTTCACTTGACATTATATCTTGGGCATCTTTCCACGATATCTTACTTTTTCCATTGTAGGGATGTACCATAATTTGATGGGCATGTCTGTGCTTACAATCTTTTGCTATTACAAAAAGTGCTGAAATGAATGAGATGATTTAAGGGATATTTTCAGCATGAGGCACTCTGATAAAATACCTATCCTTGCAATGGAATAGAGATCTCTTATGAATAGAACGGTCTTGTCACCTGGGCCCAGTGGCTTTCTTCCTGGATACTGATCAACACTGACATACTCTTGACTCTTGTTTTTAACACCACCTTCTCCACCTAGTCAGGTTTCACGTGTTTACCATTTCCCTTCCTTTGGGATATAACGTACTTAATGAGACTTTGTCTTTTTAGTTAGACTCATATTTTAGTAAGCATATATCTGAGACCATATCTAAGTTGCCAAGGTTATATTTTAGCTTTCCCAAAGCTGTTCAGCCATATTTTTACAGAAAATTGTGTTATTTTTAGGAATGTATTTTGTGTGTGTTTAACCAATATAACTCTGAGAAGATAACTTTATTCTGAAGGGCAAAGGTCTGTGTGCCTTCAGATTAATGTATGCTGTTACACTGAATTAAGCTGCCTTACTTTTATACCCATGGCATAGACCAGTAATTTGAAAAATCTGAATAACATCTCATCCCCCTTTGTTTTTTCCTGATGTTTATCAGTGACCAGTGGTCCAGGGAAGAACAGAACTGCCCTTTCAACATTGCTGGCCTTCTCTCTCTCTCTCTTTTTTTTTTTTTTTTAATAATTTCAATTTGGCTGGACATGGTGGTTCACACCTGTAATCCCAGCACTTTGGGAGGCCGAGATGGGCAGAACACTTGAGGTCAGGAGTTCGAGACCAGCCTGGCCAACATAGTGAAACCCCATCTCTACGAAAAATACAATTAGCCAGGCGTGGTGGCATGTGCCTGTAGTCCCAGCTACTTGGGAGGCTGAGGTAGAGAACTGCTTGAATCCAGGAGGCAGAGGCTGCAGTGAGCCAAGATCGTGCCACTGCACTCCAGCCTGGGTGACAGAGTGAGACTCTGTTTCAAATAATAATAATAATACTTCCAATTTTTACTTTAGATTCAGGGGGTACATGTGCAGATTTCTTACCTTGGTATATTGCATAATGCTGAGGTTTAGGGTATGAATGATCTCGTCACCCAGGTACTGAGCATAGTACCCAACAGCTTTACAACACTTATCCCCCTCCCTCCTTCTCCCCTCTAGTAGCCCCCAATGTCTATTGTTGCCATCTTTATGTCCATGAGTACACAATGTTTAGCTCCCACTTATAAGTGAGAACAAGTGGTATTTGGTTTTCTGTTCCTGCATTAATTCACTGAGGATAATGGCCTTTGGCTGCATCCATGTTGCTGGAAAGGACATGATTTTGTTCTTTTTTATGGCTGTGTAGTATTCTGTGGTGTATATGTACCACATTTCCTTTATCCAGTTCACCACTGGGGGGCACCTAGGTTGGCTCCATGTCTTTGCTATTGTGAATTGTGCTGTGATGAACATACGAGTGTATGTGTCTTTTTGGTAGAACAATTTCTATTCATTTGGGTATATACACAATAATGTGATTGCTGGGTTGAATGGTAGTTGAGAAATCTTCAAACTGCTTTCCACAGGGGCTGAACTAATTTACATTCCACCTCAGCACTGTATAAACATTTCTTTCTCCACAGCTTCGCCAGCATCTGTTGTTTTTTAACTTTTTAGTAATAGCCATTCTGAGTGGTGTGAGATGGTATCTCATTGTGGTTTTGATTTGCATTTTTCTGATGATTAGTGACGTTGATCATTTTTTCATGTTTGTTTGCTGCTTGTTTGTCTTCCTTTGAGAAGTGTCTGCTCATGTCTTTTGCCCACATTTAAATGGGGTTATTTGTTTTTTGCTTGTTGAATTGCTTAAGTTCCTTATAGACTCTGGATATTGGACCTTTGTTGGATGTATAGGTCAATATTGTTCTCTTTTTAATGTGTGACGTGTGTGTGTGTGTGTGTGTGTGTGTATGTACATATCAAACTTGTTGAGGTTTTGAGAAGATGGGTTTCTATAATGGCAATGCAAGTAACTTAAAAATAAATATTGGACATCTGTGTTTTCAGAAATCCTTCTGGCACATTGCTACCAGAAATTCCTTACTGACCACATCTCTGCAGATTCCAATCTCCCATAGCCTTTTTAGAGCCAACATTGCTTTCTTATGGCGCATTATAGCTGTGAATCCTACGTGTGTCCTGTCATATAGACAGCCTCTGCTATCTATCCTTAATGCTAGTGACCTTTTCTCTCCTTTCAAAAAGCTTTTGTTTTTTGTTGTTTTTAACAGAAAGGCTCTTGCTTTGTTGGTCAAGTCAGCCTAGGACTCCTGGGCTCAAATCCTTCCACCTCAGCCTCCCAGATAGTTGGGACTACAGGCATTTGCCACCATCCCAGAAAAGATTTTTAGAAAGAGTATAAATCTGAGTATTTGATACCCTGCAGAGAATACGAGTAGGACACAAAGGCCCTACAATGAACTATTATCTAGCAGTGCCTCTTAGATACTTGATTCTCAAGAGCCATGCCACTGAAAAATAAAATCCATTAGGGTAAGTTAACTGATGTAACAAATAGACCTCCGAGTGTATAATGGTTCTAGTGCATTCAAAATTTATTTCTTGCTCATATAACAAGTGGGTGAACAGTTCAGCAGGGTGACCCTCTTCCACATAATAATTCTGGGACCCAGGCTTTGCTGACCCTACTCTACACTTCATGACTTTCAAGCTTGCCTGGAGGTTACCTCTACTCCCATGTAGTTGGAAGGAGACAAAGATCATGGAGGAGTGTTGCATTGCCTGCTTCTAAGGGCCAGTCCTGCTCACATTCCATGGCCAGGACTCAGCCACATGGCCACCTAACTGCAAGGGATCCTGGGAAGTGTAGCCCCTGGCTGAGCTTCCACTTTGTGGCAAGAACTCTACACTGCAGAAGTGGAGCCTGGATATTTGTTGGACACATAGCTGTCATTGTCTTATGGCCACAATCATAATGTTTTTATATATCACCTTCTGAACACTTACATAGGAGGTGCTGTACTGTGTATAGATGTACTATCTAATTTAATTCTCACAGGTAGCTATTCATTGTGGATATTATTAATATGTTTTATAAATGATGACATTGAAACTAAGAGATTAAATCACTTGCCCAAGGGCATACATCTAGTAAATTTTGGAACTGAGATTCAAATCCTGGTCTATCTGATTCTAAAACCTAATGATCTTAACTTTTACATTTATATTGTCTAGGTAGAACTGGCATGTTTATGCCTTTAATGGCTAGAACAGAATAAAGGGACAAGCCCCAGTGTTCTCCATTAGTTTTCTTAGTTTCTTTTCTAGCAGGACCAAGCAGGAGGCTCGAGGTTCTGAGTAATCTCAATGGCTTGTTTTCTTTCTCTCTCTCTTCCTTTCTTTTTCTCCCTTTCCTTTCCTTTCCTCTCCTTTCCTCCCCTTCTCCCCTTCTCCCCTTCTCCCTTTCTCCCTTCCCTTCCCTTCCCTTCCCTTCCCTTCCCTTCCCTTCCCTTCCCTTCCCATCACTCTGTTGCCCAGGCTGGAGTATAGTGGCATGATCATAGTTCACTGCAGCCTTGACCTCCTGGGCTCAGGTGATTCTCCCACCTCAGCCTCCTGTGTAGCTGGGCCTGCACTAGCTACATCCAGGTAATTTTTTTGTATTTTTTTGTAGAGACAAAGGTTTTACCATGTTGCCCAGGCTGGTCTCAAACTTCTGGGCTCAAGTGGTCCACCTGCCTCAGCCTCCCAAAGTGCTGGGTGAGCCACTGCCCCTGGCCATCTCAATGGGTTTCACACTATTCTTCACCTCTTCTGCCTTCATTGTCTAGAACAAGCTTGTCCAACCTGTGGCCTGTGGGCCACACATGGCCAAGGATATCTTTGAATGTGGCCCAACACAAATACATAAGCTTTCTTAAAACATCGTGAGATTATTTTGCAATTTCTTTTTATAGCTCATTGGTTATCGTTAGCCTTAGTGTATTTTATGTGTGGCCCAAGACAATTCTTCCAGTGTGGCCCAGGGAAGCCAAAAAATTGGATACCCCTGGTCTAGAATCTAGATTAGTTTCAATTATTTGCCAGTATTCAATTACCATTCATATAAAGATGACTACTAAATAATTATCTTCTGCCCAAATGTTTCATCTTAGCTTAGATTCATAGTTCTAACTGCCTACTCAACAGCTTCATGGACACCTTCAATTCATTGCATCCTCAAACTGAAGGCATGCTCTTCCCACCTGAAGATCCATTCATTTCTTAGGTTTGTCAGTCAATAGCCTACTGGCTTTCATTAACTTCCCAAGGTGTAGGTGTCAGACATTTGTTTCTTCATTACCGCTCACTTCCTAAAGAGTACGTAGATTCACAGCTATTTTGCATGTTTTCTAGACGGTCCAAATGTCATCACTATCGCCTAGAAGGTTGAGGGACTATTTTGAGATGGTGATGATGATTATCTCAAGAAAACGCACTCCATGTGCAGGCCTCTTCTCTTCTCACTTTCTGTTTGACACTGAGGAAGTTGGTGAGAGCTTCTAAATCACGCAAATCCTTAGGCACACAGGCGTGGCCTGAGTCATGTTTGCCCACTCACGGAGACACACTGATGCCTGTGAAAATGATCATGTAGGTCACAGGCAAACATCCTGCTACCTCAAGTCCCTCTGTCCAGCCTATGGACTGGAAAAGCCTCTGGAAACCTTTTCTCTCTGTCTTCCCCACATTCCTCACCTTTGGGCTGATTTTAATGCAGAAAAGACCATAACAAATCAGAGTTCCTTCTCTGCTCAGGGACTCCTGAGAATCTGGAGGAAGGTGTTGCTTGTCCTTAGTAAAAAGCTCAGCCTATGGAAACACAGGGGCCTCTCCGAGATACTTTGTCTCCAAAGAAAACCGAAGCTATTGTTTATAGACTTTGGAGTTTATTGTTAGAAAAAGGCTGGAAGATAAACTGTGCCAAGTACTAAATTAAAAAAGAAACAAATGCCGAGACACCCCTGAGTAAGGATGAATGTGAAAGTGGCAATTGATGCTCAGAGAATTTAAATTCTCATTTTCAGCAATCCTTTCTTCTTTGTCAAAAATAATTTGTTATGAAATGTGAAAGAAATATTTATGGCTGTTTGGTTTTCCCCTCTCATATGCCATTTTGCTAATCTTTACAAAAATATTGTAAGGTAGGTAATATATATACATATTTCACAGATTAGAGGACTAACCTCAGAGAGGCTAATTGACAAGCCAAGTCACTTAAATGAAGGTATTTTTCTCTCCACATTTTTATATCTGTAGCCACAGATCTAGGGTAAAGGACTAGGTCTGCTTTGTGCAGTACTGATGAGCTGGTACAATTCCTGGTACAAAGTAGGGGCTCAGTAAATGCTTGCTGCATAAAAGAATGAATGAAACTGTAAAATGATTATAACAATTGTCTCTTCCACCTAATAGTGGCATAAATTGGGATGAGCTAGGTCATAATGTGGAAAAAGCAACCCCAAAGTTTCAGCAGTTCAAAACACAGGTCTGTTTCTTGTATTCTTACTTGATGTCCATCAAAGGTTGGCGGGGGAGGGGGATGCGGGGGCGGGGGCTCCACTTCACTCCTCACAGTTACTCAAAGGCCGGGGCTGATGAAGCTGTTCCTATCTCGAATGTTGCTACTTATGTGTAATGAAACCATTTAAAGTGGAAGTCACCCACTTCTCTTTCGTCACAACTCATTGACCAGAACTATCCCCATGGCCCCAACTAACTACAAGGGAGCCAGAAAGTGCAATTGTATCACGTGCCTGGTAAAGGGTAGATCCAGAAATATTTGGCAGAGGGCACTAATGACATCCATAGGACATAGAGGTCAAATGAAATGATTTATATAAAAATGATTTTTATCACGAGAGGCAGTTAGTGGTGACTGGTGATTATTAGGCTTAGCATGGCCTCAAGTCATTGTGTTTGCTCCTACATTAGGCTTCTCATCAGGAATTTATCTTGGGCAATGATAGAAAGGCCCCGGGACCTTGTCAGAAGGAATATCATGTCTGATCCTGATTCTTTTACACGTGTCAGGATGGTTTTCTTTCTAGATGCAATTTTTACAGCCCCCTAGTCATGGGAGTTTCTCAACCACACATAGGTTGGTTAGGAAGCTACTCTCTGATCAAGAGGATGAATGCCTCAAGAAGGCTCATCACCCTAGTATGCTTGGATCCATCCTATTCTTAAGTGGTGAATAATATTGTCCCAATTCCTTTCTTTGCCAAAACACCACAGACTCATCTGGTTTGAAGAGTTGAACTGCAGCGGTTGAAGACCAGACAGTAGAGTTTCAAGCTCTGCTGGGATGATTACTAGGTGGGGATCTGTGGATAGTGGAGAAAAGTTCTTACTCATTTTCATCATTGAGTATGGGCCAGTGGCATAGGTCAGCTGGAATTTGACCAGATAAGGTTCCCATGTATCCTTTTTGGCAGATGTAAGTTTCTGGGAAATAAACCAAATGGAATCCATAAGTTCATTTCCTAACTCTGTAAAGTGCTGAATGCTTACAAGAGTAGAAAATAAACATATTCATTCAATGCACAATGAAATTATTTTCAGTCATCTTGTCTTTGTAGAATTAAAGTGTTAGAAGCTATTTGCCACTACATGAAAGTCTCATCCAATCTTCTTTATAAAAGACAGTAAACAGACTGGAATGCCCAATTCATATCTTAGTTCTATGAGCCACAAGGAGGTACCTACTTCGGGTTGAAAGATAGAGATGAAAATCAAATTTAAGCATAACTCAGTTCCTACAGATATTAATCATTGGTTGTGTCTGGAAGTGTGAAGGGAATTTCCCTCTTCCAGGCATCTCAGGGATATGTGGGGTTGGGGGTGGATTGTGGGGTGAGATGATTAGAAATGGTATTGGATTCTGTATAGCCCTATAGACGGGGGTCATTTGGGGCTATTATCTTGGCTTCTTCCTCTGTGTATATCAACTCTAAAATAATGAATATGTCCTCTCTTATAGTCAGGAGTGAAGCTTATCACACAGCTTGTATAGACTCAGGGGACTTTGAAGCTATTTCTGATTTTCTTATCTACACACTGAGAGATCAACTATCTCTAGAAGGTCTAATAGTACAGTAACCAAGAGCATGGCCTTTTGAGTAAGAAAGATCCACTTATTACCTGTGTGACCTTAGTGAAGTTGTTCAGTATCTGTGAGGCTCAGTTTCTGAATTTGGAAAGTAAGAAAAATAACAGAACTCACCTTTAAGGGAATGTCTATGAAGATAAAATAAGATTATATATGTAAAGGACTCAGCACAGTACCTAGCACATAGCAAGCCCTTGATATTTTAAAAATTTCTAAGTTGGGCTGAGTGTGAAGGCACCCCACCGTTGTATTAATTTGTTGGCTTTTTGACATATGTGTAGGGTGACTAGATGCACATTTAGCATTAAATAATCACTTCAATTTATTCCTTGTGTCTTGGAGTACAGATGGGATAGTGAGGAATGCAACCAGTCTCTATTCCAGGTGCCACGCAAAATTACATGTATTACTTCTGAATGTGGTTAAACATAGACCTGCTAAACAGGCAACACTTATCTATGATGTGAGAAGTCAGGATAATGGTTTCCTTGTGTGCAAGGTGGTCACTGGAAGGGTCACATGGGGTACTTCTAATGTGCTAGTAATGTTCTGTTTTTTTTAGTCTGGGACTAATTACACAGATGTTTCATTTTTGAAAAATTCATTAGGGCTGGCCATAGTGGCTCATGCCTTTAATCCAAGCACTTCGGGGAGCTGAGGTGAGAGGATTGCTTGAGACTAGGAGTTTGAGACCCACCTGGGCAATGTATCAAGACCCCATCTCTACAAAAATAAAATAAAATAAAATTAGCCAGGTGTGGTGGCCCACACCTGTAGTCCCAGCTAAGGAGGGAGGATGATTGAACTCAGCAGCTGGAGGTTGCAATGAGCTATGAGCATGCCACTGCACTCCAGCCTAGGTGACAGAGTAAGGTGCTAGCTCAAAAATAAATACATTTTAAAAATTTAAAAATGTTAAAAATTATTTGAGCTGTATACTTCTTTTTTGAGGGGAGGGAGGAGAAGGAGTGTTGCTGTGTCACCCAGTCTGGAGTGCAGTGGTGTAATCATGGTTCACTGCAACCTCTGCTTTCCCAGTTCAAGCAATTCTCCTGCCTCAACCTCCTGAGTAGCTGGGATTACAGGTGCACACCACCACACCCAGCCAATTTTTATATTTTAAGTAGAGATGGGGTTTTACTATGTTGGCCAGGCTGGTCTTGAACTCCTTACCTTAAGTGATCCACCCACTTCAGTCTCCCAAAGTGCAGGTATTATAGAAGTGAGCCACCACGCCCAACCTCATTGATACTTCTGATATGTACATTTTTCTCTGCTGATATTATATTTCAATACAAAGTTAACTCAATGAAGCTTCTAGGTCATCAATCTAATCTGGCAAGATAATCAACCAAGATTTACAATACTGCTCCAAGGAAATAGAGTCCATACTTAATTCCTTCTGTCTCTCTCTTTCTTTTTTCTCAGATAATGTCCACCTAGTATAAGTGGGAAGAAAGAAAGCAAAACATTTCTGACATTTGAATTTTATGTTCCTCTATTTTATTCAGTGGTTATAAATTTAAATTTCATTTTGTCTGAGATTCATATCTCTACTCCAATTTCCTTTTGCTTTACATTTGCCTAGTATTGCTTTGCTTACCACCTTTCAAATATAAATTTTAAATAATAATCATAATAAAACAGTCACAAATCAATGAAATAATGCTGTATGTACTATTTATCTTTGAAATTAGAATATTGACAAGACATTCGAAGTTCTCTGTATGTCCTTTTCTGATTTAATCTTTGTCTCTCCAACTTTTCTTTTCTTTCTTTCTTTTTTTTTTCGAGATAGGGTCTTGCTGTATTGCCCAGGCTGGAGTGTAGTGGCATGATCATAGCTCACTGCAGCCTTGACCTTCCAGGCTCAAATGATCCTCCCATTTCAGCTTCTTGAGTAGCTGGGACTACAGGCATATGCCACCATGCTTGGCTAATTTTTGTATTTTTTGTAGAGAAGAGGTCTCACAATGTTGTTCAGGCTCATCTTGAACTCTGGGCTCAAGCAATCTGCCCACCTTTGCCTCCCAAATTGCTGGGATTACAGTCATAAGCCATCATGCCTGACCCCACTTTTCTTTATGTATATGTATACACCACTAAATAATACAGATAAACCCAACTTGTGAGAATTCAAGTTTAATGATTTTTCAACTTTGTGATGATGTGAGAGCCATATGCATTCAGTAGAAAGCGCAATAGCATCCTTGAGATGCTGAGCAGGAGCAGTGAGCCGCAGCGCCTACAGCTCCTAGTCAGCCACATGACCACAGGGGGGACAACTGACACTACAGTGTGCAGTGATGCCAGATGATTTTGCCCATAGTGTTCTGAGCACATTCAAGGTAGTCTAACCTAAGCTATGATGTTCCATATGTTAGTTGTATTAAATGCATTTTCTGTTTACAATAGGGTTATCAGTATGTAACCTCATTGTACACTGAGGAACATCTGTATATTATTCTGTCTTTTTTTCCTGATTTAAAATTTTATGGTTTAACTACATTAGATACAGAAGTCCCTCTTTTTCTGAGGTTTCACTTTCTGCAGTTTCAGTTGCCTGTGGTTAACTGTGATCCAAAAATATTATGTACAAGAAGATATTTTGAGAAAGAGAGAGAGGGAAAGCACATTCACACAACTTTTATTATAATATATTGTTAAAATTGTTCTATTTTATTACTAGTTATTGTTAATCTCTTACTGTGCCTAATTGTTCTATTTTATTATTAGTTATTGTTAATCTTTTACTGTGCCTAATTTATAACCTGAATTTATCATAGGTATGTTATGGATAGAAAAAAACATAGTATATATAGGGTTCCATACTATCTATAGTTTATGACATCCACTGGGGGTCTTGGAACATATCTCCCTCAGATAAGGGGGGACCACTGTAATGTCAAGTGTTTTTTTAAGGAGTTTTACCAATTTACAATCTTTCCAGCAGTGTTAAGAGTTTCTGTTGCTTCCCATTTCTGCAAATAGTTAATATTGTCAATTTCTTAATTTTTCCCAAGTTGTAAAATTTGCTACATTGTAAACTGATAGCCTATTGTCATTTTAATTTGCTTTTTACTAATTATCAAGGTAGTTTATTTATTTATTTATTTATTTTTTGAGACGGAGTCTTGCACTGTCGCCAGGGCTGGGGTGCAGTGGCACAATCTTGGCTCACTGCAACCTCCGCCTTCCAGGTTCAAGCAATTCTCCTGCCTCAGCCTCCCAAGTAGCTGGGATCACAGGCGCCCACGACCATGCCTGGCTAATTTTTTGTATTTTTAGTAGAGATGGGATTTCACTATGTTGGCCAGGCTGGTCTTGAACGCCTGACCTCATGATCCACCCACCTTGGCCTCCCAAAGTGCTGGGATTACAGGCGTGAGCCACCACGCCCAGCCATCAAGGTAGTTTAGAATTTTTTCACCCAAATGTTTATTTGCTATTAGTGCTTTGTTTTCTGCTAAGTGTTTACAGGTTCTTTATCGGATTTTATTTGGGTTTGTGTGTATTTTTCTTATTGAATGTATGAACAATGTATATATTATAGATAAAAGATCTGTTGTTTTTTATATGGGCTACCAATGTCTTCTCTAAGTTCTTGGCTTGTCTTTTTCCTTTCCTTGTGGTGTTTAATTTTTAATTTTAATTTTTATAATAAAATCGTTTATAAGTAAAAATCTAATAAAGACTAAACTAATTTTTTGAAAGGGTACATCAAAGTTGGAGGACTTACATTACCTAATTTTAAGACAATATAAAGTTGTAATAATAAGTAACTTAGTGAGGCATTAGTATTCAGACGGACATAAAGATAAATGTGACAGAAGAGAGAGTCTGGAAGTAGATCCACACATACATAGTCAACAGATTTCCAGCAGAGTTGTCAGAGGTGTTTGAACCAGAGCAACTCCATCTTGAATATGGGCTGGGTAAAATAAGGCTGAGACCTACTGGGCTGCTTTCCCAGATGGTTAAGGCATTCTAGGTCACAGGATGAGATAGGAGGTCAGCACAAGATACAGGTCATAAAGGCCCTGCTGATAAAACAGGCTGCAGTAAAGAAGCCAGCTAAAACCCATCCAAACTACGATGGTGACAAGAGTGACCTCTGGTCATCCTCACTGCTACACTCCCACCAGTGCCATGACAGTTTACAAATGCTCAATATGGTCTAAAAAGGGGAGAAATGAATAATCCATCCTATATTTAGGATATAATCAAGAAATAATCATAAAAATGGGCAACCAGCAGCCCTTGGGGCTGCTCTGCCTATGGAGTGACCATTGTTTATTCCTTTACTTTCCTAATAAACTTACCTTCATTTTACTCTATGGACTCACTCTGAATTCCTTCTTGTGTGAGATCCAAAAACTCTCTCTTGGGATCTAGATTGGGATCCCTTTCCAGTAACAGAGTTGCCAAGGCAATTCAATGAAGAAGTGATAATCTTTTGAACGAATAGGGCTGGAACAACTGGATTTTCATATGCCAAAAAAACAAAAACAAAAGCACAAAAAACAAACAGCCCTGACCCTTACCTCACACTGTATTACAAAATTTAACTTAAAATGAATCATAGGCCTAAATATAAAAGCTAAAGTTATAAAACTACTAGAAGAAAACAGAAAATTTTCGTGACAGTGAATTAGTAAAAAATGTCTTGGGTAGGACACAAAAATAGTACAAAGCATGAATGAAAAAAATGATAAATTTAACTTCATCAATATTATAAACTGTTTTTCAAAAGACACTTGTAAAAGAATTTAAAAAGCCAAGAACTGGATGAAATTATTTGCAGAATATATATATGATAAAGGACTTGTATCCAGAATACATAGAGACTTTTACAATTCAATTATAAGAAATTACACAACCCCATTAACAAATGAAGATAAGGTTTAAGAAACACTTCACCATGGAAAATAGCATGTGAAAAGATACTCAATACCATTAGACATTAGGAAAATGTAAATTGAAACCACAGTGAGATATGACTACACACCCACATTCTAGTGTAACATTCTAGGCTAACATTAGAAAGATTGATTTTATCAAGTGTTGGCAAGGATGTGAATTTACCTGAACTCTTGTGCTTTGCTTTACTGGTGGGAATACAAAATGGTGCAGCCATTTTGAAAAGGAGCTTGGTAATTTCTTTAAAGTTAAACATACACTTATCATATGACTTAGCAAATCCACTCCTAAGTATTTACCCAAGATATATACAACATATGCCTACCATGAAACCTGTATGCAAAAGTTTTTTGCAGCTTTATTTGTAATGGATCCAAATTGGAAACAATGCAAATGTACTTCAACTGGTAAAAAAAAATTGTACGTCTGTATGATGAAATACACTCAGAAATTAAAAAAAAGAATGAACTACTGATACACATAGCAATACGGGTGAATCTCAAAACACGCTAAGTGGCAAAGAAGGCAGACATAAAAGGCTATGTATTGGATGATTCCATTTATATGACATTCTAAAAAAGGTTACAGGGAAGAATCACATCAGTGAGTGTAGGAACTGGGAACTGGGGGGAGGGATTAACTGCAAAGGGGCACTAGGAATCATTTTGAGGTCATGGAAATTTTTATATCTTGTTGTGATTGTGGCTACATGACTGCATATGTAATCAAAACTCACTAAAATGTACACTTAAAAAAGGTTGTTTATTGTATGTAAATTATAAGCAAATTATACTGTATACAAATTCAGTAAATCTGATTAGTTTTTAAAAGAGTCAAGTAGTTCTACAAGCCTTTCTTTGTATAACAGTGGACTCACAAAGGCCCATCTATTCTTCTAAGAGAAAGGGATTTCTTGGGGGAATCCCCTTCAATTCTTTTAGCCACAACTTATAGTATCTCTATATCACAATATTATATTCCTGGCTTTTTCAGTTGTGAGCATTTATCAATTGATCTTCCACTATGTGCGACGAGAATTTAGCACTCCTTCAACTCCCATCTACCCATCAAACACACATATCCTTCCTGCCCCACCCTCCCTTATTATTGTTTTTTCTTCAGGTGGCCAATGATCATTTTCAATTTCACTGGCCTGTGTGCCCATGATTTAATCTCATCCTTCTCTTTCTGGCTGTCTGGCCTCCCAGGTAAGCAGTTATTTACTCTCTGGGACACAGGTTTGGCTTATAGAATAGCTCTAGTGGTAAAAAAAAAAAAAAAAATCCACAGGCTATGAAAGCAAAAGTGTCTTTATCAGTGTTCGTTGAATTGGTAATAAACCTACAGACAGGGATTTGTGTATCTCACTCTATTACTGTTGTCCTCTGAACAGACTGAAGCAGTAACACAATTTTTGTCTGAACTGCTATTCTGAATTTTCATTTCTAGAAACAATCCTTCCCAGAAAAACTAATCTCTCCTGGAGGCTGAGGTGGGAGGATTGCTTGAGGCCAGGTGTATTAGTGTGTTCTCACATGGCTAATAAAGACATACCTGAGACTGGGTAATTTATAAACAAAAAGGGGTTTAATGGACTCACATTTCCACATAGCTGGGGAGACCTCACAATCATGGCAGAAGGTGAAGGAGTAGCAAAGCCACGTCTTACATGGCGGCAGGCAAGAGAGCATGTGCAGGTGGGGAACTCCCCATTATAAAATCACCAGCTCTCATGAGACTTATTCACTATCATGAAAACAGCACAGGAAACACCACCCCAATGATTCAATCCCACCAGGTCCCTCCCAGGACACGTGGGGATTATGGGAGCTAAAATTCAAGGTGAGATTTGGGTGGAGACATAGCTAAACCATATCACCCGGAATTTGAGACCAGCCTGGGCAACATAGTGAGATCCTCTCTCTCCAAAAAATAACTTTTTTTAAATGAGCATAATCGTACCTACCTCATAGGGTTGCTTCAAAGATGAGTAAAGACATGGTAAATTGCTAACTAAATGTTAGCCTTATTTTAAATTTCAGGGTAGAATTCTAAACACAATGTGTTTGCTTCTATAGAAAACCAACTCTGGGATTGGCCTTTGATGGGTCCCAACGTTTCTGGACTTTTGTTGGCAATAATCTTTTTCCAACTATGCACAGAGCATCCCTGTATGGAATTAATTTAGTGTTCGTGTTATTTTATATTTAAAAATCAATTTAGACGTTAAATGCTGTTCTCCTTTAATGAGTCTCAGAGGAAAGCCCACCGTCTGCTCAGTGGATTTGTCCTGAAGGGAAAGAGGCTAGTGGGATGCATCACTACTAATGGAATGATTAATAGAATGTGTTTAAGACTGAGAACAGAATGATTAAGAAAACCCTTGTACTGCAAATCAAATCTAAGTTTTCTGAAGAAGGGTTTGTGAATGAAACTTGGTATTTTTAGCACCACGTTATCAGTCTTCATCAGGTGAGGAGGAGGATGAGCAAGAAGGAGAGGAGAAATGTGGGCACGGTGAGACATAAAAGTAAATCAATGATTAGAGAAAAGTCCATTCAATATTGGAGGATAAAGACAGTTAGCTGAAATGCTGATTTTCCTCTTTAAGAGAAAAACTAGGTAGGTGCCTAACCTCCCAGATATCAGAATATTAAGACGTTTCTACCCAGAGTGGTGGATAAAGCAGGAATGGACATGACAACACACTTTTGACATGACTCATTCTTCCCTTGAAGCTGGGTATTCCCAGGCAGTAGTTTTCCAGATAATCCATTCTAAGTGGACATAGCAGGACACGCAGATTTTAGGGGTGATAGTCCATCTTAATAAAGATGGAATCTGGTGGACTTGTTCAAGAGAGAATCAGGTGATACATATGAAAGGATTAAGGATAATTTTGTTAGGTATGGTAATGGCAATACAGTTATGGTTTTGTTAACATAATAACATGAATGGTTCTGGACTTTCTGCAGCTTTATGGTATGTAAGTAATGTTCCCCCCCCCCTTGTTTTGAGGCAGGGTCTCACTCTGTGTCACCCAGGCTGGAGTGCAGTGACATGATTTCTGTTCATTGAAGCCTCAACTTCCCAGGTTCAAGTGATTCCCCCTCCTAAGCCTCCCAAGAAGCTGGGACTACAGGTGAGCACCACTGTGCCTGGCTAATTTTTGTATGTTTTGTACAGATGGAATTTCACCATGTTGCCCAGGCTGGTCTCAAACTCCTGAGCTCAAGCGATCTGCCTGGCTTGGCCTCCCAAAGCACTGGGATTACAGGTGTGAGCCACCAGGCCCAGCCATGTCCCAATTTTTAAGAGATATGTGGAGAAATGAAAGGTCATGCTGCTGTGCATTTGGCGTGGTGGCTCACACCTGTAATCCCAGCACTTTGGCAGGCCGAGGTGGGCAGATCACCTGAGGTTGGGAGTTCGAGACCAGCCTGACCAACATGAAGAAACCCTGTCTACTAAAACTACAAAATTAGCCAGGCGCAGTGGCACATGCCTGTAATCCCAGCTACCTGGGAGGCTGAGGCAGTAGAATCACCTGAACCTGGGAGGCGGAGGTTGTGGTGAGCTGAGATCGTGCCATTGGACTCCAGCCTGGGCAACAAGAGTGAAACTCTGTCTCAAAAAACAAACAAACAAAACAAACAAACAAACAAACCATGAAATAAACCAAAATCATAAGAGTCATTTTGTGTAAAAGGTGCGATTAGAAGGAACCTCTCTACCTGTTCAGAATAGAGTAATAATTACAAAAACAAGCACGTTACATTTTAGCAAATGGAAAAAAAAATAAAGCTATTTGCGAAATTTTAAAAATATATGTTTTTTCTCCCCAGGATCAAATGCCTTTTGCAAAGCTCTTTTTGTTATGTTGCTATCCAATTAAAAGCAGAAAATATTTGACTGGGTAGAGAGACCCACTTCATGTTCTGCCTGCCAGTCTGGGAGTAGATTATCTGTTGCTACGTGCAATCATCAATAGGACCATAAAGAGGAATCCTGCATGGTTGTTTGCAGTGTCTGGATGTTGTTAAATGAGGCATTTGCTTCATCATAAATTGTGCAACGCCTCTCCCATCCTCCCTTCTTTCTTTCTACCACTGCAGCCACAGCGTGTGTGCCTTTCTCAGAACGCAGGGGTACACGTGCTTTCCACAAATCATTATACCAGGTGCAAAACCTGAAAAAAAAAATTCCTTCAACAGACCTTTTTGAGCACCAGCTATGTACAAGCAGAAGGGCCCTGTTGATTTAATGCTCTGTTGGTGCCTTCTTGAAATTCTCAATGTTTTTTAACAAGAGGGTCTGCATTTTCATTTAGCACTGGCCCTGCAAATGCTGTAGCCCGTCTTGAGGAGCAAAACATACACACACACACACACACACACACACACACACACACACACACATCTCTGGCCTTATGTAGTATATGTGCTAGGATGCTAGGATTAGATTTGGGATCTGGCTCTGGGAGGCATATAGCTCTGTGGGAAGAGAGGCAGTTGTGTAAATACCTCCAACAGAGTGGGAGAAGAGGGAGACAGGAGGCAAGGTTACCTGGGCGGTGGAGCAAGTTTAACCTTAGAAAAGCAGTAGATGTTGGCTAGTGGAAGTTAGGGTGGACAGGAGAAGATGGGGGATATTTATCCATGAGCAGGGGCCTGGAGGTGCTGGGGGAAAGTGTTCTTGTGTGTGTTTATTAAAGCTGAGCTCATGGTCTGAGGGATACCAATGTGATGAGAGTGAGGAGGCCAGCGAGGGGCTCAGTCCCTAAAGGAACTTACCTGTCCTAAGAAGAAACTGCAACTTCATTCTTGGGTCAATAACTCTCAACACTTGGTGACCTATTAAGATCACTTGGGGCAACAACATTATACTAATCCCCTATCGCCACTTACATCAGAATTTCAGGGATGGGGATGAAGATATTGACAGTCTTGAGAGCAGCCCAGGTGATTTTATGGTTTAGCCAGAGTGAGAAACACCAGATTTAGGCAACAGGGAGTTGGGGCATAGGATATTACACTAATAAAGCTGTACAGAGTGTATTTGGTCATACTTATATTTTAGAAAGATCTAAAGGAGTTGGAGGATGAGTTAGGGAGGCACTCAGAAGGGGACAGTGCTTCTCAAAATTTTCTGTGCTCATGAATCACCTGGGGGTAGTGTTAAAAGGCTGACCCTACTAAGGTGTGAGGTGGAGCCTAACTACATTTCTAACAGCCTCTCAAGTGATGCTGATGCTGCATGTTCCTCCGCCACACTTTGAGTGTGCAAGTCAGGAGATGATTCCAGAAATCTGATTGCAAGAGACAATCAGGGCTGATGAAAGGCAGCGTGCATGGGATGGAGACATTTGTGCCAGCCCTCACGTTTCCTGCTAGGGTGAATGAGTAGAAGTTGTAAAAAGAAAGTTTTTCACTTAGTGGAGCACTTGCCCAGGAGATATCAAAGTTGATTGTCGAGTTTCAGTGCTACTGATTCTGATCGGCCCAAGCGGATAAGGACCATGCACTTTCAGTGGTCCCCATACCCCAGACCTAAGGGAAGACTTGTTTCTGATGACATTATGAGCCTTGTTTTTAACCAGCTGTTTGCAGATCTGCAGGCTCACTTTATCCAGTACAGACTGATAATTTTCAATCCTTCCATTAGGATAATTATTACATATTCCCCCTTTCTAGTACTTAAAAAGATCTAATGTTTCCCTCTTGAGGGAATACTTTTGTTTAAAGCTCTATGGGTTTTTGGTTTATTCATTGACGATATTGCACCATTCAGCATGTGGGGAACATAGGAGAAAGAACACATGGTTGAAGGAAAGGAATGTGGAGGGGATAAGAAAACAATTTCGGTTTGGATGTGTTAAGAGACAGAATGTGACAATCCTGGTGGAGTGAGGTGGGAACAGGGCCACAGACATGACCCTGGGTGGTATCAACATCTTGGGGATATGGCTGGGTGCGGTGGCTCAAGCCTGTAATCCCAGCACTTTGGGAGGCTGAGGCAGGCAGATCATCTGAGGTCAGGAGTTCGAGACCAGCCTGACCAACATGGTGAAACCCCATCTCTTCTAAACATACACAAAATTAACTGGGCGTGGTGGCAGGTGCCTGTAATCCCAACTACTCAGGAGGCTGAGGCAGGAGAATCGCTTGAACCTGGGAGGCGAAGGTTGCAGTGAGCCCAGATCATGCCACTGTGCTCCAGCCTGGCGACAGAGTGATACACTGTTTCAAAAAACCAAAAAACAAAAACCAGCATTTTGGGGATAGGCTGAGGATGCGGAGCCCACAGAAGACACCACAACAGGAGGCTTGGGAATGGCTTCTTTTCTGTACTCTCTCCTCCCACATACTCTCTCCTCCCACCTTGTAGAGGAGCCTGTACACTTCTTCCACAATGTTCGTTTCTGAAAGATGCATAGGCTGGTGGGATGCCCAGATAGGAAGGGATTAGGTCAGACTTACATACGGAGGCAAAATTTTACCTCTACTCTTTCAGGGTGTGTGTGTGTGTTTTTTTTTTCCTGTTGTTGTTGTTTGTTTGTTTGTTTTTGCTGCATCTGAGAATTAAAATAACATAAGTCAGACTAACAGAAGAGCAGACAAATTTATTTAATATGAAAGTTTTACGTGGCTCAGGAGCCTGCATAAGGCAATGAAGACCCCAAAGATGCAGTCAGAGTTGAACACTTACACCCCGAATTGGACAAAGAGCAGTACATTGTAAAAATGTGACAAGGCCAAGGGGTTTGGGGTAGGGCAGTTAATTGCATAGAGAGGTAGCTAGGAGGATTAGGGTTCATCTAACAAAGTTTTTTTGGTGCAGATTTCCCACCACCTCAAGTTCCCATCTTTGATAATAAGAATGATGTTTCTTTTTGTGTAGGGAGGCATCTTTCACATGGAAATTTCATCTCCCGCTTTGAAGAAACAGAAAGAAGTTCAGAGTGCTCTTCTTGCACCTGTTTTTTGTTTTTGTCTTTTTTTTTTTCAATTGCTTTTAGCTCAAAATAATTAGTACAGCAGAGAGGCATATTTTTAACTCCTTCAGCTACTATATTGTTTCTAGAACTACACTGTGCCTCCTACTATCAGGTACTGAGAGTTAGGATAATTTGTCTCCTTCTCTTAAGTTGTATTTTCTTCTCAGAGACCTAAAATCCTCTTTTCTCATCTCACTTCTATCTATTCCCCAATCTCCAAATCCCCAGTCTCTGGATGTGCCTGAAAATGTCTGAGCCCTAGAGAATCCCAGTCCCCATGCAAATCAGCAGAGGCAAGTGTGTAATTCCATGTGCTGTAAGCATCTCAGCTTCAACCCTTCCAGGATCTGCACCTCATTACAAAGCCCCCAAAGACCTCAGTCCTGTTGCTAGATGGCAGGAGGAGGGGGAAAATATCCATGAAAGAGTAGATCCTTTTAAGGCAATTGGGATTTTTGTGAGAGGTTGGGGGATGGAAGATAGAGGAAAAAGGAAGAGAATCAGGTAAAAGAGTAACTGAAATAATGGTCATCAAACTGTCCCCATAATCATTCAATAAGAGAACATTATGGGAGGAAAAAGCAGAGTAAAATAACAATAATAAAAACAATCCTTCCTCCTAATCATCATCAACCACAACAAAATTCCATCTGCAGTGTGGGTTCCAGATTAATTTGGTTCGGTTGCCTCTTAGCTTCTAGTGGAAATAACTTTGTTTTTTTCATGCTCTTCACAGGTCTTGTACTGGGGCCCTGGGGATTACTGGGTAGAAGAATGATCTAAGAAAAAGCTTCTGCAGCTCTATCTCCTAGAACAGAGGTTCTAGGCTGAGAGTCCCTTCATCCTTGCAATACTATAAAGGAAGAAATTGTGGGAGTCAGGTGTGGTGGGGATGAGATGAACTGGTTCTTTAACTTTCCATTGACCTAGAGTAGGGCTGCAAGTTAATTTAAATCTCAAGATTCCTTGCTCTTGACTGGATTTGTATCAACTTATTACAGAATTCTGCTCATCTCACACTCACCAAAAACTCTGATAGATAGATATTGGTGCATTTGATGAGCAGAAATGTGAAAAGTCATCCAAGTTTCTTCGGAAATAAACTCTTAAAAACATGGTTTCCATGATGGTGAGTGTGCGGTTAGACTTGCTGAGGACAGATTGGAACATTAATAGCAAATGCTTAGTGTTCTGGGAATTCGTTAAACAGGTATGAGCAGTAAATATGAACAACAAACATTTTATGCTGATGACATTTAATATTCAAATCAACCAGTACCATTGTGATACTTTCCAATGAAGTCACCCTCACAGTTATCAAGAATTAATAGTTATAATTAAACATTAATCAGACTGCACTTTGACCTACTTCTTTATAACCTGAAGTCACGTAGCACTAGGTACTGACCATTTTCATCCCCATTGTTCCTACAGATAGGATTTCTGATATTAGAATTGTAAAGCTTTTAAGAGTTGCTTAAGCAGATCCTGAATTCTAGTAGAACTGCTGACACCAACCAGTTTAAAGACCCCCAAAGAGGAACTGAATCAGTTTCTTCCTCTCTCTGTCCCACCAATCAACAATCTCCATGCTTCTGTCCACTCCAAAACCCTTAAAAAGCCTAGCCTAGCCCCAAATTCCTTAGGGAGATAGATCTGAAGTTCTTCTCCTTGTTCGATGGCCCTACAATTAAACTTCTTTCTCTGCTGCAACCTGGTGTCTTTGTGTATTGACATGCTGTGCACATTGGGCAACAAACCTATTATTGTTATACTTTTTCTTTTCTTTTTCTTCTTTTTCTTTTTATTTATTTATTTATTTATTCATTTTTTTTGAGACAGGGTCTCCCTCTCTCATCCAGGCTGGAGTGCAGTGTAGCACTGCAAACTCAAACTCCCAGGATCAAGCGATCTTCCCACCTCAGCCTCCTGAGTAGCTAAGACTACAGGTGCATGCCTCCATGCCTGGATAATTTTTGTATTCTTTGTAGAGAGGGGGTTTTGCCATGTTTCTCAGGCTGATCTTCAACTCCTGGACTCAAGCAATCCACCCACCTTGGCCTCCCAAAGTGTTGGGATTTACAGGTGTGAGCCCCTGCCTCCAGCCCTGGTTATACGAATATAATAAAAGAAAACATACATCTATCAGATTTTTAAAAAATCAGTTGACTTCTTTGGGGCTTTACATGAAAGCAGCTCATTTCATGGATGATGCATCTAAGTAAACACTGAGGTAGGAAAGGGGATGGAAAATCACAGATGTAGTGTTTTTTAGTTTTTAAAACAGCATGGCCAGAGGGTAATGATACAGTATAACCCTTTCACCTCATCCTAGCTATGGGGAGGGAATGGATGACTAAGGAAATTAAATATTCATTCACAGGCATATGAGGGGAAGTAACTTCTTTTTCTTCATCCTTTCCTTTTTTTTAATCCAAGTGACAGACTGATTAGTTTATTTCTGTATATTCCATACCCCCTGGATGGTTGGTTATACCATTTGTTCTTAGATTGTTTTATAAATTTTATGTCAGCTCATGTCAGGATTTAATAAAATAACCCACCCTTAGAGACAGCTACAACCTTGTATTATGAGCAGAGCATGATCAAGCTGTGGTTTCCTTCAGATAATATTTGCCATTCATTTTATGAGAAAACATTTTTTAAAATTAAATAGCTGATATATTTTGAATACCCATGAGTAGATACTAAGTTTTAGCAAAATGCTAACCATCCATTAAGCTAAAATATTTAAACACTGTATTTCAAACAGATTAAACATAAATAAATTTACATTTAATGATGTAATATATGATGGATATATGTTTTCTTTTATTATATTGGTATAACCGGGGCTGGATGCAGTGGCTCATGCCTGTAATCCCAGCGCTTTGGGATACTGACATGGGAAAATTTCTTGAGCCCAGGAGTTTGAGACCAGCCTGGCCAACATGGCGAAACCCCATCTCTATAAAAAATACAAAATTTTGCCAGGCGTGGTGGCGTGCGCCTGTAGTCCCAGCTACTCAGGAGGATCACCTGTTCCTTAATTTTAAAGGAACATATTTTACAAAAGAGACATTGGAAAAATTAGCTGGAAAAGGAATTTTTGGAATGGAAAAAAGGTTTTGAATCAGTGTCCTTGGATTTGCACCAGATATTCAGTTGGGTGTATGCCAGGCACCTACGGTATATTTTTGGCGTTATCCTGATTTGAGCTCAGGCTCCAATTCTATCGTTTACCTCTCCATTGTCAGGTAAATTGCACTGATACATTCTTTTGCTAATTTAATTCTGTTTGTAAAGAAGGATTGATCCCTTTTTAGCTCAGGTAATATTTTTCTTATACATAATGAAGCCAGAATTGTGTGAAGCTTTGCGTCCCTAGAGGATTAAAACTTGCTCTGGATTTCAGGGAACAGGAACACGCAGAACAAGAGAGAGTGTACAGATGATTCACAAAGCTCACTTTCCATGTCAGAGAGCGAGGAAAAGCCAAATGAACTAGAATTACTTAGATTGGACATTCAATCTAATAAACACTGGTTTATATTTAAATATAGTTTATATTTAATATAGTTTATGTAAAAATGGTTTATATTTAAATATAAACCATTCCCACTGGGATAGGTGTATTGCATGGGAATTAGGAAGAATTTCCAGATAATTATAGTAGAAACCAAAAAAGGAGTTGAGTGTGTGGGTGCTGCTGCAGGATATTATATTATAATCTGTTGAAATGTGAAGAGCAGATACCCTGACCAATAAAAGGAGGACCTATCCTCTCTAGATGGTGCTGAAGCTTTGACTGTTACCCATACGTCATCAACACTGTAATGTTGAGTAAATGCCCACATGGGCTGGGGTGATTTTCAGGCAGAAAGAGTACTTCACAACTAATAAGAACATGTACTGTTTGTTCATGAGAGCCTTAAAGAGGGAGAAATAAGGTGTGTTTTCATTTTCATTAACATATCCTTTGTAGGAGGGTGTAGGACATGGGACTCCTCAGATAAAAATACCGCCCCCCTGCTTTTTTTGTAACATTTTTTCCATTTTTAAAGAACTGGTAGTTCTGAAAGCACTTCTTTCTTTCTTTCTTTCTTTCTTTCTTTCTTTCTTTCTTTCTTTCTTTCTTTCTTTCTTGTTTCTTTCTTCTTTCTTTGTTTCTTTGTTTCTTTGTTTCTTTGTTTCTTTTTCTTTCTTTCTTTCTTTTCTTCCTTCCTTCCTTGCTTCCTTCCTTCCTTCCCTCCTTCCCTCCTTCCTTCTTTTCTTCCTTTCCTTTCCTTTCCGTTTTTTGAGACAGGGTCTCATTCTGTCACCCAGGCTGGAGTGCAGTAGCTCAATCTTGGCTCACTACAGCCTTGACCTCCTGGGCTCAAACAATCCTCCCTCTTCAGCCTCCTGAGTAGCTGGGACTACAGGCATGCGCCATCATGCCCGGATAATTTTTGTATTTTTTGTAGAGACAGGGTTTTGCTATGTTGCCCAGGCTGGTCTCCAACTCCTGGGCTCAAGTGATCCTCCTGCCTTGGCCTTCCAAAGTGCTGGGAATACAGAGGTGAGCCACTATGCCCAGACTGAAAGTACTATTTACTGATCAATTTGTGTGTGTAAAGTGAAATTCCCTCTGAGAACCAGAAGCTGTCTCACAGCACTCGTGTCTGAGAAGGAACTCTCTGGAGGCTGGAGGCGGCAAGCCTGTCCATTACCAGAAGGACTGGCCCGGTACTGAGTCAGGTGAATGACTCAGTTGTGGCACACTTACATCTGAAGGGTGGCAGAATGTGCTGCCCTAAATAAGCCAGTTTGGCAGAAGGATTATTTTGAGCTTGGAAAACAGCAGGTGCAAGAAGGGCTCCCTGACCTCCCCTTTCCTCCTGAAAGCAGGGGATGAAACCTCCATATGGAAGACGTCCTTTTGAGACCAGGGGGAAGGAAACAGTTGTATCACCAGGGAGGAGGACTTGAGGCTGAGAGAAATCTGTACAATTGTCCCTCGGTATGGGCAGGAGATTGGTTCCAGGACCCCCTGCGGATACCAAAATCATATAACATATAGTAGTATTTGCATATGGTAGTATTTGCAAAGTAAGTAGTTTTTTCATATAACCTATGTACATCTTCCTACATACTTTAAATTATCTCCAGATTACTTATAATACTTAATACAATGTAAATACTATATAAATACTTGTTGTACTATTATTGTATTGTATTATTAAATTGCTTTTTAATTGTATTATTTTTTATTTTTGTACTGTTATTTCTTACTAGTGTTTTTATTTAAAGATTTTTTTTTTGAGACAGCGTCTTGCCGTGTTGCCCAGGCTGGAGTGCAGTGGCACGATCACAACTCACTGCAGCCTCAACCTCCTGGACTCAAGCAGTCCCTCCACCTCAGCCTTCTGAGTAGCTGGGACCACAGACACAGTTCACCACACCCAGCTAATTAAAAAAAAATTTTTTTTGTTGTTGAAATGGGGTCTCACTCTGTTGCCCAGGCTGGTCTCAAATTCCTGGGGTCAAGTAATCATCTAGAATTAGCCTCCCAAAGTTTTGGGATTACAGGTGTGAGCCACCATGCCTGGCCTATTTGAATATTTTTGATCCATGATTGGCTGAATCTGCAGATGCAGATAGAGCAGGCCAACTGTACAGACAAACCTTCTTAAACTAATTCTTATCTTCCTAGTTCTCTCCACAATTAACTACCCAAGCCTGAGCCCATTTGTCCTGCCATGTTTTCACTATTAACTATTCTTCGTTCAACTCAGTACATAAGCACTTGGGTTTTGCCACTTCTTTGGGTCTTTATTTTCCTATGTGGGCTTCCATGCCAAGATTGAGCCACTGCACTCCAACCTGGGGTCCCACAGAAATAAAATCAGTGTGCTTCTCTCCTGTTAATCTGTCCTATGTCAATTTAATTCTCAGGCCCTGCTGGAGGCTCTAGGAGGTGGGAGGTAACCTGTTGCCTCCCCCACACCTTCACTGTGGATTTGATGCAGCATTCTATTTGAATGAAGAATTCCTCTGTTGAGAGGATTTAAACCTTGACTGAATTAGAATGAAAACAAAAAAAACAAGTACTAGACCAGGAGCAATATTTTTGTGTTTTTGTTTTCTTGATATAAACACTGGTACTCAGCTGTGACAGAAAGATACTTCAAATACCTACAGAGGAGGAATTCACCATCAGATCCTAAACTATATTCTTTATCAGAATAGAAAAAAAAAGTGCTTTAATTGTTTTTGCATCCCATTAGTGGGTGAGTCTATACCTTTATATTGACTTTCACCTGCCAAAGGCAATTCATTGGGTCTGCAGCATATTAGAGGGTCTGTGTTCTTTTCCCTAACATTTGTGAATGGTATTTATTGTGCATGGGATGATTATAAATGCTAAGCTAAAAACCATTTTCAAGCTCTTTTTTTATGTCATTAAATTCTGTCTTTTTAGATTTCTCTGCAAAGATATTTGTTTCTAAGAAAACCAGTTGGTGTAGGGGTGGCAAAACCACCATGAACATCATATCGTAAGGGTATTGTCAGTCCTCTACTTGGCCAGTGTCTACTCCTGGATCCAGGGCTTGCTGGAGTGGGTTAAATGAATGAAGCAATCAGCCTCATTCTAGAAAGGAGAGTGGAAGACTATTCTTATGTGCTCCGTTGGGTGAGCCCATGGTCTGGGGAGGGAGTCAACAACTCTGTAACGTGGTCTATCATAGTAGTTAAGGTGAGATAGGTTTTGATGCAGATCTTCTTTGGCATTGCATAAAGCTGGGTTTGATTATCAGCTCTTCCCTTACTGCTGAGTATTCTGGGGTAAATTACTTAAATTCCTGAGCCTCTGTTTCTTCATCTAGAAAACTGGAGTCATTATCATGTTTAATTTATGGGAGTGATGTTAGCATTCAATGGAAGCATGTTGAAAATGAGTGGAGTGCCTGGCATGTGCTTATTTGTTAAACATTCTAATTGAGGTTATTAGAGGGAAGGGTAACCACTGAGAGTCCCCTGTAGGATTTGGTCAATAGGTACTCATGTTCACCTCCTTCTAAAATGTCTTCCCTTACTGCAGAGATTAGAAAACTAAAAATGACTGGACTTCCCAGACAGGCTTTCAGCCAGAAAATTGTTTCCTTTCATCAGAGATACTTACAGGATATTTACAAGGACAAGATGATATGGTGGCCAATTGCATGATGCTTTTGGCTATTTTCTGCAGGCAAACAAGGTCACGGGATTATGGAATTTAATGGAGCACTGGTCTAGCTTTATAGGTGGTAAGAAGCAATAACTTTTTTTTTCTTTTATTTTTGAGACAGAGTCTTGCTCTGTCACCCATGCTGGAGTGCGGTGATACGATCTCAGCTCACTGCAACCTCCACCTCCCGGATTCAAGCAATACTCCTGCCTCAGCCTCCTGAGTAGCTGAAATTACAGGCGTCCGCCACCACACCCTGCTAATTTTTGTATTTTTAGTAGAGATGGGGTTTCACCATACTGTTCAGGCTGGTCTTGAACTCCTGATCTCAGGTGATCTGCCCGCCTTGGCCTCCCAAAGTGCTGGGATTACATGCATGAGGCACCGCGCTTGGCCAGAAGCAATAATTTTTTGATCCTGGTTTTCAGATTTCTATTTCTTCATCCCTGGATTGCAGCTTTGGTGATATGTTCTTGAACACAGTAGTTTCTGGAACAGCCTTCGGATTTGCAACTTTCCTGATTTTAGCAGAGGAAGAACCTCCCTGGTGGTCAATTCGTTGGCATTCTGGGCGTTCTCCTGGAGCTTCATCTGAGATCCCATTTCTCCAACCTTTCTACCACTTCTATAATGACATCTCTTTGTGTTTAAAATACTGAGTAGATTCTGTTTCAAATGCTAGATTCTACTTTAAACAGTAAGCAAGACCTATTAGGATAATGGAAAAACGGGAGCAGATAAAAAAGAAGGGGATGCTGAGAGGTAGAGTTGCAAGAGGAAGGAGAGGCAGAAGGTAACGTTAGGCCAGGAGTGGTGACTCACACCTGTAATCCCAACACTTTGGGAGGCCAAGGTGGGAGGATTGCTGGAGGCCAGGAGTTCATGACCAGCAACATAGCAGGACCTCATCTATACATAAATAAATAAATAAATAAAGGCATGTTTATGTGCCTGATAAAGTAACACCTACAGCTGCTGACAGTCCAGACAGAACATGAAAAACTCAAGAAGTGACAAGTAAAATTTTCTAGAAACTTGAACAAATGGCTGGGTGCAGTGGCACACCCCTGTAATCTCAGCACTTTAGGAGGCCAAGGTGGGAGGATCACTTGAGCTCTGAAAACCAAGACCAGCCGGGCGCTGTGGCTCACACCTGTAATCCCAGCACTTTGGAAGGCCAAGGCACGTGGATCACGAGGTCAGGAGTTTGAGACCAGCCTGGCCAACATGGTGAAACCCCGTCTCTACTAAAAATACAAAAATTAGCGGGGTGTGGTGGCGCGTGCCTGTAGTCCCAGCAACTCGGGAGGCTGAGGCAGGAGAATCGCTTGAACCCTGGAGGCAGAGGTTGCAGTGAGCTGAGATCGTGCCACTGCACTCCAGCCTGGGTGACAAGAACAAAAACTCCATCTCAAAAAAAAAAAAAAAAAAAGAAAAGAAAAAAAAGAAAACCGAGACCAGGCTGGGCAACATAGTGAGACCTTTCTCTACAAAAAAAATTAAAAATTAGCTGGGCATTGTGACACCCACCTGTAGTCCTAACTACTCAGGAGACTGAGGTGGGAAGATCCCTTGAACCCAGGAGGTCAAGGCTGTAGTGAGCTATTGTCATGTCACTGCGCTTTAGCCTGGGTAACAGAGCCAGATCCTGTGAAGGAAGGAAGGGAGGAAGGAAAGAAAGAGAGAGAGAGAGAGAGAAAGAAAAAGAAAGAAAGAAAGAAAGAAAGAAAGAAAGAAAGAGAAAGGAGAAAGAGAAAGAGAGAAAGAAAGAAAGGAAGGAAGAAAGGAAAGAAAGAAAGAAAGAAGAAAGGAAAGAAGGAAGGAGGGAAGGAAGGGAAACAGAAAAAAGAAAGAAAGAAAGGGAAAAAAGAAAGAAAGAAAAGAAAGAGAGAAAGAAAGAAAGAAACTTGAACAAACTTCAGATATTTGGTCATTGGGCTTGTTTGAGCAGCATGGGGGACCAAGTAAGTGTCTTGGAGTAAAGCCTTTGCATGATATGAAAACTTCTTTTCATTGACTTCTTTCTCTACCAAGAAAGTGTAAGAAACAACTAACCCCTCTCTGAGAATTATTCCATAAATGATTTGAATAGCAAAGTTTGATGGTAAATAATTACTTGGGTTTCTGGCTTGATTGGACTGTTAATATATAGACTATGAGCGCCATGGGGCTGCAGAGTCATTACCCGTTGGTGCTCTCCTACCTGAAGCTTGATGATTAAGCCACTCTCTCCCCTAGGGCTGTGCTCCTATTTCAGAGGCTGATCTGTCACAAGCGTAAAGAGGATTAAGTATTACAGAAGCATTCTAGGCTATGAAGCATAACCCCCTGTTCTGATGATGTTTGTATTCAACTGTGGCTTGGAATAATCATGGATAGAAGAGCCCTTAAGGAAACCCTCTTATTAGCACATTTATCCACAGGTATCTAGAGATAACAACTCTTAGTGAAATGTCAGCATACTTATTGGTCTTTGGCGAAAGCTGGCTTATCAGCAAGGGTGCTGGGGAAAGGGCACTTGAGTGTAAAGAAAGCAACCATTTCTCTGGCAATCTGTTGTAGGTAGCAGATTGGGACCATTCTGCCTCCTCTTCATACAAGATGCTGGTGACAGACGGTTTTAGAAAAGGTTTGATATGGCTGGCCTTATCAACAACTACGGAAAAAGTAAGGGGGTGACAACTGCCTCATTGGATCTTTTTTGGAAAAGATTTCCACTCCCATTCTGTTGAAATATCATCACCAGCAAACACAGATAGCAGACTAGGCATCTGTATAAAACATAATAAAATTAGGTGGATTTACTAATATGGTAGATGTAAGATGGCCACAAAATCTACAGTTCCTCTCATCAAGAAGTGAAATCTATATCCACACCTCTTCAAGTTGGGCTGGCCTTGTGACTTGCTTTGACTAATAGAATGTTGGAGAGGTGATATTATATGACTTCCAAGTCTGGCAGCTTCTGTTCTTATCACCTTGAAATGCTACCATTGCTGTATGAAGAAGCCTAGGCTAGTCTATTGGAGAATTAAACTCTGTAGAACAGAGGTGCTATCCTAGTTGAGACCCTCTAGATCAAGCAGCCCCCAGACAATCCACCAGGGCCGTAGCCTCAATGGATAACTTCAGATAACACCAGCAAAAGTCACCTGCTCACTTGAAACCAGTCCAAAATATTGGCCCGCAGACTTGTGAGAAAATAAAATCGTTTTTATTTAAAGCCACAAAATGTTGGCTTGCTATGCACCAATAGATAAGATACAATTAGCTATACTGAGATTGGCCTTGCTGAGTACGTAGAAAAGAACGTGAGACATGCAATGCTGTAGGCCTTGATGATCAAATCAAAGCCACACTAAGTTTTTTTTGAAATGGAGTCTTGCTCTGTCGCCATGGCATGATCTTGGCTCACTTCAGTCTCTGGCTCCTGGGTTCAAGTGATTCTCCTGCCTTAGCCTCCCAAGTAGCTGGGATTACAGGTGTGTGCCACCACACCCAGCTAATTTTTGTATTTTTAGTACAGATGGGCTTTCACTATATTGGCTAGGATGGTCTCGATCTCTTGACCTCGTCATCCGCCCGCCTCGACCTCCCAAAGTGCTAGGATTACAAGTGAGCAACCACACCTGGCCAGCCACACCAAGTTTTAAAAGTGATTCTACATCTTCAAATTGGATTCTGTAAGAACCACAATCAGCAACTTTCTTACATCTCTTTAGAGCAATATACTCCTTACCAAAGAGTCATATTTGTAGATGGCACTTTAGAAGATGGCGAATTCACCTACTTCTTTCTTCAGAAATCTCCTTTGTAGCATCTCTAGTGAGTACCTAGCTAGCTTCAGCTTGAATTATTCTAAGAGGAATTCATCATACTTTGAGTTTGTTTCTTTCAACGCTTGTTGTTAGAACATTATCCCTTATGCCAAAATAGGCCATGTAATACTTTCTACCTAGTATTCCTGATTCTGTATTTTCTGAAGCTGCAAAGAATGAGGCTTACTCCAAACTCCTCTTTCTTCCTTCTTGGCCAGGGCTTTTCTTCAACTTACATATTCATAGGTTTATTGACTAATGATTCATTCTGTGATCAACTGTTTCAGATTGTTGATTATCCATATTGCTGATCTTTGAGCTCTTCCACATTCTATTGTTTTGAACCTGAAGATACTTTGCATTTATCCCCTATCTTATCTTCATTATCATACCCATTATCTTCACTATCTCCAAAACAACAACAACAACAACAACAAAATGAGATGTTTTGCTTACTATCCTCCTCTATTCTAGCATTAAAAAAAAAAAAAGTCATCCCTCCTGACTTCCTGTTGCATATGCATCTCAAGAATGTGTTGTCATTCAATTGCTAAGCTTGGAACAGGACAGGTCTGAATATATCCAGACAGCAGTAATCAATGTATTCATCTCCAGTGAGGATGGAATTTTATCCTTTTGAAAGATAGAAAATAAGCCTGGAGCAGTGGCTCATGCCTATAATCGCAGCACTTTAAGAGGCTGATGGGAGTGGATCACCTGAGGTCAGGAGTTCGAGAACAGCCTGGTCAACATGGTGAAAACCCCGTCTCTACTAAAAATACAAAAATTAGCTAGGCGGGGTGGCACATGTTTATAATTGCAGCTACTTGGGAGGCTGAGGCAGGACAATAGCTTGAGCCCAGGGGGCAGGGGTTGCACAGTAAGCCAAGATTGCGCCACTGCGCTCCAACTGGACGACAGGGCAAGACTCTGTCTCAAAAAAAAAAAAAAAAAAAAAAAAGACAGAAAGATAGAAAATAATGAAAGGAACGTGTGATAGAAAGCATGAAGGCAAGAATGAACTAGGCGAGGAACTGATCTGGATTATGTAGTAGGGAAAAATTGAAGAATGACAGGAAAGAAAACATTGGCTGATGTATTAATTTAGATTGTCTTCTCCTAGAGAAACAGATAATGCAATGAATGCTGGCTTAAACCCAACAGTGTGTTGTACGAGAGCTGTTTCTTGAATTTTCAGAAGTTTTGCATGCCAATTGTTAAAAACAGCCATTATTGAAAATTAGATATGTAAATATGTTATTTACATTATCCATGTGATTGGAATACTATATAATAGTGTGCTATTGTACATCTCTTTTTATTTTTGAAATCAGCCCTAAATGAAAGAATTTATACCACAAAAATAACAAATGCTAAAAATCAGGGCTTCACACCCCCACCCCCAACCTCCAAGAGCCAGGAGCTGACACTTATCAATGCTTAAATGCCACGTTTGGTTGTTTATTTTGATTTCTCATGCACCATGAAATCTGGGCACAGGCAGTGGTTACCGTTAGTTCAATGGCCCAAGAGTATCAGGGCTGAGGTCTCTGCTTTTCCCTCATAGTTCTAAGATATCTCTGCTGTTCTTAACATTACGTCCACATTTTCAGCAGGAAGAAGAAGGAAGGCACAAAAGGGAAGAGGTAGTCCCCATATTTAGAAAACAAGTATTTCCAAGAAGTCTCTAGCAGACTTCTGAGATTCAAGAAGGTATAGGAGATGTAGTTTTTGTTTGTTTGTTTGTTTTTGAGATGGAGTTTCACTCTGGTTTCCCAGGTTGGAGTGCAGTGGCGCAATCTCGGCTCACTGCAAACTCCACCTCCTGGGTTTAAGCGATTCTCCTGCCTCAGCCTCCTGAGTAGCTGGGATTACAGGCATGCACCACCATGCCCAGCTAATTTTGTATTTTTAGTAGAGATGGCGTTTCTCCATGTTGGTCAGGCTGGTCTCAAACTCCTGGCCTCAGGTGATCCACCCTCCTCGGCCTCCCAAAGTAATGGGATTGCAGGCATGAGCCACTGTGCCCGGCCTCGGAGATGTAGTTTTTAACCCGAGCACAATGACTTTCCCTCCCCCACAAAACGGGGTTGCTGTTAGTAAGTGAAATGGAGAAAACAGATTTTAGATAGACAGCTTTTAGTCTTGTCCATGGCTGAATTGATGGATGGACAGATCATACCTCATGATTGTATAGTGCATTAGCATTTACATATATATCTGCCTTAAGTCATTTTTATATTAATAGCAGTTCCGTGAAGCAGAGCAGGTTTCGCTGTGGTCCATTCTACAGCAGAAGAAACTGAGGCTCAGAGAGGTCATAGAGATCGTTTATCACAAAGTTAGTAATTAGGCCAGGTGCAGTGGGTCACACCTGTAATCCCAACATTTTGGGAGGCCAAGGCAGGTGGAATACTTGAGCCCGGGAGTTTGAGATTGGCCTGGTCAACATGACAAAACCGTATCTCTACAAAAAATACAAAAATTAGCTGGGCGTGGTTGCACACCCTGTAGTCCCAGCTGCTCAGGAGGCTGGGATGGGAGGATCACTTGAGCCCGGGATGTCAAGGCTGCAGTGAGCTGTGATGACATCACTGCACTCCAGCCCGGGTGACAGAGCAAGACGCAGTCTCAAAACAAAACAAAATCCCAAAGTTAATAATTAAACCAAGTCTTCCTTCTCCAAGTCCCCAGCTCTTTCCATTTTACCACATAACTTCAGTCCTCTATTGTAAAGGATTTTGAAAACCAACAAGAAATTCTAATAATGAGATCTTCTGAAATATCTGACAAAAATTGGAAGGACAGAGAAAATATCAAGAATGTGAAGACAGTGGAATGAAGTCTGGAGGAGACGTGTTAACACCTTGCTCTATTTTTGCTTCAGATACTTTATATTTATAGCCTACGCTCTTACAGTTGCTTCTTGCTGCTAGAATCAAGGCCGGTGGTTTGATGCATTGCACTGGGGAGTTCACATGTACTTCCTGGAATGTGTTCTAGTTTGTTCATGGTAAGTATCTCAGTCTTATCTCAATATTGGCCTTACCAAGTTCTGCTTTTTCTATGGATTATCTGGGAGCCATTCCTTGGTCCTCTGAAATTACAAACCCAGACAACTGAGCATGGTCAATTGTCCTCCACGAAAACACCCAGGTGAAAAGGGAGTGAGTGTTATTTTCTTTGAGGATTGACTTTCTCTACTATGTAACAATCCTTTAAATTTCTGTTTAAAAACCTTTTTAAAAGTGGTGAAGCTGCTCCATAATCTTATTGTCTTAAGAGCTCATTCTCTTAACCACGGAACTAGATCGCCTCTCAAATTAGTACAGAAAGTGTGAGTTTTTATTTACTTATTTATTTTGAGTTGGAGTCTCACTCTCACCCAGCCTGGAGTGCAGTGGCACAATCTTGGTTCACTGCAACCTCTGCCTCCTGGGCTCAGCCAATCCTCCCACCTCAGCCTCCCCAGCTAGGACCACAGGCATGTGCCACCACACCCAGCTAATTTTTTGTATTATTATTATTATATTTTTTGGTAGAGATAAGGTTTTGCCATGTTGCCCAGGCTGATCTCGATATCCTGACCTAAAGCAATCCACCCACTGTGGCCTCACAAAGTGCTGGATTACAGCTAGTTTTTATTTATTTATTTATTTATTTTTATTTTATTTATTATTATTATTATTTTTTGAGACAAAGTCTTCCTCTGTCGTCCAGGCTGGAGTGCAGTGGTGTGATCTTGGCTCACTGCAATTTCCACCTCCCTGGTTCAAGCGATTCTCCTGCCTCGGCCTCCCTAGAAGCTGGGATTACAGGTGCATGCCACCACGTCTGTCTGATTTTTGTATTTTTAGTAGAGACGGGGTTTCACCATGTTGGCCAGGGTGGTCTCAAACTCCTGACCTCAGGTGATCCACCTGCCTCGGCCTCCCAAAGTGCTGGCATTACAGGTGTGAGCTACCATGCCCGGCCTTATTTATTTTTATAGTAGTTCATTGAGTGGATGCTTCACAACGTATTTATCTGTTCCCTACTGATGGACTTAAGGCTGTTTCCATTTTTGCTAGTGCAAACAATGCTGCAACGAATAACCTTGTATAAATACGTATTAACTATATTTTATATTTTTTGCATTATTGATGCTCTGGCACCTGCGGCCTCACTGACCCAGGGGAAACTGCCTCTCCAGGACTAGCCAATTCTTAGAGATAGCAAATTACTCCCCTGGGAGTGCACCTTTCAAACATAAACCAACCAATCCACAGCCCATCCTCCAACTACCTCCTTTACTGAGCTCTTACACTCCCAGCCACGATCCATCTCCCCTAATCACCCCAGGACCAGGTGCCAGACAACTTAGGGGGCTAATTTCAGAGACTGCTCCAGAGCCCACTGAAATTCTTCATATTAGCCAATCCTAAACCTATCTATCCTGCTTAGGCAGTTTTATTTATTCCTTTCCATGAAAACCACAGTAAAGACTCTCATCTATGCTTTCCTCTCCTCCCTTTACCTTCTGACTGATCCTGATGCTTCCCCAGGTGGCCCTGTGTGGTACAATGGATGTGCCTTTTGTTTCTAGGAAACTGTGAGTAAAAATTTCTTTCATGACAGTCATTTCTGTGTCTTATTAAACCTTATGAAAACAAGGTACATTTTAATACAAAATGTTATTTTGACTGGGTGTGGTGGCTCACACCTGTAATCCCAGCACTTGGGGAGGCAGAGGGAGGAGGATTTTTTGAGCCCAGGAGTTTGAGACCAGTCTGGGAAACATAGTAAGACTCTGGGTGTGGTGGTGTGTGCCTGTAGTCCCAGCTACTTGGGAGGCTGAGGCAGGAGGATTGCTTAAGCTCAGAAATTCGAGGCTGCAGTGAGCTCTGATTGCACCACTGCACTCCAGCCTGGGTGACAGAGCAAGACCCTGTCTCAAAACAAACCAAAAATGTTAGTTTGTACATGTGTGGGTAGGATAAATTCCCAGAAATGAAATTTCAGAATCATCAGGTAATGCATATTTAAAATTTTGATAGCCAAATAGGACCTCAAAGAGGGTTTATCAATTTATACTCTCACCACTAATGCCTGTTTCCCCATAGCCTTCCAGCACAGTGACATCAACTTACTGATTTGTCTAATATGATAGGTTTTAAAAAAGGCATTTCTTTGTCATTTTACTTAGCATGTCTCTTAATATGAGCGAGATTAATCATCTTTCATGTGTTTAAAAGTCATTTATTCATCTGTAAACTTCATTCCCCTTCTTTTCCCATTTTAGTTGTAGCTTTCTTAATGCTTTGTGGAAGGTCTTTATATATATGATTCTTATCAATTTGTAGCAGCCATTTGTGATATAGGTCCCAAAAACAAGTGCAAAATCCTAAAAAGCAGCCTGAGCAAAAAAGATGTATTACCCTCAAAGGAGCAACAGCTAGACTGACAGCTAACTTCTCAGCCATGGGAATGGAAACCAGAGGACAACGGAAAGATGAATTCAATGCTCTGAAAGTAACTGGAAACTCAGAATTCCAGGTCCAATTAAAAAAATTGAGAAATGAAGAGAAAACGATGTCATTATTATAAAAAATGGAGAGAATTCATCAGCAGCAAACCTGCACTCAAGGAAATAGTAAAGGGAATGTTTTAGGTAGAAGGAAAATAATTCTCAGATTGGACTTTGCAGATTCTGAAAGAAGAAAACATACAGGCTAAATATTTAAATAAATCCAAATAAAAAGTGATACCTAAAACAATAATTGAAGTATTTTGTGAGGTTTTAACTATGTATAGAATTTAAAGTCACAAAACAATGGTATAAAAGGCAGGAAGAATTAAATGGAGTTGAAATGTTCTAAGGTCATTGCATTGTCTGGGAAGTGATGAAGTGCCAATTTATATTTTACTTTAAAAAAAAAATAGGGTCTTGCTCTGTCATCCAGGCTGGAGTGCTGCTGTGGCACAATCATGGCTCACTGCTGTCTTGATCTCCTGGGCTCAAGTGATTCTACCACCTCAGCCTTCCAAGTAGCTGGGACTACAAGCATGTGCCACCATGTTCAGTTAATTTTTTTTTGTAGAGATGGAGTCTCACTGTGTTGCCCAGGCTGGTCTCAAAGTCTTGAGCTCAAACAATCCTCCCACCTCAGCCTCCCAAAGTGCCGGGATTACAGGTGTGGGCCACAGTGCCCAGCCTATATTTTGCTTTAATAAATCAAGGGTGAATGCTATAATCTCTAGAGTAGCCACTGAAAGAATCGTTTTTTGAAAAGTATGATGAACAAGCAAATGCAGGGAAAATAGAGTAATAAAAAGCAATTAATCCAAAGGAAGACATGAAAAAGAAAAAGAGAAGAAAAGGAACACAGGATGGGTGGAACAAATAGAAAGTAGACAGTAAGGTAGTATATTAAAATCTAATGTATCAGTAATTATATTAAATATAAAGAGATTACTCCAATTAAAAGATGAAGATTATCAGAATGGATTCAGAAACACTCAAATTACATGCTGCCTTCTAAGAATCACACACCAAAGCTAAGGATACTGAAAAGCTGGAAGTAAAAGAATGAAAAAAAGCTATATCATGCAATATACTAGATGAAGTGCTATATCAAACAAAACAAGCTTTAAGAAAAGAAGCAGTATTAAAGTTAGAGGTTCATAACAATAAAAGTTAATGACAGGATAGAGCAGAGTGATAAAAGGGTAACCAACTAAGAAAACGTAATAATTCTAAATTGTATGCACTTAATTGCACTCATACTCAATCTTATTCATATTAAGAAAATACAAATAAAAAAATAAAAAATACCCTTTTTAACCTTATCATATTAGACAATGAGTAAGTTAATATCACTCTGTTGTCAAGGCTATGAGGTAACAGGCATTAGCAGTGAGAGTATAAGTTGATATACCCTCTTTGAGGGCCTGTTTGGTCACAGCTATCAAAACTAAAAATGCACATTATCTTTGAGTCAAAAATTTTCTTTCTGGAAATGTGTTCTACTCGCACATTGTGCAAAATATGAGAAAAATTTTATGATAACTTAATAGATGCAGAAAAAAACATTTGGCTAAATTAACACTTATTTAAAATAAAATTATTGGTAAAGTAAGAACAGCAGTTGTAGTAACTATTGCTGCATAAGAAATTACCCAAAACTTCATGACTCAAAACAACAAATAAATGCCTATCATCCTTACATATTCTCTGGATCAGGAATCTGGGAGCAGCTTAGGTTGGAATTCTTGCTCTGGATCTCTCAATGAGGCTTTAATCAACATTTTGGTAAGGGTCACAGTTATAGCAAGGCTTGACTTGGAGGATCTGATTCCAAGGTGGCTCACTCACATGGCTGGCAACTTGGTGTTGGTTGTTGGTGGGAGACATTATTCTTTATTCATTATTATTACATGTGAACCTCTTTATTGGACTGCTTCAGTCTTCTCAAGACATAATGGCTGGTTTCCCTCTGGGTAAGTAATTCAAGAAAGATTAAGAAACACTAGAGAGAAGAGATGGACACAGAAATGTCTTTGATGACATAATTTTGGAAGTCACCCATTGTTTCTGCCATATTCTTTTCAACACACAGGTTAGCCATGGTTCAGTGTGGCAGAATACTATACAAGAACTTGGACTTGGAGGTGAGAATTATTGGGGCCATCTTAGATGCTGACTTCCACAAAAGAGAATGCCCTTAATCTTATAATGTGTGTCTACAAAAAAATCTCAAAACAAACATTATATTTGATAGTAAAATTCTGGCATTTCCCCTTGAAATTGGGACTGAGACAAGAATGCTCACTGGAACCATTTCTACTCAATGTTGTACCGAAGTCCTATTCAATGAAGGAGGAGGAGGAAGAGAGGTGAGAGGCATTAGCATTTGTTAGACAAAAAGGGAAAAAAAGTCATTATTCGTAGATAACTTGATAATACATAGAAATTACAACTGAATCTCCCGATACACTTTCAGACTGAATGAGTGAATTAAGTAAGGTCACCAGTTACAAGATCTACATATAAAAATCTAATAGTATTTCTACAGCAATAAAAAATTAGAAGTAAAATTATTAAATATCACCATTTAGGATAGTATATGAAATCAACTACTTAGGAATAAATCCAATGAAAGATATCCAGGACATCTACACAGAAAACCATATAACATTATTGAGGGAAATTTTAACAATTGAAGGAAATTCAAATAAAATCAGAGAAGACTCAGTATTGTAAAGATTCCAAGTCTCCCCATATTGATACATAGATTCAGTGTAATCCCAACTGGCTTCTATTGAGTGCGAGGGAACTGACGAGATTATTTTATTTTAAAATTTATATGGAAATACAAAGGGAAAAGAATAGTAGCCAAGATAATCTTGAAAAATAGAGAGGGTGGAAAACTTATACTACTAATATCAAGATTTTATTTAGCTACAGAAATTAATACAGTAGGTAACTAGTACAAGGACAGGTAAATAGACCAAACTGATGAACAGAGTTCAATAAGAGCCACACATATATGGACACGGGATTTATCACAAAGGAACACTGCAGAGCCATGGTAAATGACAGTCTTTAATAAATAGTGTTGGGTCAACTAGATATCCACAAAGAAAAATTAAAATTTTGACCCCTATCTCATACATATAAAAATCGATTTCAAGTGGACTGTAGCTTTAAATGTGAATGGTCATTCAATACGTTTTCCAGAACATAGTAGAATATCTTCATGACCTTGGGGTGAGCAAAGATTTCTTAAGTAACAAACAAAACATTAACATAAATTGTGTTCATCACAGATATCTTTATGGGAGAGAAGGGCCGCTAACATCTAACATCGTGGGAGCAGATATTCACAAAGCATGTAACTGAAAAATGACTCATATCCAGATACACAAATTATTGCTTACCAGTTAGAAAATACAGATAACCCAGTAAAGAAATGAACGAAGAACTTGAAAAGGCTCTCCATACAAGAGAATACCCAAATAACATACACATATAGAAAACCATATGCAACTATATAGATATGAAAGATGTTCAGCCTCATTAATCATCTTTAGTCATTAGGAAAATGTTGATCATGTTTTTGTAAACGTATTTACCTGGGTGGTGGTTAAATGGGTGTGCTCACTTTTGTGGCAATTTATCAAGATGTATACTTAAAATGTGTGCACTTTTTTGTATATTTGTTATACTTCAATGAAAACATTATTTGGCCAGGTGAGGTGGCTCACGCCTGTATTCCCAGCACTTTGGGAGGCTGAGGTGGGTGGATCACAAGGTCAGGAGTTTGAGATCAGCCTGGCCAACATGGTGAAACCCCGTCTCTACTAAAACAGTACAAAAATTAGCCGGACATGGTGGAGTGTGCCTGTAACCCCAGCTACTCAGGAGGCTGAGGGGGGAAAATTGCTTGAACTGGGGAGGTGGAGGTTGCAGCGAGCCGAGATGGCACCACTGCACTCCAGCATGGGCAACAGAGGAAGACGCCATCTCAAAAAAAAAAAAAAAAGTTCCTTTTCATTTGAATTAGCTGTAGAAGGGCTTCAGTCATTTCTTTTTGTTTGTTTTATTTATTTATTTATTTTTTAAATAGAGACCGAGTCTTACCATGTTGCCCAGCCTCGTCTCAAACTCCTGGGCTCAGGTAATCCTCTTTCCTCGGCCTCCCTAAGTGCTAGGCTTACAGGTGTGAGCCACCGTGCCTGGCCGGCTTCAGTCATTTCTAATGCAAGGAGTGAGATTAATATGTCTTGTACAGTGAGACAGTCCTTATGTAATCCAGCCATGTGTAGTGATTTACCTGTCTTTCCTAGATAAATAATTTCAGGGGTCTCATTTCTTTTTCTTGATTTGTTTCTGGCTGCTTTTATGGAAATACGCTACATCCATGGGCAAGAAATCCCCGATTCTCAGGAGACGGTTATCCCACAGGAAGTCCACAGGAAGTTCATCTGGCCACATGTTTTAACAGCCTTACTTCTCCTCACTTGAGCAGTGCGCCAGGGAGACTTCCATTTAGTTTGGGAAGCACCGACTTGATTTCATTTTTTTTTTCAGCCTTTGTTGATTGTAGCTCCATTTCTCCACTTGACAATGGTGGTTCTAAACTCTTCTGGATCTGGGACATCTTTGAAAATCTGATCAAATCTCTGGACCCTTTCCCAACGGGGAAAAATGCGCATAGATACTTTCAAAACAAAATTTTGTTTACAGTTCGGAGATGGAGATGGGAAGAGACTCCAGGGAGTTAAAATAGCAGGATTAGTGTAATTGGTTTCTCTACTAGTTAGAGAGCTCAGTTGGAATTACCTATGTAAATTTCCTTTATCACTTTTTATTTAAACCTTTTGGGTTGTAAACGAAGCAGTTATCAATCAAGTTAGGCAACACAATATCAGCTTTGGAAGTAAAACAAGGGACAAAAGCTATCATCAAAATGCAAATGAAATTTCCTGGGTGTGTCTTTCCTAATTCTTTTAAAGAAGAGGGAAAATGGGTACTTGTGGTTGTGGGAAATGCTTTTCCATTAATGGAGAAATTGAAACAAAAAGAGAAAAGCAAGTCCTGAGGCTTTCTTTTTTTTTTCTTTTTCCTGGAATTGGTCTTCCTAAGATAGGTGGATTCTTAAGGAATGCTCATCTTTAATAGCATATGTCAGGAGCACTCAACTCAGACTTCTTCCCTCTATAACCCACCCCAAGCTCCCTCTCTTTAGGGATCAGTGGGGGCCCTCTGGAATCCTAGGTTAGCTACCTAACCTAAGGTAAGGGTCCAGCCAGTACCAACTAGATCAGTGTGTTGGGCTGCTGAACCAACTTCCCTTTTCCACCCCTGGCTGGCAAAGTGTAGTTAAGCAGGGAATAATTTGCATGGCAAATTTATATTTAAATGTGAGGACCAGTCTGTTTTTAATTTTATTCTATACAGCTAAAGAAGCATTTTAGAACAGGGGGGAAAACTTTATGATTCATTAAAATAACAGGGCAAGAATGCCATTTTTCCTTCCTCAGAGAACCTGTTCTGAATATTTAATTCATAAGAGCTTAATTTTGGAAAATGCCTTTCCTCACTGCCCTGTTGGAGAGTGAACTGTGAGCCTACCTCTCATATCTTGAGGTGCTACCTTAATAAAATGCCTGGAGGGAGTCCATCTGTTTTATGGCCTATTTTGTTTCAAATAGTTTTGGTGAAAACAAGCAGATTCTCCCCTAAAGCAAAGTAAAGGGGCATTTGGGCAATTTAGACACTAATCAAGTGATTCATCCAGGATGTTTCCAGCTTGTTTAGCCTTTCTCCTCTACATTTACCTGGATACTTGGCTATGTTTGTACATTTAAAAAATCCAGAGAATCTTGAAATCCAAAAGCACCTTTTTTTTTTTTTTTTTTTTGATGGAGTCTCGCTCTGTCGCGCCCAGGCTGGAGTGCAGTGGCGTTATCTCGGCTCACTGCAACCTCTGCCTCCCAGGTTCTAGCAATTCTCCTGCCTCAGCTTCCCAAGTAGCTGGGACTAGAGGCGCGCACCACCACAGCCGGCTATTTTTTTTTGTATTTTTAGTAGAGACGGGGTTTCACCATGTTGGCCATGATGGTCTGTATCTCCTGACCTCGTGATCCACCCACCTCGACCTCCCGAAGTACTGGGATTACAGGCATGAGCCACCGCGCCCGGCCCAAAAGCATCCTTCTCAATTCAGTTTGTGATTCAAAATACTTGAAGAAAAAACTACACTTCCCCTCCTCCCCATTCTTAGAATTTGTCATAAATTCTTAGCCTCTGAGATAGGTAGTGATAACAGTCCTTATTCCAATCTACATTTTATGATCTGAACAATACACTTTGCAAGAGGTGTCAGATACATAGGAAGTAACTGACAAAGATATGTATGAAAACTGTCAAAGATTTCATACGTATAAAAATCATGGGTAATCACAACCAGACAAAAATCTTTAAACATTAAAAGAAAAAAAATCAACCAGAATGACTTAAGAGCCTTTCAATGATATTAGTTAGGTAGTTTTCATTTTCTGAGAAATCCATTTTTTTTGTTTTTTTTTTTTTGTAGAAGTAAATAACATGAGCTAGGTAGATGCAGATTTAGACATACCAGGAACTCAAATGACTTCATTTTTAGCAACTCATTTGACTGAAAAAGTTGTTTTCTCTATGTCTGTATAGGGGAATCCAAAAGGAACCCATGATGTAGTGGAAGCCCTCTTTTTAAGCACTCTGAGTTGAGCATTAACTCTGCTGTTCTTTGTACTAGATAAAACCAAACCCAAGGAGGCCTGTGCTCAGAATAAGTGTGGTTGAGTTAGTAAGGCCCTCTTCTCTCCTCACTCATGTTTTAGGCTTATACAGACGCATTTCTTACCTGCAGGAGAAATCCTCAACTCTTCTGGATTGGTACCCAGCGTAGCATAGAGATTATAAGAAAGTGAGAAAGAAAATTCTCAGCCCAGGACTAATCCCATTGTATGACATTACAGATGAGTCTGGTCAAAATATTTGTTCAGGGCAGCCATGAAGGAAGTGGCAAAATGGAGCAAGGGTTTTGTGATAAAGGGGAAATGAAGGACTCCAGTTTAAAAAATCGTATTTCAATCCTGATTCATTGCTAACCTACAGTGCAACTTAGAGCAAGTCAGTTGGTCTTTCAGAGGCTGTTTCCTCATGTGTAAAACTAGGATGTTAATGATGTTTACATTATTAATATAAAATAAAACTTACAGGGTTCATTTACTTGGCCTGAGCTCCTGCACTAGGCCCCAACAGACCAAACCAAAATGGAGTCACTCATGCTAAAGTTCCATGTCATCAAACCAAAACTAACTTGTTTACCTGACCTTCTGAGAAACCAGGAGGGAGTATAGCCAAATCTTCAAATAGGCCAGTTTTAGCCATCATGACAAGGGAGTCTCTATTTTAAACTCTATAAGGAAAGTAACTTTGAAACCACCAATTTGCTTTGTTTCCCTGTTTCTGTGTACTTCAACCCTTTTTTTTGCCAATAAAGTCAACCTCCTGTGCTTAGTTTATCCAAGGACCTTTTCTAAATTTTTAGAGGAGGTGCTGCTTTGTTTGACTAATGAATCGAAAATAAAAGCTAATGCAATCATTTAACTAAATTTGTTGCAATTTTGTCCTTTGACATGAACAAATGATAAGAAAATGGATAGTATTTGTGAAGCTGCTTCACAGATCATAATTGCTGCACAAATAACAGTACAGGTGTCCCTCACTATCCATGAGGACTGGTTCCAGGACCTCCCTTGAATCCCAAAATCTGTGGATGCTCAAGTCCCTGATATAAAATGGCATAGTGTTTGCATATAAATTATGCATCTCCTCTCCTATGCTTTAAATCATCTCTATATTACTCATAATATCTAATACAAAAATGTTATATTAGTAGTTATTATATGGTATTGTTTGTGGAACAATGACAAAGAAAGTGTTGATGTTCAGTACAAACACATTTTTTTCCCAAATATTCTCGATCTGCAGTTGGTTGAATCTATGGATGCAGAACCTATGGATACTGAGGGCTGCCTATACTATTGCTTTTTATTTAATTTTAGTAGAGAGGTGGAAGAAAGTTGAGGACATGTGTCAGAGGTGTATGAACCAGGGCCACTCCATCTTAAATAGGAGCTGCGTAAAATGAGGATGAAACCTACTGGGCTGCATTCCCAGATGCTTAAGGCATTCTAAGTTGCAGGATGAGATAGGAGGTCAGCACAAAATTCAGGTCACAAAGACCTTGCTGATAAAACAGTTTGCAGTAAAGGAACTGGCTAAAACTCACCAAAACCAAAATGGCCACTAGAGTGTCCTCTGGTCGTCCTCACTGCTACACTCCCACCAACGCCATGATAGTTTACAAATGCCATGGCAACATCAGGAAGTTACCCTCTTTGGTCTAAAAAGGGGAGACATGAATAATCCACCCCTTGTTTAGCATATGATCAGGAAATACCATAAAAATGGGCAGCCAGCAGCCGTCGGGTCTGCTCTGTCTCTTGAGTAGCTATTCTTTTACTCCTTTACTTTCTTAATAAACTTGCTTTCACTTTGCACTGCAAACTTGCCCTAAATTCTTTCTTGCATGAGATCCAAGAACCCTCTCATGGGGTCTGGATCAGGACCACTTTCCAGTAATACATGCACATAGATATATTTTTACATATGTTTCTGTGTGTGTGTGGCCTGTATTCATGTGTTTGCAAAATACATAAAACAGTAATTAAATGAGATAACTTGTTTTGTAAAAAGTTTATTTGTAAGTAATTACAAGTAGTCACTTTAGTTTTAGAATCGTTGATCTCTCTTCTTTCCTTCTGGCAGTAATTAGATTGTAGCACCAGATGTCTGTTCAAATTATAATTAGGAATATGGATTTATATACAAATAAGTATATAATGATCCTAAAGTTATTTTTAGCTTTGTAGGAAATTTTTTTCTTCTCCTCCTGGCCTTTTCCCCTCACTTATTACCCAGGCTCTTCAAACTCCAAGCCTTAGGTAATTGCTTATTCTGATGTGGGTGAACCATATTGATTTGCCAGGAAAATCTTGATCTCAACCACCACAGAGTAAATAATAAACCCAAGAGTGACTTCCATTTTTGGTTCCTTTTAGCTTGTACATTTGGATGAATCGTTTAAGTTTAACCCTATGAAAGTTGGTTGAAGAATATTTTTGTCATGTTTATAAAATATGTAGCTTGAGTGTTCTTAGAGAATCTATTTTGGACTATTGCCCAGCTACATTTTAAATTGCTACTTGAAAGAGTTCCTTTCCTCAGATGATCTGATGTAGTCATGGCATCTGGTGTAATAGCAACTTTTGGAAGCTCCCAATCCTCCAATTTTTACATGCAATAGTTTGTTTCTTAGTTGTATCCAGTAAATTTAGAAGGCTAGAGGAATTGGAATTTTTAGGTGTTGTAATTTGGCACTAGCATGCTAATAGGACAGTTCTCAAAGGAAGAAACAAACAGAAAAAGCAAAACAGAAGATGGACGAATAGGAACAGCTCCAGTCTACAGCTCCCAGCATGAGCGACGCAGAAGACGGGTGATTTCTGCATTTCCAACTGAGGTACCAGGTTCATCTCACTGGGGCTTGTTGGACAGTGGGTGCAGGACAGTGGGTGCAGTGCACCAAGCTTGAGCACAAGCAGGGTGAGGCATCACCTCATCCAGGAAGTGCAAGAGGTCAGGGAATTCCCTTTCATAACCAAGCAAAGCTGTGACAGATGGCACCTGGAAAATCGGGTCACTCCCACCCTAATACTGCGCTTTTCCAATGGTCTTAGCAAACGGCACACCAGGAGATTATATCCCGCGCATAGCTCAGAGGGTCCCATGCCCACACAGCCTCGCTCATTGTTAGCACAGCTGTCTGAGATCAAACTGCAAGGCGGCAGCAAGGCTGGGGGAGGGGCACCTGCCATTGCTGAGGCTTGAGTAGGTAAACAAAGTGGCCAGGAAGCTCAAACTGGGTGGAGCCCACCACAGCTCAAGGAGGCCTGCCTGCCTCTGTAGACTCCACCTCTGGGGGCAGGGCATAGCTGAACAAAAGGCAGCAGAAACCTCTGCAGACTTAAATGTCCCTGTCTGACAGCTTTGAAGAGAGTAGTGGTTCTCCCAGCATGGAGTTTGAGATCTGAGAACGGACAGACTGCCTCTTCAAGTGGGTCCCTGACCCCCAAGTAGCCTATCTGGGAGGCACCCCCCAGTAGGGGCAGACTGACACCTCACACGGCCGGGTACCCCTCTGAGACAAAACCTCCAGAGGAACGATCAGACAGCAACATTTGCTGTTCAGCAATATTCGCTGTTCTGCAGCCTCCGCTGCTGATACCCAGGCAAACAGGGTCTGGAGTGGACCTCCAGCAAACTCCAACAGACCTGCAGCTGAGGGTCCTGACTATTAAAAGGAAAACTAACAAACAGAAAGGACATCCACACCAAAACCCCATCTGTGCATCACTATCATCAAAGACCAAAGGTAGATAAAACCACAAAGATGGGGAAAAAATGGAACAGAAAAACTGAAAATTCTAAAAATCAGAGCACCTCTCCTCCTCCAAAGGAATGCAGCTCCTCACCAGCAATGGAACAAAGCTGAGTGGAGAATGACTTTGACAAGTTCAGAGAAGAAGGCTTCAGATGATCAAACTTCTCCAAGCTAAAGGAGGAAGTTCGAACCCATCGCAAAGAAGTTAAAAACCTTGAAAAAAGATTAGACAAATGGCTAACTAGAATAACCAATGCAGAGAAGTCCTTAAAGGACCTGATGGAGCTGCAAACCATGGCATGAGAACTACGTGACAAATGCACAAGCCTCAGTAGCCGATTCGATCAACTGGAAGAAAGGGTATCAGTGATGGAAGATCAAATGAAAGAAATGAAGCGAGAAGAGAAGTTTAGAGAAAAAAACAACAAAAACAAATGAACAAAGCCTCCAAGAAATATGGGACTATGTGAAAAGACCAAATCTACGTCTGATTGGTGTACCTGAAAGTGACGGGGAGAATGGAACCAAGTTGGAAAACACTCTGCAGGATATTATCCAGGAGAACTTCCCCAACCTATCAAGTCATGCCAACATTAAAATTCAGGAAATACAGAGAACACCACAAAGATACTCCTCGAGAAGAGCGACTCCAAGACACATAATTGTCAGATTCACCAAAGTTGAAATGAAGGAAAATATGTTAAGGGCAGCCAGAGAGAAAAGTCGGGTTACCCACAAAGGGAAGCCCATCAGACTAACAGCTGATCTCTCGGCAGAAATTCTACAAGCCAGAAGAGAGTGGGGGCCGATATTCAACATTCTTAAAGAAAAGAATTTTCAACCCAGAATTTCATAGCCAGCCAAACTAAGCTTTGTAAGGGAAGGAGAAATAAAATGCTTTACAGACAAGCAAATGCTGAAAGATTTTGTCACCACCAGGCCTGCCCTACAAGAGCTCCTGAAGGAAGCACTAAACATGGAAAGGAACAACCAGTACCAGCCACTGCAAAAACATGCCAAATTGTAAAGACCATTGATGCTAGGAAGAAACGGCATCAACTAACAAGCAAAATAACCAGCTAACATTATAATGACAGGATCAAATTCACACATAACAATATTAACCTTAAATGTAAATGGGCTAAATGCTCCAATTAAAAGACACAGACTGGCAAATTGGATAAAGAGTCAAGACCCATCAGTGTGCTGTATTCAGGAAACCCCCCTCACATGCAGAGACACACATAGGCTCAAAATAAATGGATGGAGGAAGATCTACCAAGCAAACGGAAAACAAAAAAAGGCAGGGGTTGCAATCCTTGTCTCTGATAAAACAGACTTTAAACCAACAAAGATCAAAAGAGACAAAGAAGGCCATTACATAATGGTAAAGGGATCAATTCAACAAGAAGAGCTAACTATCCTAAATATATATGCACCCAATACAGGAGCACCCAGATTCATAAACCAAGTCCTTAGAGACCTACAAAGAGACTTAGACTCCCACACAATAATAATGGGAGACTTTAACACCCCACTGTCAACATTAGACAGATCAAGAGACAGAAAGTTAACAAGGATATCCAGGAATTGAATTCAGCTCTGCACCAAGCAGACCTAATAGACATCTACAGAACTCTCCACCCCAAATGAACAGAATATACATTCTTCTCAGCACCACACTGCACCTATTCCAAAATTGACCACATAGTTGGAAGTAAAGCACTCCTCAGCAAATGTAAAAGAACAGAAATTATAACAAACTGTCTCTTAGACCACAGTGCAATCAAACTAGAACTCAGGATTAAAAAACTCACTCAGAACCACTCAACTACATGGAAACTGAACAACCTGCTCCTGAATGACTACTGGGTGCATAATGAAATGAAGGCAGAAATAAAGATGTTCTTTGAAACCAACGAGAACAAAGACACAATATACCAGAATCTCTGGGACACATTTAAAGCAGTGTGTAGAGGGAAATTTATAGCACTAAATGCCCACAAGAGAAAGCAGGAAAGATCTAAAATTGACACCCTAATATGACAATTAAAGGAACTAGAGAAGCAAGAGCAAACAAATGCAAAAGCTAGCAGAAGGCAAGAAATAACTAAGATCAGAGCAGAACTGAAGGAGATAGAGAAACAAAAACCCCTTCAATAAATCAATGAATCCAGGAGCTGGTTTTTTGAAAAGATCAACAAAATTGATAGACCACTAGCAAGACTAATAAGAAAAGAGAGAAGAATCAGATAGACGCAATAAAAAATGATAAAGGGGATATCACCACTGATGCCACAGAAATGCAAAGTACTATCAGAGAATACTATAAACACTTCTACACAAATAAACTAGAAAATCTAGAAGAAATGGATGAATTCCTTGACACATATACCCTCCCAAGACTAAACCAGGAAGAAGTTGAATCTCTGAATACACCAATAACAGGCTCTGAAATTGAGGCAATAATTAATAGCTTACCAACCAAAACAAGTCCAGGACCAGGCGGATTCACAGCCGAAACCTACCAGAGGTACAAGGAGGAGCTAGTACCATTCATTCTGAAACTATTCCAATCAATATAAAAAGAGAGAATCCTCCCTAACTCATTTTAAGAGGCCAGCATCATCCTGATACCAAAGCCTGGCAGAGACACAACAAAAAAAGAGAATTTTAGACCAATATCCCTGATGAACATCGATGCAAAAATCCTCAATAAAATACTGGCAAACGAAATCCAGCAGCACATCAAAAAGCTTATCTACCATGATCAAGTGGGATTCATCCCTGGGATGCAAGGCTGGTTCAACATATGCAAATCAATAAACGTAATCCAGCATATAAACAGAACCAAAGACAAAAGCCACATGATTATCTCAATAGATGCAGAAAAGGCCTTCGACAAAATTCAACAGCCCTTCATGCTAAAAACTCTCAATAAATTAGGTATTGGTGGGATGTATCTAAAAATAGTAAGAGCTATTTATGACAAACCCACAGCCAATATCATACTGAATGGGCAAAAACTGGAAGCATTCCCTTTGAAAACTGGCACAAGACAGGGATGCCCTCTCTCACCACTCCTATCAACATAGTGTTGGAAGTTCTGGCCAGGGCAATTAGGCAGGAGAAGGAAATAAAGAGTATTCAATTAGGAAAAGAGGAAGTCAAATTGTCCCTGTTTGCAGATGACATGATTGTATATCTAGAAAACCCCATCATCTCAGCCCAAAATTTCCTTAAGCTGATAAGCAAATTCAGCAAAGTCTCAGGATACAAAATCAATATACAAAAATCACAAGCATTCTTATACACAAACAACAGACAAACAGAGAGCCAAATCATGAGTGAACTCCCATTCACAATTGCTTCAAAGAGAATAAAATACCTACGAATCCAACTTACAAGTGATGTGAAGGACTTCTTCAAGGAGAACTACAAACCACTGCTCAACGAAATAAAAGAGGACACAAACAAATGGAAGAACATTCCATGCTCATGGGTAGGAAGAATGAATATCATGAAAATGGCCATACTGCCCAAGGTAATTTATAGATTCAATGTCGTCCCCATCAAGCCGCCGTTGACTTTCTTCACAGAATTGGAATAAACTACTTTAAAGTTCATATGGAACCAAAAAAGAGCCTGCATTGCCAAGTCAATCCTAAGCCAAAAGAACAAAGCTGGAGGCATCATGCTACCTGACTTCAAACTATACTATAAGGCTACAGTAACCAAAACAGCATGGTACTGGTATCAAAACAGATATAGACCAATGGAACAGAACAGAGCCCTCAGAAATGATACCACACATCTACAACTATCTGATCTTTGACAAACCTGACAAAAACAAGCAATGGGGAAAGGATTCCATATTTAACAAATGGTGTTGGGAAAACTGGCTAGCCATATGTAGAAAGCCAAAACTGGATCCCTTCCTTACACCTTATACAAAAATTAATTCAAGATGGATTAAATACTTAAATGTTAGACTAAAAACCATAAAAACCCTGGAAGAAAACCTAGGCAATACCATTCAGGACACAGGTATGGGCAAGGACTTCATGTCTAAAACACCAAAAGCAATGGCAACAAAAGCCAAAATTGACAAATGGGATCTAATTAAACCAAAAAGCTTCTGCACAGCAAAATAAACTACCATCAGAGTGAACAGGCAACCTATGGAATGGGAGAAAATTTTTGCAATCTACTCATCTGACAAAGGGCTAATCTCCAGAATCTACAAAGAACTCAAACAAATTTACAAGAAAAAAAAACAAACAACTCCATCAAAAAATGGGCAAAGGATATGAACAGACACTTCTCAAAAGAAGACATTTATGCAGCCAACAGACACATGAAAAAATGCTCATCATCACTGGCCATCAGAGAAATGCAAATCAAAACTACAATGAGATATCATCTCACACCAGTTAGAATGGCAATTATTAAAAAGTCAGGAAACAACAGGTGCTGGAGAGGATGTGGAGAAATAGGAACACTTTTACACTGTTGGTGGGACTGTAAACCAGTTCAACCATTGTGGAAGACACTGTGGCGATTCTTCAGGTATCTGGAACTAGAAATACCATTTGACCCAGTCATCCCATTACTGGGTATATACCCAAAAGATTATAAATCATGCTGCTATAAAGACACATGCACACGTATGTTTATTGTGGCATTATTCACAATAGCAAAGACTTGGAACCAACCCAAATGTCCAACAATGACAGACTGGATTAAGAAAATGTGGCACATATACACCATGGAATACTATGCAGCCATAAAAAATGATGAGTTCATGTCCTTTGTAGGGACATGGATGAAGCTGGAAACCATCATTCTCAGCAAACTATCACAAGGAGAAAAAACCAAACACTGCATGTTCTCACTCATAGGTGGGAATTGAATAATAAGAACACTTGGACACAGGAAGGGGAACATCACACACTGGGGCCTGTTGTGGGGTGGGGGAAGAGGGGAGGGATAGCATTAGGAGATATACCTAATGTAAATGACGAGTTAATGGGTGCAGCACACCAACATGGCACATGTGTACATATGTAACAAACCTGCACGTTGTGCACATGTACCCTAGAACTTAAAGTATAATAAAAATATATACATAAAATAAAAATTAAAAAAAATTAAAAAAAAGAAAAAGCAAAACAAAGTGCTGATCTATAGTACGTGCTGATTTTTCTCTTACAGAGACTCCCATATACTCCTACCATTGCCAATTTCTTTTTTTCTTTTTTCTCTTTTTTTAGACAGAGTCTTGCTCTGTTGCCAGGCTGGAGAGCAATGGTGCGATCTCGGCTCACTGAAACCTCCGCCTCCCAGGTTCAAGTGATTTTCCTGCCTCAGCCTCCCAAGTAGCTGGGACCACAGGCGCACGCCACCATGCCCAACTAATTTTTTTATTTTTAGTAGAGACAGGGTTTCACCATGTTGGTCAGGATGGTCTCGATCTCTTGACCTCATGATCTGCCCGCCTGAGCCTCCCAAAGTGCTGGGATTACAGGTATGAGCCACCGCGCCCTGCCAGCCATTGCCAATTTCAAGCTACCATCAGGTTAGCAATTGACTGTCCAGGGCAGGTACAAGCTGGCTCTAGCACACTGAGACCATAACATTTGGTGTCAGACATCACTTTTTTAAAAAGAAAGGTCAGGTGCAGAGGTGTGAGGACAGTGGCTGTTTTCGGTCTGTGCTCTTTGGCATATACTCTATGTATTAGAAGATATGTGTGTCACACTTCACAATAATTAGTTCAAGGAAAGTCAGTCTAGGACAGTTTCTCCTACTTGTCCATTACTTTTCCTCCCCATTCTGTCTTTTCAAATCTTAAAGAATCTCCAGAAACAATTGTTTATTGGTAGGTATTTGGAGATGATAATATCTGGTTTACCTTTTTTTTTTTTTTTGAGACAGGGTTTCACTCTGTCACCCAGGCTGGAGTGCAGTGATGCAATTATGGCTCACCATAGTCTCAACCTTCTGGGCTCAGGTGATCCTCCCACGTCAGCCTCCTGAGTAGCTGGGACTACAGGTGGGTGCCACCACACCTGGCTAATTTTTATATTTTTTTGTAGACACAGGATTTCATCATGCTGCCCAGGCTGATCCAGAACTCCTGGGGTCAAGCAATCCTGCTGCCGTGGTCTCCCAAAGTGCTAGGTTTACAGGCATGAACCACCACGCCCAGCCATGGTTTACCTTATTTTTAAACAGACTAACTCACAGAAGTGTATGAAAATACCACCTACCACAACTTGTAGGATGCAGCAAGAGCAGTATTTAGAGGGAAGTTTAGAGCAATGAATGCATATATTAAAAAAGAAGAGAGACCTAATATAAACAGTATAAGTGTTCACTTTAGGAAAGTAGAAAAAGATGAGGAAATTACATCCAAAGTAAGCAGAGAAAAAGCAATAATATAAATTAGAGATCAATGAAATTGAAAATAGGAAACCAATAAAGACAATCAACCAAACCAAAAGTTGATTCTTTGATAAGATCAATAATATTGACAAACCTCTCCCTGGGCTAAGAGAAAAAAAGAAAGGCACAAATTACTTATATCATAAATGAAAAAGAGGACATAACTACTGATCCCATGGACATGAAAAGAATAATAAACGAGCAACTCTATGCTCAAAATTTTTTGTTTGTTTGTTTGTTCTGTTTGAGATGGAGTTTCACTCATGTCCCCCAGGCTGGAGTGCAATGGTGCGATCTTGGCTCACTGCAACCTCTACCTCCCGGATTCAAGCGATTCTCCTGCCTCAGCCTCCTGAGTACTGGGATTACAGGTGCCTGCCACCACGCCAGGCTAATTTTTGTATTTTTAGTAGAGACGGGGTTTCACTGTGTTGGCCAGGCTGATCTCGAACTCCTGACCTCAAGTGCTCCACCTGCTTCGGCCTCCCAATGTGCTAGGATTACAGGCGTGAGCCACTGCAGCTGGCCTATGCTCGAAATTTTGATAACCTAGATGAAATGGACCAATTCCTTGAAAGATACAATATAACAAAATTCACACAAGGAGAAATAGATAACATGAATTGGCCTAAATCTATCTACAATATTGAATCAACAATTCATAGCCTTGCAAAACTAGAAGAACCAGGCCTAAATAGTTTTATTGGTGAATTCTACCAAACATTTAAGGAAAAAAATCAAACTGGTTAACCACGGCCCATAAACTAGCTGATTGTTTTTATAAATAAAGTTTTATTGGAACCAGAGCTGAGATTAGGGTGGAGCAAATGAAGCAAGGCTGTGCAAGGGCAGGTTGGATCTTGTTATTTAAAATTTGGATATCTCATGCATCATGGATTTTTTTGGCATTAAATTTCATTTAAAAAAATAATGCATTAAAATGTTATCTTAGTAACTGAGTTTTTTGGTATCCTCAAATTTTGTCCCAAGGCATGTGCCTCACTTGCCATACCCTACTCCTGCCCTTGTGGGGTGATAAGCAGTGAAGGGATAATTGGAAGTGAAAGAGCTGACACTGGATATTATGAAATGTGGTGGTGTTTTTCGTTTTTTGTTTTAGTGGTGATGGTTTATATTTCACCACCCACAAGCCACCACGGTGCTAAGCAACTTGTAACAAGAGACACCATGGGAAAGGACGCTGTGTGGTCTGAAATCACTGAAAAGGGCTACGGTCACCCTTGAGCATAGCTGGCTGCAATCGTGCTTACATCTGTGTAAGATCAATTATGTACATCCAAAATCTAGGCCACCCATTGGTATTTGGCAAAGCCCATTTGTACTTTTTGATTGACTAGTTTATGTAATCTTTATTGTTTCTTAATGCATTGAACCTATTATGATGTTCTTTTAAAGGAACTATAATAGTGGGAACAATTCATGCTGAGTGTGTTTTAAAAGGTAGATTAGCTGGGTGCAGTGGCTCACGCCTGTAATCCCAGCACATTGGGAGGCTGAGGCGGGCGGATTACCTGAGGTCAGGAGTTTGAGACCAGTCTGACCAACATGGTGAAACCCCGTCTCTACCAAAAATATAAAAATTAGCCAGGTGTAGTGGCGCATGCCTGTAATCCCAGCTGCTCCGTAGGCGGAGACAGGAGAATTGCTTGAATCCGGGAGAGGGAGGTTGAGCCGAGATCGTGCCACTGCACTCCAGCCTGAGTGACAGAGCCAGACTCCATCTCAAAAAAAAAAAAAAAAAAAAAAAAAGGCTAGGTCAATAAAGTACTTGTAAGGCTTCGCCTGCCCAAGATTATGGCCTGGCAAACTATAATCAGAAAATTTTGCCTCTAAAAATTATCTAAAAATTGGTTTAAGAAATGGTTTCCAAATTTGCTAGGAAAATGAGTGATTTTTCTCAAAGTTTAGAAGATTGTTACATTGGGTGACAGATATTTCTTCCTTCCTTAAGCATGTTTTCCTTTCTAAATCTCAATTGATGGTCAAATCAATTTCAAGAAATGCCAAGAATAAATGCCAAAAATAAACAGCTGCGATTCCATGTTTTTGGACATTCGTTGGAACATAAGACTATGAACACCTAGGATGTTTATAGAAAGAACTGGGCATTAACACATATATCTTTAGGTCAGTGATCTGAAAATAAAAAGATCCTTAATTATTATTTATCTAGCACCTGTGATGGAGTTTTTGAAATTCTACAAATTCAATACATGTATGAAATCTGGGCCACAGGTCAACTTAGTCTGAAAAACAGAAATTGACATAGGCAAAATATTCCGATAGTCATTGTAATAAACTGTTATGAAAAAAAAAAATATCCTGTATCCGAACAGAGGGAAAAGCAAGTCATTTTAGAACTGTTGTAAGGTCTTGTTTTTATATTACACTAATGCCACTCCTCATTGGGAAAAGGCTTCCCCATCGTGTTTCAGATTCCTCAGTACTTTCTGCTGGCTCATAGTAGCTTGAATGGAATGGGTGAGGTTCAGTGAGAAAGTCAGTGGAGAGAACACCAGCTTCCCCCTCCCCCAGACAGGAAATGGCATCAAGATTAAAGATCTGCTGGTGTCTGTTGCTGGGTTTCCCTCTAGGCTATGAAAACAAATAGAACACATAATTAATATTCTTCCTGCAGCTTCTGAAAGGCCTTTAGGCGGAACATCAGTGCTCATTTTACTATCTATATTCAGGCTGCGTTTTGACACCATGATATTTTTGGGAAAGTGGGGAACATGGTGTAATCTGGGATCATCTGTAAACAAATATCAGTTTTCCAAACAGAAGGAGAGTCAGCTGGGGGTTGTTCTGTAGGCAGGGGCCCCCTGCTAATCTAAGAGATATGTGAGAAAAGGAAAAGGGGCGATTTCTACGCTGGAGAGTAGGAAGGTGTTGTTTTGGCAGGGATGGTTAACGTCAGGAGCAGTAGCCTGCCTGCTGTCGACTCTGTTCACTTTCAAATCGGTTCTCAATAAATATCTTTCGAGCACCTACCGGACTTGTGTGCTAGTCCGGTGCAGAGATAAATAACACATAATCGCTGATCAGTTTATAGTCTAAGGTATGCAGATAAGAGAAAGAAGATTTTTAAGTGATTAATCATAGCAGAATTCTGAAGCTATTGCCCAATCACCAAACTCAGAGTCGCAAAGTGTTTTCTGCTTGCCAAGAGCACTTCTGACTGTCAATCAGCCTGTAGGACTCGAGGTTTATGGGTGACCAGCCAAATCCAATTCCTTCTTATGGTGTGTGTTTCAGATATGCAAGGGGGAAAGCACAGATTTGGCTTACCCCCAAAGTCACATGAAGCCATGAGATCTAAGTTCCCAGTGCCATTGAATTCATTAGTGAAGAAGGAAATGAAGATTTGGGCCCAGTTTCTGGAGTCTGTGTCCCCCTGCCCCTTGCCAGCAAGGCTTTTTTTTTTTTTCTTATACAATGGTGAGACATGATGCTGGACTGAATGTTTAGCCCTATTTATATTTTATGAAGGAGATACATTAGCATAAAAGGTATAAAACCATGCATAGAGTTTTGCCATAAGTATGGCTAATAGGATTAAGTCACACTTTAACACAGTGCTTTGCAGTTAGAGCTAGGAAACTTGTTACCATGGTTTACTGGCAGACTTTAGGGTTAGTTAAAACTTGTGGCTGGGCGTGGTGGCTCACGCCTGTAATCCTAGCACTTTGGGAGGCCAAGTGGGGTGGATCACCTGAGGTTGGGAGTTTGAGACCAGCCTGGCCAATGTGATGAAACCCTGTCTCTACTAAAAATACAAAAAAATCAGCTGGGCGTGGTGGCAGCCTGTAGTCCCAGCACTTGGGAGGCTGAGGCAGGAGAATCACTTGAACCCGGGAGGCGGAGGTTGCAGTGAGCTGAGATTGCACCACTGCACTCCAGCCTGGGTGACAAAGCGAGACTCAGTCTTAAAAAACAAACAAACAACAACAACAACAACAACAACAAAAATCTTGTTGCTTTCCCTTTGTGTTTCTAAGGGGAAAACAATACAAAAAAACAAAAACAAAAACAAAAAAACAAAAAAAACAGCACCTACAAGTCTCAGAAGCCCTATCTTAGGTTAGTTTCGGAATGAACTCTTAGGTTTTCCTTTGGCTGACCACTGATTGCTTTAGGATTCTGAAGGTGTCTAATACTGTCATAGTGGAAAGTGCCCAGTTGAGGCCAGGCACAGTGGCTCACGCCTTTAATCCCAGCACTTTGGGAGACTGAGGCAGGCAGATCACTTGAGGTCAGGAGTGAGTTGAAGACCAGCCTGGCCAACATGGTGAAACCCCCATCTCTACTAAAAATACAAAAATTAGCTGGGCATGGTGGAGCATGCCTGTAATTCCAGCTACTAGGGAGACTGAGGCACGAGAATCACTGGAACCCAGGAGGCAGAGGTTGCAGTGAGCTGAGATTGTGCCACTGCACTCCAGCCTGGGTGACAGAGTGAGACTCTATCTCAAAAAACAAAAAACAAGACAAACAACAACAACAACAAAAACAACAAAGAATATCTGTGTTTACTGTCAGTATCCATAGCTCAGATAAATAGTCATCCTACAAGCTGATGCCTGATCAGGTTCTTCAGCTATGAAAGGAGTCCCTTCCACAGATTCAAGTCCCTGCTGGGACTAAAATTCCATAAGCTACTATTCTATATTGGGTTTTATAGTATGCTCAGCTTTTGCAGGGAGGGTAGGAGAGAGTAAATTTAACCTTTTACACCATGTATCATCAAAAAGTTTATCAAGTCCGGGTATGGTGGCTCACACCTGTAATCCCAGAACTTTGGGAGGCTGAGGCAGGAGGATTGCTTGAGCCCAGGATGTCGAGACCAGCCTGGGCAACAAAGTGAGATCCTATCTCTATAAGAAAATTTTAAAAATTAGCCAGACCTGATGGTGTGCACCTGTAGTCCCAGCTACCTGGAAGGCTGAGGTGGGAGGAACCCTGGAGCCTGGAGTGTCGAGGCAGTAGCAAGTCATGATTGCACCACTGCACTCTAACCTGGGCAACAGAGCCAGACCCTGTCTTAAAAAAAAAAAAAAGTTTATCAAGATGAGAGGGATAAACACATGTGAAACACCTATAACAATGCAAGTTAGTCTATAATTGAAACAATTTTTAAAAGCTTTAAGAATCCAAAGAACAGAGTATAAATGGGATCTGAAGATGATGAGGGGACATTTTGTGGAGGACTCAGTAAGGAAGGGCTTTACCTGGACAGAGCTTGGTAGATGTGGAATTAGGCATTTCAAATAAATAAATATTGTAAGTAGTACTTATAAGTGTATATTGGAAAAACATGTATCTGCATGCAAGCTATTTATATATATTCATTTATTTGTGTGGATATTGTCACTTATCTGTGCATTTATATAAGGAGATGCAAATGACATATCAGTTGTAGAATTTTCTCTTTGGTTCACTTAGGTTCACAGCATGAATGAATCAATGTGTGATGGATGGCTGCAAGAAACACACAGACCATGTCCTGAAATACAATGAAGGCTTCAGGTCTGGTTAGTTACTGAAATAGTAATAAGTATTGAAATAGTACAGAAGCTTCTAATCTACCAGAGAAAATTCCCAAAGTTTGATGTGAGGTGTTGCCTGTTGAGAATGTCTCTATCTCCACCACCTTTTGGAGTGAATAATTCTCTATGGTACCCCTAGCTTCTCAAACCCAAGCTTGTGCATGGCAAGTACCAACATGAGACAGGCTTTCTGAAGTTCACAAGCACAGACTGTGTTCCTTTCTTCAAATACTATCTATTTTGAACCCTCTGGCTCTTTCTCAGAAGAGATTGATGTATTTTCCAAGACACAACTTTGACCTCTGTTTTCAACCCTAACTGTGTGGTAGGAAGTAGGGACTACAGAGGTGGTGATGATTTCCAAACCTATGTGAATGAAATGACTCATGATAAATAAAAGTGGCATATACTTATTGCCTTATTTTTGAGAACTGAGACTTAACTGGTGCATAGAGTGCTGTTTGGTGTCACACAGAGATTCATCAATAGGAGAGTGGCTGCATCAAATATGGCCCATCCATCAATGGAATACTACACAGCCATGAAAAGAGTAAATACTAGAAGAGCTGATGCTGTAAGATATCTACAGTCCATTGTCAAGTAAAAAAAAATCCTTGTAGGGGCATAATTAGAAATCTATAATAAACTGCAGACAATGATTACCTCTGGGTAGTAGGATTGTGTGTGCGTGTATGTATGTGTTTTATGCTACATTTTTATATGGTTTTAATTTTTAAAAACAAGCATTTATTTCCTGTAATAAAAATTTTAAAAATATTTTTAGAAAGGAATATGTTGCTGGACTTCTTTTTTTGTTGTAGTAAAATATATAGAATATAATATTTATAATTTTTACCATGCATAAATGTACAATTAGTACAATTTAAATATGCTCACAATGTTTTATAACTGTCTCTGCTATTTATACCCCCAAACTTTTTTTTTTTTTTTTTTTGAGACGGAGTCTCGCTCTGTCGCCCAGGCTGCAGTGCAGTGGCGCGATCTCGGCTCACTGCAAGCTCCGCCTCCCGGGTTCACGCCATTCTCCTGCCTCAGCCTCCCGAGTAGCTGGGACTACAGGCGCCCGCTACCACGCCCGGCTAATTTTTTGTATTTTTAGTAGAGACGGGGTTTCACCGTGTTAGCCAGGATGGTCTCGATCTCCTGACCTCGTGATCCGCCCGCCTCGGCCTCCCAAAGTGCTGGGATTACAGGCGTGAGCCACCGCGCCCGGCTACCCCCAAACTTTTAATCATTCCCATCCAAAACTTCTTACCCATTAAGCAATAATTTTCCCTTTCCCTCTCCCTGCGGCCCCTGGTTACCTCTACTCTACTTTTCTCTCTCTGGATTTGAGCAACCAGGCAAAACCTGTCACAGCCCTGTTGCAGCACAGGTGAAGTCCTGCCCACAGGACACATTTTTAATTTTCAGAAATGTCACCTATAATTTTACCATCATTATTATTTTGGCATTTTTCCATTTAGCCTTTTCCCCTACTGTTACCTCACTACTGAAATTTTACTATATAAGCGGTTTGCTATATTGTTCTTTTAAGATACTGTGAGCATAGTTTCCTTATATTATAAATTATTTATAAATATAATTTCTTTGACAAATGAATTACACACGAGTCAAATATTTGAAATGATACTGAAAGATACTTTGATGCATGTACTATTGTACATTCATGTATACAATAGCACATGTATCAACATATTTTTCCCCAGGTACTGCTGTGTATGTGAATGTACAGTAGTACATGCATCACGATATTTTCCCCTACCTCCTTTTCCATCTCTGTGAATTTGCCTATTCTGGGTACCTCATATAGGTGGAATCATACAATATTTGTCCTTCTATATCTGACTTGTGTTACTAACATAATGTTTTCAAGGCCTATCCATTTTGTTGCATATATTAAAATTCGAATCACTTTTGTGGTTGAATAATATTCTATTACATGTTTATATGGCATTTTGTTTATCCATTCATTTGTTGATAGTTACCTGGGTTGTTTCTACATTTTAGCTATTGTGACAAATGCTGCTATGAACTCTGATAACCAAACAATCTACTCCAGTCTCTGCTTTCAATTCTTTTGCATTTATACCTAGGAGTGGAATTGCTGAGTCATATGATAGTTCTAGTTGAAGAACACACAAAATCTTTCATAATCAGACTCTTGGATTTATTTTATTTATTACTTATTTATAACTCACCACAAGTGAGTTAGAGCATGTTTTCATTAATATATGCTTGGTGAAACATTTGGATTTTCTCTTCTATGAATTATCTTTCCATGGCCTTTTTCAATTTTATTATTGGGTGACTTGTTTCCTTCTTTTAAAACCTCTGTTCATTATGAAATTTTGCCTTCTGGCTAAACTCTTTATTAAATTTATAACACCCCCCACACCAAAAAAAAAAAAAAGATAGTTCTATGTTTAACCTTTTAAGAAACAGAGAAACTATTTTCTACGATGGCTGCAGCATTTTTGGGGGGCTCAGTGTCTATTGTTTTATTTCATTTCCGGTTGCAGCATTTTATATTCCCACCAGCAATGTACAAGGATTCTCGTTTCTCCACAGCTTGTTTTTTTTCCATTTGTTCATTTGTTTATAGCCATTTTAATGGGTCTGGGTGGTTACACATTGTGGTTTTCATCTGCATTTCCCTGATGACCAGTGATGTTGAACATTTTATCGTGTGTTTATTGGAAATTTGTATATCTTTTCTGCAGAAATGTCTGTTAAAGTCCTTTGCCCATTTTTGAACTGAGTTTTTTTGTTGTTGAATTTTAGAGTTCTTTATATATTCTGGATATTCATGCCTTATCAGATATGTGGCTTGCAATATTTTCTCCTATTCAGTAGGTTGCCTTTTCATTCTCTTGGTAGTATCCTTTGATGCTCAAAATTCTGAATTTTGATGTAGTGCAACTTACCTATTTTTTCTTTTATCGCCTGTTTGCTGTGAACTTTTTTCTTTTAACCAATAGGAACTTAAATTACATTTTAAAGAGTGAGTCCATTAGATATATTGAGTTTATCTGCAAGTTTGCAGAATGGAATAAAGTGAAGCTTCCCTGCACTTCTGAGCCAAGTGCCAGCGAGTCACGCGTGGAAGGATAGGGCTGAGGCTGCCTTGGCTGCTTGGCTGGGTGGCTGGAGAGCACACCTGGCAGAAGATCACTTGGTTCTTAAGTAAGGACAGCAAAACTGGCTTCTTCTTGGTTAATTCACAGATGGTAAAGACAAAGAGATGTTCTGTGTTTGAATATGTGTAAATACCTTAGATAGTGCAGGAGTCACAGTTGATGGTAGACACAGCTTGTTGGACTTTAGAGGTGGAGATTTTTGGACCTGAATCCTAGTTCTGCCACCTACTAGGTATGGACCCCAGAAAAACAATCTTCTAACGCAGGGGTCCCCAACCCCTGGGCCATGGACCAGTATCAGTCTGTATAGTCTGTTAGGAACTGGACCACACAACAGGAAGTGAGCCAGGGGCCTGTGAGCCAAGCTTCATCTATATTTACAGCCACTCCCCACTGCCAGCATTACTGCTTGAGCTCCGCCTCGTGTCAGATCGGCAGCGGCATTAGATTCTCACAGGACCCCGAGCCCTATTGTGAACTGTGCATGTGAGGGATTTAGGTTGCAGACTCCTTATGGGAATCTAATGCGCGATGATCTGTCACTGTCTCACATCACCCCAAGATGGGACCATCTAGTTACAGGAAAACAAGCTCAGGGCTTCCACTGAGTCTATGTTATGGTGAGTTGTATAATTATTTCATTATATATTACAATGTAATAATAATAGAAATAAAGTGCACAATAAATGTAATTGGCTTGAATCATCTTAATACCATCCCCCCCATCTCGGTCCATAGAAAAATTGTCTTCCACAAAACTGGTCCTTGGTGCTAAAAACGTTGGGAGCTGTTGTTTTAGAGCCTCATTTTTTTTTATTATGGGGTTTGTAACATTAAATACTTAAATGGTAGTCCTAAAGATGAATCCTATCTAAGGTAAACAAAATGCCTCATGGTACCTGGCATATAGTAGGTGCTCAATAAATCATAGTAATTATTAAAGGAATGATGACAAATCAAGTATTAATATCATTTTTAAATGTAAAAAGGATAATAATATTAATAACAATAACAAACACTATTTGAAAAACATTATCTTTAGGTGTTCACATCTCTTAACTCATTAAGGTCTCATAATAATCCTATGAGGCATAGATTATTATTACTCCCATTTTACCAATGAAAAAATGGAAATACGGAGAGATTAAGAAGCTTACAACTGATCGAAATTGCAGACCTGGAATTTGAATCCAGGCAGCTGTTTTGCATGGAATATTTCTCACTTCCATTAAGCCCAGTGGATTCTTTTCTGTCTTTAATTATGTTGCTTGTACTCAGAGCAAAGGGTACTGATCCTGCCATTAGGGCAGAGGCTGGTAGCTGCTTTCTCTTTGTGCCGCCAGGATAGCATTTACTGTACCCTCCCTTGCGTGTTCTAGCCTGTGGCTAAGACATCGTTTGTGACCTTAGAGAGATACCAAATAGATGCTGTGGTTCTAGACTTTGCTTCCATCCACCACTAGGCAAAGCCTGTCCCAACCTCATTGAAACAGAGGTAAAGTCATGCCCATGGGGCACTTTTTTTTTTGTTTGTTTGTTTTGAAACAGAGTCTCACTCTGTCACCCAGGCTGGAGTGCAGTGTCACAATTTCAGCTCACTGCGACCTCAGCCTCCGGGGTTCAAGTGATTCTCATGCCTCAGCCTCCCCAGTAGCTGGGATGACAGGCGTGCGCCACCATGCCTGGCTAATTTTTGTATTTTTAGTAGAGACGGGGTTTTGCCATGCTGTCCAGGCTGGTCTTGAACTCCTGACCTCAGGTGATCCGCCTGCCTCGGACTCCCAAAGTGCTGGGATTACAGGCATGAGCCACTGTGCCCTGTCAGAGGACACATTTTTAATTTTCAGAAACATCACCTATAATTTCACCATCATTATTAACATTTTGGCATTTTTCTCATCTAGTCCTTTGTGCATTTTCCCCTACTGTTACCTCACTACTGAAATTTTACTTTATAAGCAGTTTCATATACTACTCTTTTGTTTAAGACATTATGAGCATTGTTTCCTTGTATTATAAATTATTTATAAATACAATTTTTTGACAAATGAAAGAATTACACACTTCAACAAATATTTTAAATGATACTGAAAGATATTTTGATGCATATACCATTGTATATATGAATGAATTTTTTTTGTTGACATAATAGATCATATGACAGACACTATTCTACACTTTTCCTTTTTTTTCCTTCTCTACTTTACCCCTAAATACAGAGAAACATACAAATTTGAAACTAACATTTCCTTTTTATTTTCACCAAATCTCCTTCATTGATTGATATTTTTCTTTTTCTTTTTTCTTTTCTTTTTTTTTTTTTTTTGAGACAGAGCCTCGCTCTTGTCACCCAGGCTGGAGTGCAATGGCACAATCTCAGCTCACTGCAACCTCTGCCTCCCGGGCTCAAGTGATTCTCCTGTCTCAGCCTCCCGAGTAGCTGGGATTACAGGTGCCGGCCACAATGCCGGGCTAATTTTTGTATTTTTAGTAGAGACGGGGTTTCACCATGTTGGCCAGGCTGGTCCCGAACTCCTGACCTCAGGTGATTCACCCACCTCAGCCTCCCAAAGTGCTGGGATTACAGGCGTGAGCCACTGCCCCCAGCCATTAATATTTTTAAATACAAAAGTAATACATGCTTATTCTAACAATTGAAATCATATAAAGATACACAAAGTAAAAGCAAATCATCTCCTTTAGCCTCATCTTCAACCCCATCGCCTTGAGCTGCCAATGCTAACACCTGTTGTAGACTTTCCAATTTTTCCCTTGTTCTTTCAAACAGATGCAAATGCACATTTACATATAGGTAGATTCTTTTTTGGTTTGTTTTTACCCAAATATAATTGAAGTAAACCCATTAGTCTACAATTTGTTTTTGGATCTCCCCCAACACCAGGATATACCGGGAACATTCCTAACAATTCAAGACATATGGCTCAATTGTATATTTTTTTCTTTTCTAATTTCTTTCTCTTTCTACCACTACCACAAGTGTGTGTGTGTGTGTGTGTGTGTATTTGGTCTCACAAGTCTTATTTGCAGTTTGTCTTTGCTGGCACCTCTGCCCACCTTGTTAATAGGCCTACATTTGTTCCAGGATGTTCCTAGCTCCTAATCCTACCCGTCTAGGTGAAAGGGGTACCACCTAACTGAACACACTTGAGAGACCCAATTCAACCTGATGCCTGATCCTTGAAGTTAAAGAGAATGGGGGACCTGTGGCCCAGCACTACTGCATGTAGAAAACCATGGAGCACTTATTTCCTGAGCTTCTAGGCCCAGAGTCTTTGAGGGAGGATGCTGTGGATAAAAGAGAGCCAATAAATAAAACCCCTTTCTTCCTGTGAGTTCTGCATCAGTCAAGATATAGAAACAGGGGTCAGATGAAAATATTACCTTACTGATGAGCTATGCTAAGGACACAGCTTGGAACTACAGCCACCATGAGCTCAAATCAAGTTACCCATCCATCCCCACTCCGATGCGTACCCATAGTCAGAGCTCGATGACCCCTTCAGACTCTTCCTAGACAGGGGGCTAGGTTTGGCTGTTCCTCCTTCCCAATCTGACCACTCAGAGACGCCACTCAGAGACACCAGGCTTCCTGATTTGTTGAGGAGTGAGAGAGTTGGAAAAATTGGTAGTTGAAAACATGGGTAGATGTTTACTCTCCTACTTCTGCAAGGGTCTTTTGAAAGGGAAGAAGTTCCAACTTTAAGGGCTGAAGCAGGAAGGTTTGGATGGGAGATACTCCCCTTAGATGACATGCTGAAGGGTGAGTCATGCCACACAAAGTAGTTTCTACTTCAATCTGTTGTTCAACAAATATACTCTTATCATTATGATCATACCAGACAGGTACTACATATCCAGCTGGGGATGGTGTACATTTTGAGAACATCTCTCAAACCTTTAGTGGCAGCTGCACTTCTGAGAGCATGTTTTCCCCCCATGAGGTTTCGCTGGAAAGACCCAGAAATTCTGAGCATGACTGTTGCACACCCACGTTGCAGGAGGATGGGGACAGGGTGACATGCACCCAGAGACAGCATCCACCCACAGCTCCATTTGCTCAGCTGCCAAATGAGGTGGTTGATTCAATTATCTCCCTAAGGACCCAACTGTGTCAAACTTCTGTCATTCTGAAACACCACCACCCCCGTAACTGCTGAGGACCACCTTGTCCATAAATAAACTGGCAGAGCTAGGTAAACTTGCTGAATTTCCAAAGGCCAAGACACCAGAGAGTTCTTTCAGTCTTGATCAGGACAGGATTGTACTGCTAAGCCAAGTAAGCAAGGTTGGGACACATCACTACTGCAAATATGACACTCTCTGTACCTGTAAAAGCCACCTCATAGGGACTATAAACTGGTACAGCCTCTTGAAAGTATTCATCAAAGTAAAAAAATAGACACCTCTCCTTTGTTATGGTTTGAATGTTTGTGTCTGTCCAAAATCCATGTTGGAATCTAAGACCCAGTGTGATAGTATTAAGGGGTGGAGCATTTTGGAGGTGAATAGGCCATGGGGGCCCTGACCTTGTGAATGAAATTAGTGCCCCTATAAAAGAGGCTTCAGAGAGCTGCCTGGCCCTTCTATCTCTTTTGCTGTCTGATGACATAGAGTTTACCCCTTCCACCATGTGAGAACATAGCAAGAAGGTGCCATCTTGGAAGCAGAGAGCAGCCCTCACCAGACACCAAGTCTCACCTGCCAGTGCCTTGATCTAGGACTTCCCAGCCTCCAGAACTGTGAGAAATACTTTTCTATTATTCATAAATTACCCAAAGTCTCAGTCTGTTTTGTGCTGCTATAGCAAAATGCCACTGACGGGGTGATTTGTAAACATTAGAAGTTTGTTTCTCACAGTTCTGAAGGCTGGGAAGTTCAAGATCAAGGCACTGGCAGTTTTGGTGTCTGGTGAAGGCTTGGTCTTTGCTTCCAAGATGGTGCCTGGAGCATTGCATCTTCCCGAATGGAGAAACACTGTCCCTCACATAGCAGAATAGTGAAACAGCCTACTGTTGAAAGTCCTTTTACTAAGGTATTAGGCCAGGTGCAGTGGCTCATGTCTGTAATCCCAGCACTTTGGGAGGCTGAGGTGGGAGGTTTGCTTGAGCCCAGGAGTTTGAGACCAGCCTGGGCAACATAGCAAGACCCTGTCTCTATAAAAATAAAATAAAATAAAATAAAATAAAATAAAATAAAATAAAATAATTAGCCATTCATGATGGTGAGCACCTGTAGTCCCAGCTACTTGTGAGGCTAAGGTGTGAGGATCGATTGAGCCCAAGATGTTGAGACTGAAATGAGCCATGATCGTGTCACTGCACTCCAGCCTAGGCAACACAGCAAGACCCTGCCTCAAAAAAAAAAAAAAATAGTTAAACCCACTCATGAGGGTGGAGCCTTAGTGTCTTAATCACCTCTTAAAGGCTCCATCTCCCAATACAATTACATTGGCAATGTATTTCAACATGAGTTTTGGAGGGGGATAAACAGTCAAACCATGGCACCCAGTCTCAGGTATTTTGTTATAGAAGTACATATGGACTAAGACACCTTTGATCCAGCAATTTTACTTCAGGAAATTTATTTTATAGAAATAAATTATACACATCTCCAAGGATAACTGTACAAAAGATATGTATTGCAGCATTCCGTGTAATAACAAAAAACTCAAAATAACTTAAATGTCTATTAATAAAAGATAGGTTAAATAAATATGGTTCATATATAGAATGGGATAGCCATGCAGCTATTAAAAAATATAATAAGGAGACTCTGTAGATACTGACATGGAGAGCTGTCCAAGACAGAGTTTGATTGAAAACAGTAGGATGGGCTGGGTGCGGTGGCTCACGCCTGTAATCTCAGCACTTTGGGAGGCCGATGCAGGCGGATCACCTGATGTCAGCAGTTCCAGACCTGCCTGGCTAACATGGTAAAATCCCGTCTGTACTAAAAATACAAAAATTAGCCAGGTGTGGTGGTGTGCGCCTGTAGTCCCAGCTACTCAGGAGGCTGAGGCAGGAGAATTGCTTGAACCTGGGAGGCGGAGGTTTCAGTGAGCCGAGATTGTGCCACTGTACTCCAGCCTGGGTGACAGAGCCAGATTCTGTTTCAAAAAAAAAAAAAAAAAAAAAAACAAGAAAAAGAAAAAAAGGAAAGAAAAAAGAAAACAGTAGGATGTCCACTTTATGTGTTTAGTGTGACTACATTTTTTTGATGTGTTGGTGGGGAGTACTTGTATATTCTTAGAAAATAAAAACACACATCCCAATCTCTTAACAGTGTCTACCTTAGGGGTCTGAATTGTCTGCATTTGGGTGGGGTTATTGGAAAATATTGGACTTTTATTTTATTTTATTTTTTTATTTATTTTTGAGACGGAGTCTCGCTCTCTCACCCGGGCTGGAGTGCAGTGGCATGATCTTGGCTCACTGCAACCTCTGCCTCCCAGGTTCAAGCGATTCTCCTGCCTCAGCCTACCAAGTAGCTGGGACTACAGGAGCCTGCCACCATGACCAGCTAATTTTTGTATTTTTAATAGAGACAGGGTTTCACCATATTGGCCAGGCTTGTTCGAACTCCTGACCTGTGATCCGCCCAACTTGGCCTCCCAAAGTGCTGGGATTACAGGCGTGAGCCACTGTGCCTGGCCTTAATTTTAATTTTTATATATGTCTATACTCTTCAGTTTTTTTTAAAACAATAAACATTTATTTGTTACTATTATTTTTACTTATAAAAAATACTTTTTAGAGACAGTCTCATTCTGTCACCCAGGCTGGAGTGCAGTGATGTAATCATAGTTCACCGTAGCCACGAACTCCTGGGCTCAATGATCTTCCCACCTCAGCCTCCCGAGGAGCTGGGACCACAGGTGCGTGCTACTATGCCAAGCAGCATTTATTTTTTATTTTTTGGCACATACACAGTCCCCTCAATCCTCAGAGGAGGAAGAGATAGCCTTGGCCTCTGCTCCCCTGCTTTCTCATCATAGAACGTAAGACAGTGTCAGGGCTGAGTCAATGGAAAGGAAATGTGTTAAATCGAAAACATTAAGGTGACATCACCTTGTTGAAAGCCCTCAGGGACATCTTTGACATCACTGACAGACAGGTCCATTCCAGAGTGCATGGGATTTGATTTGTAAACTAGAGGTTTGATGGGTCTGAGTTCACAGGTAGGCAAAAATGCTGCTCCTCTGAATGAGAAAACACTGAAAACAGCACCCAGCCCACGCATCACCCAGTTTTAAATATCTCTTGGTGGGATCATTTCTGAGCCCCACTATCTTGTGGCAAACCACGTTTTCCATGGTGCCCAACAAGAGTTTACACACCTGCTTGTTTTCTATGATTTACTTCTTCTATGGCTGTATTTGTGCAAACCATACACAGTGGTTGACAGAGAGATGAAGGTACTCGCCTTTCTATGAATGGTTGAGAAACTGTCTACAAACCCTTTCCTGGGTGGGTAAACTCGATGTTGCCTGACCTCACAAATGTTAAGAAAAATAAGATTACATCACAGTACTATCCAGGCCCCAATTATGCTGGATCTTTCCACCCTGTCAACTGTAGAACCCCAAGAGCCTTTCAAGGTTAGTCTTCTCCTTCCTGTAGAATGCCTGGGAGTTCCCTGGAGGTATCTTTAATGTAGACAATGATCTTTGGCAGCCTCTTGTCCCACCACTCTGTGTTGGCCTCTGGGGTATATGTCTCTTGGGATTCTCTTCCCACTCTGGCCAGAACCACAGCTTGCTGCTTGTAGGGCTGCTCTCCCCAGGCACCTGTGGCCTCCTCAGTGGGGCTGCCTCTCACACCACGGATGCAGACATAATCACAATTTTTTTCCCTAGTGTGCTTCTAACTAGATGGAACTCAGTGGGTAATAGAGGATACTATGGTATGGAATGCCACCTAACTCAACAAGCTATATGCATCTGAATCTCTGCTGTGGGAAGCTGAGACCCTCCACCATACTTGTGAAGCACTGAAAGGACCCTCCAGTGGCAATGTGAAAGACTATTGGGTAAGACAAGTGAGGAAAAAAGCAATAATGAAAGAAAAGGAATATAGCTGAAGACTAAGAGGGGCAGCAGGTAAACTGCTAAGAGAATGATGAAAGAATTTTAAGGCTAGTGGGTCAAAGATTTCACTGTTTCAGTCTTCAACCGGAGGCTGAATGAGTATCTCTGAGGGATTCCATGGCGAGAGGTTTTACAGAGTAAATCTTTGATATTTGGGAAAAATACTTACTAGAGTATTTACTAGTACTTACTAGATACTTTGGAAATCCCCACACATACAGATACCGTTATAACAGAATTTAATGTTAGAAATTTGGGTCAGAAGAAAAATATTAGGGCCCCAGCAAAGTATGTGAGTTGGGCATTTAGCAAGGCCAACTCTTTAGCCAACTGACCTGCTCCTTCACCACTGGCTCAAAACTTGGATTCAAACTTGTACTCCCTCATAATTACAAAAGAGTATGTCATGGATTTTGAGATCATGTGTCAACAGCTGCAACTGAGAACATCATGCAGCAGAGTGCTAAGGATCTATTATACAGTGCAAGGAGTTGTGTTGGGCCATGTCTAAGAGCTCTCCCAATTTGGGATTATCACAATGAAGTGTGACATTATTTTCCATCATACTTCATTGACCTAAGCAATTTACCCACAAAGGCTAGATCTTCAGTTCACACCCTGAACAAGTCCTGTCAGCCTGAGAATCCCTCTAGATGAGCCTGTTTCTTTAAAACAGTTCTCAGCCTTCTCCTGGGCTTCAGCCAGGCCTTGATGGCCAGGGATGGATTCTGTATTTTTCCGTGCACATAGAACTTCTTTGTTCCTTCTTTCTGACTTATTTTCCTCCCAAATAAAGGGCAGAGGAAAGGAGATTATCGAAGAAAGTCTGGCAAATGGGATGCAAGTTATCCAGTTGTACTATTCAGTGGGAAAATCTGGCTGTAAGCCTAGGAACTTAAAATGATGTTTCTAGATTTGAAAATATAATCTCAAAATGCTTCCATTTTGTGAAGGGTCAGTCCCCAGCCTCCATGCATAAAAGATAGACGGGAAGGACTAGGCAGGTGGAGAGTCATGATCGGGGGTACAGGGAAGAGTGAGGGCTTTTAGAAAGTGGTGTGGCTATAGTTCAGAGTCCTCACCCACCTGGGGTCGGGAGCTGTGGGTTTTCCTGTAGTGCTGCCTCTGAGCACTGTAATCTTGGGCACATCACTTTGTTTCTTTTCACAACTGAGTATCCTCAATGTAAAGATAAGAAATTAGGCTGGGCATGGTGGCTCATGCCTATAATCCCGGCACTTTGGGAGGCCGAGGCGGGTGGATCACCTGAGGTTGGGAGTTCGAGACCAGCTTGACCAACGTGGAGAAACCCCGTCAGTACTGAAAATACAAAAAATTAGTCAGACATGGTGGCACATCCCACTGTAATCCCAGCTACTCGGGAGGCTGAGGCAGGAGAATTGCTTGAACCCGGGAGGTGGAGGAGAGCCAAGATTGTGCCATTGCACTCCAGCCTGGGCAACAAGAGCAAGAATTTGTCCCCCCAAAAAGAAAAAGAGACATTAGACCAGATGTTCTAGAAGATTCCTTCCATCTCTATCAGCCATGGATCTATGATTGTGATTACCACCCCTTCTAAGGAGCAGATTATAGAATGATGGATTTAAGACAAACTTACTAGTTGGTAGAGGTGAATAAATACCATTGAATTTATCAATGAATAATTGTTCCAAATGTAATCAGCTATTTGTCTTTTCTTATAAAACAATGTACACTGGATTTTTGGTTTTAACATTAATAAGAATGTAAAAAATATTTTAATTCACTTTTCAAAGTGCTTTCACTGGTATAATTTTTTAAGGTACTCCCGTCACAAAGAGGGAGTTAAATATGTGGGCCTAGGCTGGGCGTGGTGGCTCACGCCTGTAATCCCAGCACTTTGGGAGGCCTAGGCAGGCAGATCATGAGGTCAGGTGATTGAGACCATTCTGGCTAACACAGTGAAACCCCGTCTCTATTAAAAAATACAAAAAATTAGTGGGGCGTGGTGGCGAGTGCCTGTAGTCCCAGCTACTCGGGAGGCTGAGGCAGGAGAATGGCATGAACCTGGGAGGTGGAGCTTGCAGTGAGCCGAGATTGTGCCACTGTACTCCAGCCTGGGTGACAGAGTGAGACTCCGTCTCAAAAAAATAAAATAAAATAAAAAACGTGTGCCTAAAAGGCTGAACTCAGTCCGGAATTTTCACCACAGTCTCTTATTTTGGCAATAGAGAGATGCAAGAAGTATTCTTTCTGGGATGACATATTCTTTGCTGGCAGCAGGCAGGTGCTGTGGTGTGTCCCTGGCCATCTTGGTCCCACAGGCCAGCTTTGTGGGATGAGAGATGGACCTTGGTGACTTCTTCCTCTAAGACATTGCAGACCTACTTCACTGCTTCTCATTTCTAGACAAAAGCATTATCTCGTAGCAGCACCTGGAAGCCACTACAGTGGGTTGGCCTTTGGTCCCTTTTGAGAGTAACAATTTTTTGTGGAAAATGTATTTTAGGAAACCTTGTGTCTGGGTTAGGTGGAATCATTAGCAATGATTCCATCACATACTACATTCTCTTCTCTGCCAATGGCTTTTTGATCAATGGCCTCTGTATGACAGTTTATGAGATATTGAATAGGCTACATGGGCCCATTCATTGTGTGGATAGCTTGCTCCTGCAGCAAACTGCAGGCCCTACATCTAGCATACAGGGCAGACCAAGCACTCCCTTGGGCATTCTGAAGGTTAGAGGCCACCTTATACTCTGCCTGAGACAGTGGCTTTCTTTCTTGTGATAATAATGTTTTTATTCCACTGAATCCAGGTACGTGGAGAAATTTCAGAATAATCAACTTATTTGTTTTTGTTTTTCTTATAAAAGTGTTGCACAGACTAAATGCACTAATTTAGGAAGATTGCATAGATCAAATCTTGGTAGAAGTAAGCACTCACATTTTAACTATTATTATTGTTATCATAGATTGTTTGGCACCAATGAGCTGCAAGTTGCAACGCAACTCAATCTGAAGAGAAGGCCCAGATACCCTCTAGTCTAACCTCTCACTTTGCAAATGAGTGAACTGAGGTCCAGGAAGGAGGCAAGGCTTGCCCAAGGTCACAGAATTCACTGGTAACATAAATATAATTAAAAATTCGTGAAAAATATTTACTTAGATATGTATCTTTGAAGCCAGCCAGCGTTTTCCAGCATTTTTTGAGACAATGAAGTGGCAGGATAATCCTGGGTCCCCTAGAGAAATTTTGGAAAGGTTCTCCTATATAATAAAGTCACTTAAAAAGGAAGAATTCATTGCATTTTATCCAACTGACCTGTGAGGTCCCTCCACGGAACTCCAAGGAGCCCCCACTTATTCTGGCCCTGGGTTCCTTCAGAGGTGGCTAGGCTAGAGCTGTGTCTTGGGATTCCGTACAACTGCCACCGCTGGGAGAGATGGAAGTTCTCCATGTTTATGGGAAGCCGAATTCCTCCAATAATAGAAGAGAAAGAAACAAAGTTTGTTGGAATTTTTCATGAATTCTTCCTTTTTAAGTGACTTTATTTTATAGAAGGCATTTGTATTTAGTTTGCTAGGACTGCTGCAGCAAAGAACCATAGACTAAGTGACTTAAACGACAGAAACACATTGCCTCACAGTTTTGGAGGCTGGAAGTCCAAGATCAAGATGTCGGCAGGGTTGGTTCTTTCTGAGGGCAGTGAGGGAGAATCTCTTCCAGACCCCTCCCCTGCCTTGTTGTGTTTTCTGGCCACATTTGATGTTCCTTTGGTTATAGAAGTAATACCCCAATCTCTGACTTCATCTTCATGTAGTGTTTTCCCTGTATGTGTGTCTGTCTCCAAATTTCTCCCTTTTATAAGAACATTTGTCATGTTTGATTAGGGCCCCCTCTAATGACCACATTTTAACTTGATTATCTCTTTAAAGATGCTATCTTCAAATAAGATCACATTCTGAGGTACTGTGGGTTAGGACGGCAACATATGAATTTCTGGAGAACATGACTCAACCCCATAACAGCATTGAATAATTTAGACAAGTGAGGATTGTGTCTGCTTCATTTACCATCGCATGCCAAGCGTCTAGCACAAAGCACGTCACATATTGGGCTCTCAAATATTTGTTGAATTAATAAACACATAGTTATCCTTATCTAATTATACTTGGTGTTTTTCAGATTGGCTTTTCATGAGGTGTTAATTTTCCCTCAAAGATGCAGATTATCCTTGGTGATGTGGGAATTGGAAGACTGTGCACTCAGTAATCCCCCATCCTCAGGGTAGCTAATTTCATGTCAGCATCTTCTCACACAAGCACTTTAAATTGCACTATTTCCAAGTGGTAAAACTGACTGACAATGACTTTTGTCTGTCCTGTCTGGAGCCTGGTGGTGGGTACATTGAGCAATGAATTGATCTGAAAGCAGTGGCGGTAGGAAGAAGAAAAGCTCCTGAATAACAGAGTTGGCAAATGCCTTCCCTGGAAATCCTATTCTGCCTTTGACTTCTGATGATACCAGGGTAGGATGACACAGGAACATCTGCATGGTGCTGGCCATGGGAATGCTGCCTGGGCGGATGGGGAAGTTCTCACAAACGTCTTTGCAACTGGGGAAAAGCCAGTTCTTACCTATCTGTGTCCCATCTGCAGGAATAGTAATGCCTTACAAAATTAAACCTGGACTCAGAGGCCCAAGTAGTAAATCCTGTGTCAGTCCTTTATATTTCCTATTAAAGTTGTCCATGCACATAAACAACAGATGGAAGAGATTAACAAGACGTATTATATTCAAGTACAATAAATTGGTCTGAAAGGTGGATGTCATGCTCTTATTGGGCAGAGTGTAAGTTCGGCTCAAATGCAAGGCTTTATTGTAGTGTGCTATGAGACTGCCTGGGTATTTGGGGAAAGAGGACCCAAGTCAGGAACCGAACCCATTTTAGACACCTGTAGAGCCTTTCCAAAAAATAAGAGCATCCAGATCATGCCCCTTGAGCTGTGTTAAGAACAGATGACTATAATAAAAGCAAAAGAGCCCATGACACAGGATCTGGTCACTTGTTTATTTCCACGTATTTTGCTCTGTTATGTTTTGAAGTGGGTGAACTGGGCTGTGCGAGTTTGCCTATGTGGCCATCTGGGCAAAAACTGGAGAACAGATTTCAGGCCCCCAGTTCTTCTGTTTGATTGGAAATTAGCTTCCTCCTTGGACTCCAATTTGCAATGTTTAATGGAATAGAAATGATTGGGAGCTCGTTGTTGACTGTTCATGTTAGAGAGAAGCTGTACTTAGTGCCACACTTCAGCGCTTTGCCCATTTATTGGTTCACTGCAGTGAATGTGAATAGATTGCTGCTCCTAGGCACTTAGACACAGCATTCTGGGGTTCAGACCAAGACCAAGACTCCGATGAGTCTGAAAGAACACAAGACAACTAATTAGCTGTGGGGCTGTTTTACCTTCCAGCCCCAAGAAGTCAGCCCAAGTCCAGCCCATGTCAGAGGATATGGTTCAGGGTTCAGAGGGCAGCGAGGGCATCTGGACCCTTTGAGAAAGGCCTGTGCATTTTTAGGTCAGTGTCTACCTCAGTGAACAGAGAAGTTAATCTTTTCATGATGAATTTGTATCGCCAGAGGTGCCCTACAACAAGGATGAGGCTGGGACCCGGACAGCATATGTGTCTCTTCTGAGCTTACACTCTTTATGGAACACTCTCCAGGACCATGTTCCACGAGCTGCTGGCATGTCCCACTGCTTGTAAAATTTCAGAAGGTCTTTGACTCCAGGCTAAACATCCCAGGTGCATTCTGTTTCTTTTCTGATCTAGTTTGTGTCCTCTGACAGGTCTTGGCCAATGTTTACTGGTAAACATCTGTTTATCTGTGTCCAAGTAGGCAGCCAGCACTTCATATAGCATCTGGCTTAGAGTGGAGGTCCTATTCCCACTACTTTGGTGCTACATTTCTATTAATACCCTTTGAGATCGTTATAAGTTTAAACACTTTTATTAAGAAATTTTGTAACATACAGAAAAGTACAAAGAACAATATAACAAACACTTGTGTACCCATTCCCACCTCCATCAAAAGCCTTTTATTTATATTTATATTTATTTACTTATTTGAGGCAGAGTCTCTCTGTTGCCCAGGCTGGAGTGCAGAGGCGCGATCTTGGCTCACTTCAACCTCAGCCTCCCGGGTTCAAGCAATTCTCTTGGCTCAGCCTCCCGAGTAGCTGGGACTACAGGCATGTGCCACCACACCTGGCTAATTGTTTTTTGTTTTTTGTTTCTTTTTTGTATTTTTAGTAGAGATAGGGTTTCACCATGTTGGCCTGGCTGGCCTTGAACTCCTGACCTCAATTGATCCATCTGCCTTGGCCTCCCAAAGTGCTGGTATTACAGGTGTGAGCCACCACACCCGGCCAAAAGTCTTATTATTCTTGCCATCAAATCTCAGTGATACACCTGTTATGTGTTCAGAACCCCTCATATCCTAAACCTTCTCTCTTGCTCCTTCCTCCTTTCCTGCCCCTCCTCCCCAGAGGTACCCATTATCCCAAATTTGGTATTTTTCAGTGTCATTTTTTTATACTATTACTATATTTGTATATCTCTTTAAAAAAATAGAGCATTGTTCCACATATTTTTGAATTTTATATACATGTTATAATTCCTTCCATAACTTGCTTTCTTATCTAATCTTTGTTCTTGAAGATTTCTCCATGTTGTTTTATTTTTTACTATATTGCTGTATAGTATTCCATTTTATAAATACATCACAATTTATTTATCCACTCTCCATTTGATTGATATTTATATTGTTTCTTTTTTTTCTTGCCTTTTACAAAGTACTGCAATAAATATTCTAGCACCAGCTGGGCACAGTGGCTCATGCCTGTAATCCCAGCACTTTGGGAGGCTGAGGTGGGCAGATCACTTGAGGTCAGGAGTTCAAGACCAGCCTGGCCAACATGTGAAACCCTGTCTCTATCAAAAATACAAAAATTAGCTGGGTGTGGTGGTACACAGCTGTAATCTCAGCTACTTGAGAGGCTGAGGCAGGAGAATCGCTAGAACCCAGGAGACGGAGGTTGCAGTGAGCCGAGATCATGCCACTGCCCTCCAATCTGGGTGACACAGTGAGACTCCGTCTCAAAAACAAACACAAACAAACAAACAAACTAACAAAAAAGTAGCCCTGGCCCAGTGGCTCATGCCTGTAATCCCACTACTTTGGGAGGCTGAGGCAGGCAGATCACCTAAGGTGGAGAGTTCGAGGCCAGCCTGACCAACATGGAAAAACCCCGTCTCTACTAAAAACACAAAATTAGCCAGGCGTGGTGGTGCATGCCTGTAATACTAGTTACTTGGGAGGCTGAGACAGGAGAATCGCTTGAACCCGGGAGGCAGAGATTGCGGTGAGCCAAGATCTCACCACTGCACTCCAGCCTGGACAATAAGAGTGAAACTCCATATTAAAAAAAAAAAAAAATAGTATATATATATACTAGTACCTGTCTTCTAGCATACAAATGGAAGATTTATTTTCTATCATGTGCACTTAGAAGTAGAATTTCCGGGTCTACTGCTGCCTAGTGTTCGTAGCTCCCCTTACATATGCGAGGTCTCCTTTCTCCACGTCCTTACCTATCCATGATGTTGCCACACCAACATTTTTTCACCAGTCTGATGGTGTCCGTTGCTTTAATTTGCATTTCCCTAATTATCAGGGCTGCTGAGTGTGTTTTCCACATGCTTATTTTCAGTTTCCTTTTTTTGTGGTTTGCCTCTTTCTATACTTTGATGCCTTTTCTATGGACCTTAGTCTTTTTCTTTTTCATTTGTGGAAATCCTTTTAAAATTTTGGACATCACCCTTTATTAAAGTGCTGTAAGTATCATTTCCCAGGCTGCACATTGTTGTCTAACTGTTTATGTGTCTTTTAGTGAACAAAAGATTTCTATTTTAATGTCATAAAATACACTTTAATGATTTCCCCTCTTTCTTTCTTTTTTCTAAGGGAAATATTCTTACTCTCCAGAGGTTATAAATGTTATTCTATATTTTCTTCATTAGGTTTTATAGGTCCCTCAACCTTAATTTGGGTTTTTAATTAACCTGGAATTGATTTTTGTGTGTGGTGTGATGTAGGAATCTAATATTCTTGTATTTTTCATAAAGATCACCAATTGCCCCAGAACATTTTTTGCACAATACGATTTCCCCATACTGATCCAATTCCACTTGTAAGAGCAAGGCAGGGGATGATGGTAGTGGGGCCCAGGGAAGACTAGGAGCTGAAGAGGGGCCACACTACAGGAATGATCATCTAGGGAGATGTAGTTTATGGTAGAAACGTGCCAAAGTAGGAGCGTGTGGGGGAATAAATATCTTGACATCTGTCTTCTCCAGGCTTTCATTTTTTTTCTTTTTTTTTTTTGCTGTTATTTCCCATTGGTTAAACCCCAAAGAAGTTAAACCCAGAGGGCAAGGGTGCCTTGATGATGTGGTCTGTAGGGACAGACCTCCCCAGGGCTCAGAACAGGGCAGTGAAGGGCAGAGAAGGGATCCCAGTGAGTGCAAATGGAAGGTGGCCCACACAGATCTCCCCGGCGTGCACTGACCTCATTTAATGTGTCCTTCTCCCAGAGATGCACCACCTGTTTAATTATAGTTTTACCACCTACATATGTATTGAGTATGTTTTGGAGGTCAGTTTTGAAGTATTGGGGAGCCAGCCCAAATCTAGCTGTGCAAAGAAAGAGCAATAGTTCCACAGCCAGAGAATAAATGCTGAATAGAGTCTTCGGGTCACGCTGTGGCTTTAGATTTCTTGAGAATGTATAAGAGCCCCGTCTGGAGAAAGTGATCCTTGGCTACCAAGCTTCTATAGTTAAAAGTAGGAGATTAAAAAGGAGGTCAGAAGCACTGAGAGAATGAGGGAGACTGGTCATCACTTGACTTCACCATGGAGTGACCTCAGTGGGCTGTTTATTGGGGAAACCCCTGATGTCAGTCTCTTTAGGTCTTTCCTCTTGGGCTATCAGATTCCATGGAGGAAAGTCTTATGATCTCCTGTCTCAACCAAGTTGCATATGACACATGACCTCCCTGTTTGGAGCAGGGCACCTGTATCTTCAGCTGTGTCTGGTGGCCCCCAGTGTAGAGGTCCTTTGCCAGGATGGGAGAGGGTGGTTATATGCAGTGTGGAGTACCAGGGGGACTCTATGGATTTACTGTTTCTCAAGCAGCTTTCACCAAATCCTGCTTCATGTAGTACCCCCTTGCTTTCCAATCTGGAAGTATTTGGTACTGCCAGCGTCTTAGCCCTATAGAATTGCCACCAAGTCAACCAGGTTTGTTCCCAGTTCTTCCCACTGCAGGTTTAGGATGTGCCTGTCACAGATCTGCAGAGTCAGTTATGATTCCGCCACCTGCATTCCAGCTTCCGTCTCTTATTGTTGTCTCCTCCTCTGTCCTTTCTGTTGTGCTTGTGCCTTTCTGTCTAAAAACAAAAGGCCAGGTGCCGCGGCTCACACCTGCAATCCCAGCACTTTGGGAGGCCAAGGTGGGCAGATCACCTGAGGTCAGGAGTTTGAAACCAGCCTGACCAACATGGTGAAACTCTGCCTCTACTAAAAATACAAAAAAAAAAAAAAAAAGAAAGAAAGAAAAAAGCCAGGCATAGTGGCACAGGCCTATAATCCCAGCTACTCGGGAGGCTGAGGCAGAGAATTGCTTAAACCAGGAGGCAGAGGTTTCAGTGAGCCGAGATCACACCACTGCACTCTAGCTTGGGCAACAAAAGTGAAACTCCATCCGTCTCAAACAAACAAACAAACAAACAAACAAAAACAAAAAACAGATGAGGTCTCACTATATTGCCCAGGCTGGTCTTGAACTACTGGGTTCAAGGTATCATTCTGCCTCACCCTGCAGAGTAACGGGGATTACAAGTGCAAGTCACCACACCTGGGCTTTCTATCCTTTTAAGAAATCCTTTTGGCTGAGGAGGGAGGATGGCTTGAGCCTGGAAGGTAGACTGCAGTAAGCCATGATCATGCCTCTGCGCTCTAGCCTGGGCCAAAGAGCAAGACCCTGTCTGGAAAAAAAATCCTTTTACTACAGTTTTATAAAGTGAAGTTTCTGGAGGGAGAGAAACTAGATGTGTGTGTTTAAACATCCTAATACAGAGTCCTTTCTTCCATTTTCTCTAAATTTATTAGCTTTGAGAGATGAATGATTTATTAACTTATTTTCTTTCTTTTTTTTTTTTTGAGATGGAGTCTTACTCTGTCACACAGGCTGGAGTGCAGTGGCACGATATCGGCTCAAGGCAAACTCCGCCTCCCGGGTTCAAGCGATTCTCCTGCCTCAGCCTCCCGAGGAGCTGGGATTACAGGCACCCGCCACCACGCCTGGCTAATTTTTGTATATTTAGTAGAGACTGGGTCACCATTTTGGCCAGGCTGATCTTGAGCTCCTGACCTCGAGATCCACCCGCTTCAGCCTCCCAAAGTGGTGGGATTACAGGCGTGAGCTACCGCGCCCAGCTTATTAACTTATTTTCAATCTTTCTTGCTTTTTAAATAAGTGTATTCAGTTATCAATTTCCCACTAAACAGTCATTCCACAAATTTTGATATTTAGTATTTCCAGTATTGGCAAGTTCCAAATATCTAACCATTTCCACCATGATCCTACTTAAGTTTATGAGTTACTTAGAAGTGAATTTTTAAGTTTCCAAACATATTGTAAAACAATCTTTTTATTATTGATTTCTGGTCAACACATGGTTAGGGAATGTGGTCTGTATGGCATGGATTCTTTGAAATGTATTGAGATGTCTTCAATCTCCTAAGGACCTGCATCAGTTTTTATATATGTTCTATGTGTGTCTGAAAAGGATGTAGAGTCTGCATTTGTTGGTGAAAAATTCTATATTTGTCTATCAGATGGGACTTGATTTTATTGTTCTAATCTTCTGCCGTTACTAATTTTTTTAATTGGCACAATCAGTTTCTTCTCTGTGATTATTTTTGATTTTGTTTTGTATATTTGAGATTTTGTTGTTACATACATACATATTTATTACTGGTAGATTTTCTTTTTTCCTTCAACTTTTAAGTGCCGGGTGTACAGGTGTGGGATGTGCAGGTTTGTTACATAGGTAAACATGTGCCATGGTGGTTTCCTGCACAGATCATCCCATCACCTAGGTATTAAGCCCAGCATCCGTTAGCTATTATTCCTGTTACTCTTTCTCCTCCCACCACCCCTCCAATAACAGGCCCCAGTGTGTGTTGTTCCCCTTCCATGTGTCCATGTGTTCTCATCGTTCAGCTCCCACTTATAAGTGAGAACATGCAGTGTTTGGTTTTCTGTTCCTGCATTAGTTTACTGAGGATAATGGCTTCCAGCTCCATCCGTGTCCCTGTAAAGGACATGGTCTCAATCCTTTTTATGGCTGAATAGTATTCCATGGGTATATGTACCACATTTTCTTTATCCTATGACTGGTAATTTTTTTCCATTAAGCTTTATATAATGTCATTCTTTGTCCCTGTTGATGCTTTTCCTTTACTTTTAATTTTGTCTGATTTAAATGTCACTCCCAGAACTCTGTTTCTTTCTACTAGGTTTCTCATAGAATATATTTTCCACTCATTTATTTCTAATCTCAGTCTCGCTCTGCATGGGTATGTGTGCTTTACATGTCTTTTGTAAGCAGCATAGAGCTGCATTTTAACAAAACTTAAATTTTATTTATTTTTGAAATATGTGATTCCTCATATATTGTCAAATTCTAAGTATACTAAAGAGTAAACAGTGAACGATCTCTCTCTCATCTCTTTTTCCCATCTCCCCAGTCTTTCTCTCCAGAGGTAGCCAATATTAACAGTTTCTTGCTGCAAATAATCATTGTGAATATAAGTAAATATATTCTGTATATTCATTCCTTTTATGGTGGCAGTATAGGCACTGCTAAGTACTTTGTTTTTTCATTTATTAGCAATTTAACTGTGAATAAAGAGCTTCCTCATTCTTTTCAATGACTGCATATTAGTTTATGAATGTTTCCTTATCTATTTAACCTACCTCCCATCAGAGGACTTTTAGGTGGTTGCCAGTGTTTTACTTTTACAAACAATGCTGTAACGAATAATCTTAAACAAACATTATTTAAACATGTGCAAGTATATCTATAGGAGAAATTTCTACAAATGGAATTGCTGAGACAAATGACTTCCGCTTTTGTAATTCTAATAGATATATAGAGATTGCCTAATTTTCTGGCATCGAGTCTTGCCAGTTTACTCTCCCACCAGCAAAGGCTGTCCTAATTCATACTCCTACTTGCTGGTTTTCCCACTTCCTTGCCATAGCAGCCAGCGGCCAGTCAAGAAAAGGAGACGTCTCTAGGGATTTTGAACAGAGGGGGACATAAAATGGGAAATGAGTACCCAGGTGATGGGAGAGCTGGAGAGGTTAACATGGGATAGTGAGGCAGCCCAGGGCAAAGGCAACAGCAGGAGCTGCTCTCCCCAGAGCTAGAGAACCACTTGGCAACATCATAGGTTCCAGGAGGCAGGGCCATTGACGAAGCCAGGACCCCAGCAGGCCTGCCTGGCAGGAGCTGGTGATGGAGTGAGGGGCTGTCAGGAGGGAGTGGAGGAGAAGTAGCTGCTGATGGAGACGCCTCCTGAAGCAAAGTGGAGGGGAGGAGTGCCCCGGCCTCTACCCTCCTGTTTTCTACCAGTGTCTCCCATTCCTGCAAACCACCTGAATTCAGCTTGGGAAATAAATGCATTTTCCCATGATGCAGACCAGAGTGGAGAAGGATGGAGAATGGATCTGGGAACAGCAACAACAACAAATCAAAAATAAAAAGTATGGCTCCATCTATTCTTTTCTTTCTTTCTTTTTTTTTTTTCAGACAGAGTTGCCCAGGCTGGAGTGCAGTGGTGCAATCTCGGCTTACTGCAACCTCCGCCTCCCATGTTCAAGTGATTCTCCTGCCTCAGCCTCCCGAGTAGCTGGGATTACAGGCACCCGCCACCATACCAGGCTAATTTTGTATTTTTAGTAGGGATGGGGTCTCACCAGGTTGGCCAGGCTGGTCTCGAACTCCTGACCTCAGGTGATCCGCCCACCTCGGCCTCTCAAAGTGCTGGGATTACAGGAATGAGCCACCGCCCCTGGCCTGGCACCGTCTAATCTTGTTGCTCTCAGCTTCATATTTAACTGCCAGACAACAACGACTTGGCGCTTCTACCCAACAGAATGTAACTGTACTTTGTGCCAACTCTGACACTTTAGCCCAGACCCCAAAAGGAGATGAGTAAAGTCCCATTCTCACTATGTGCACCTCGATAGTCCAGGGTCTCAGGCGTGGACGTCGTTCTTCCGGTTGTAAACGTAATTACTATGAACATCTCTCATGCAAAACTGTCAGGGAATGAGAAAGAAAAAGAAAAAAATGGGTTAATACATGCCTACAGAAGCAGGTGTAGCTGTTCAGTCCCCATGTCTGCCACTGGCCATGAGGTCGAAGTTGACATTTATCGCTCTCTTCTTCCACCGCTCATTGCATAATCCCGTTGACCTCTGCCAGCACCTGGCTGTTTGGAAATCGTTACCTGGAGGAGTGATTCAAGTCTTTATTCCCAAAGGGTCTGGTTTCTTAATAGTCCTGTCTTTTTATTCGATTTCCCCTTCAGGTCTGCAGTGCCTTCCATTGTCTTTTACTGTTGGTGATGAAATACTAAGAGGCACTGCTGAGAATCTCTTCAGTTTCAGATGTAGACTTCCCTGCCCCATCATATAACAGAAAGCCGATTTTCTCAGAGAAATTGAGATTACTCTCCGCAGCCAATACGACGTTCCTCGTGCCATCTTTCTCTGCCTATTGATTTGGTGGCATGAGCATCCCAGAGCAGCCCGATGGTGGTCTCAACTTCCAATTCTGTGAAACCATTGTTGTATCTCTGGTGGGTGCATTTTTCTCTTGGAAATCAATCCTTTTTTTTTTTTTTTTTTTTGAGACGGAGTTTTGCTCTGTCACCCAGACTGTAGTGCAGTGGGGCGATCTCGGCTCACTGCAAGCTCCACCTCCCGGGTTCATGCCATTGTCCTGCCTCAGCCTCCCGAGTAGCTGGGACTACAGGTGCCCGCCACCACGCCCGGCTAATTTTTTGTATTTTTAGTAGAGATGGGGTTTCACCATGTTAGCCAGGATGGTCTGGATCTCCTGACCTCATGATCTGCCCGCCTTGGCCTCCCAAAGTACTGGGATTACAGGCGTGAACCACCGCGCCTGGCCTCTTTTTTTGTTTGTTTGTTTAATATAGAAATCAATACTTCTAATTGGGCAGAATGGAAGGTTGCAAAGCTGGGAAGCAAAAATTCTGTGAATGGCCGTTAGGTATATAGAGAGAAGTCACTCTTTCATCACTTTGCTCCTGTCCCCAAGTATTAAGAAACTATATGATACATTGATCTCTGGTTCAAGGTGTGTGCTGCCTCCTGTTAGGAGAGCATACCCACCTGATGGTGTGTGGTCTCACAGCTGGAGAATGATTGAGCTTTCAGCAGGGCCATTCTTCCAGAGGCTTCTTGGTGATGGGGTACATGGTAAAACCAGCAGGGTGGAAAAGAGCTGGGAATGGGCTTGACAGCAAAATGGGCAAATGCCCGGCAAGCTCACCAATATGGCATGTCATTCAATCCTTTGATCTTGGCTAATCTGGTGGATGAAACATGTCACCTCAACGTGTTTTCATTTCTTTTGAACGTCATTTTATGTACTTAAGAGCCACTTGGATTTCCTTTTTTGTAAACTATTGATCTTTTTTTTTGCCTGTTATTCTTTGGAATGTTGGTACTTCTTTATGTTTTAGTAAAAGGAGCCTCTATCTATCCTTTGTCAGATAATAAGACTATTTTTCTAAGTAATTCTTTATCTACTTCTTAAGCGGTACAGAAGTGTTTTATCAAGAAAAAAATATGTGCATAGTTTTATTGAAGGTCTTGTATTGTGTGGTTTATAACTTTTCGTGGCTAGATAATGTATAGGAGAAGAAGTTATAAATGTAGTTAGGCTCTTGATGATGGGAAGCCTCATATTATAGGCCAAGAACTTTGGGTTTTACCCCAAAAGCAATTGTAAACCACTTTAAGAAAAGTGTGACATAATCAGATTTGCTTTTAATACTATACCAGTGATTGTTTGGGGTATTGCAAATATATATTTTTACCCCAGATTTGAAATGCCACTTTGTCCTATACTAAATACATTTACATCTATTTCTGGAATTTTAGGCCTGTTACCTTGAACTGTCTGCTTAATAATATTTTTTGTTTTTTGTGTTTTTTTGAGATGGAGTCTCACTCTTGTCATCCAGGCTAGAGTGCAATGGCATAATCTTGGCTCACTGCAACCACTGCTTCCTGGGTTCAAGCAATTCTCCTGCCTCAGCCTCCCGAGTAGCTGGGATTACAGGCAACTGCCACCACACTGGACTAATTTTTGTATGTTTAGTAGAGATGGGGTTTCACCAGGTTGGCCAGGCTGGTCTGAAACTCCTGACCTCAGGTGATCCACCCACTTCAGCCTCTCAACGAGCTGGAATTACAGGCGTGAGCCAACGTGCCTGGCCTAATAATGTTTTAATATGACATTATTTTGTTTACTGTGGCTTTATGTTTTAATATTTAGTAGAAATTTTTTCTCCATTGTCCATTTTCAAAATGGATTCCTGGATAAACTGGCTTAATAGTTTTCCTATATTAACAGTCTTAGTCCATTTGTGTTGCTCTAAAGGAATATCCTAGGCTTGACAATTTATAAAGAAAAGAGGTTTATTTGGCTCACGGTTCTGCAGGCTGTACAAGAAGCATGGCGCCAGGATCTATGTCTGATGAGGGCCTCAGGTTGCTTCCATTCATGGCAGAGGGTGAAGAGTAGCTAGTGTGCAAAGATCACAAGATCAGAGAGGAAGCAAGAGAATGGAAGGAAGAGTTGCCAGGCTCTGTTCAACCACCATGTTTAGTTTTCATGGAAACTAAGGGTGAGAATTCACTTGCTCCCTCCAGCGAGAATGGAACCAAGCCATTCATGAAGAATCTACCCCCACAATCCAAATACCTCCCACCAGACCCCACCTGCAACATTGTGAATTAAATTTCAACTTGGAGGGCCCAAAGAAAACAACTTCAAACCATTGCATTCACTTCACAGTTCTCTAGTCCAGATGTGCTTTCCTCCTTAAAAAAAAAATTCTGCTGTTCTTTGCATTGGGATCCCAATCCCAAGCACTGCTGTCTTCAGGGGCCAGCATGATGTATCCTCAGCTCCTCCTCCACCTCCTCTCCTAACACTGCCCTGAATTTTCTCTGCCTTCCCCACTCTGGCCCCCTTGCTATTGCTCAAACATGCCATGGCCTCCCATCTGCTACTGTCTTCATCTCTGTTCAGCAAGATTGAGTGGCCTCAACTTAGGACCAGGACCCCATCTATAGTCATTTGGGTGGGACTTTTCTCTACACCCTGGGATTTGGGGATGTGGCAGGTCCAATGTCCCGGTCAGCAGGTGGCGGACACAGGTCCTGGAACTGAGGCTGAATCTTTCCCTCTGTTTTCCCTAAAACAGTCCCAGGCATTGGGCAGGTGCCATTTTTTTCAGCTGCCTCTTGAGTGGCGTCAGGCCTGATTCCCTCTCAGCCTCAAGCAGGAACAGGTTGAGTCCCTGTTATTCAAGCAGCTGACCTCTCAGCAGCCTGATTCTGGCCCCAGAACCCTGCAGGCTGAAGGCTTCAGTTCCACACACTGCTTTGGTTTGGATCTGCATCTGGCTTTTGGAGATCTTTAGCTTGTTTCTGAGACCACCTGTGTCTTAGTGGGTTCCTCTTCTGATATTCTATCTCTCATTTTTATGTGTTCAGTACAGAGTGGGTGTGAGGAAGCATGAACTTCTGTGCACCATTGTGACTAGACCACTCATTTATCTTAGCAGACACTCTGAGGTCTGTCTCTCACGAGCTCCTGCTAAAATAACACATTAACCAGCCTGTACTTGTGTGGCGGTTTGGGGGTGCAAATGCTGGACCTTGCAACAATTCCTTCTAACAGCAGCCCTGTTGGAGGAAAGGCAGGTGGGTGTGACTGCAAATCTGTGGTCTCCAACCACAGCAGGGCCTCTGCAGTTCTGCACAGAAGCTCAGCTGGCTTCCTCTTGTCAGCCTCAGCACTTGATCTGGCCCCTCCATCACAGCAAATATGAATAACAGTGCTGACATTGTTCTTATCAGTACGAATGGGGCCGTCAAGTTAAACACCAGCAAGTCCTCTCACTCTTCAACTGTGCTTATCCTTCCCTCCAGGAATTCGTTTTTGTCTCCAGGAATTCTCTGCCTAGAGAACAACACAGTTGCTCTTTACCCTCACACAACACTTCTAATAGATGTGTGGGTTGGTTTTTTTTTTTTTTCCACCCCAAGCAAGTCTCCAATTTTCTGAATACCAGCTAGGAGTCCTACAATTTCATTAAATTCTGATACTATCTACCTGGAGTTAGCATCAGATCCCATGAGTTCAGGGCTCAGTCTCACAAGACTGCACCCCCCACTTCAGACACCAATCAGGAGTCCAGGCCTGTACTCCCAGGGACTCAGGATGCTGAGTGACCAGCTATAAGTTAGGGTTCCTGATCTCCTCCTTGGGTTTGATAATTTGCTAGAATGATGAGTAGAACTCAGGCACTCAGAACTTAGGTCTACTGTTTACTCAGGAAGAGCAGATGGAAAAGATGTACAGAGTAAGGCATTAGGGATGCAGGACATGGAGCTTCCACTCTGTCTCTGGGCACACCACCCTCCCAGCACCTGCATAGTTTCAGCCATCTGGAGCCCACCATGTCTTGTCCTTCAGTAGTTTTTATAGAGCTTAACCCCCAGGACCTGATGCCATTTCCCAGATGTCAGTGGGTGGGGCTGAAAGTTTTGTTTTGTTTTGTTTTGTTTTGTTTTTTAGACAGAGTCTCTCTCTGTCGCCCAGGCTGGAGTGCAATGGTGTGATCTCGGCTCACCACAACCTTCGCCTCCCAGGTCCAAGAGATTCTTCTGCCTCAGTCTCCCAAGTAGCTGGGATTACAGGTATCCACTACTATGCCCAGCTAATTTCTGTAGAGACGGGGTTTCACCATGTTGGCCATGCTGATCTTGAACTCCTGACTTCAGGTAATCCACCTGCCTCGGCCTCCCAAAGTGCTAGGATTACAGGCATGAGCCATTGCGCCTGGCCTGAAAGTTTTAGCCCTCTAATCGTTTGGTCTTTCTGAGGACTATCCCCATCCTGTAGCTATCTCGGTCCCCTATCTAAGTCACCTCATTGGCATAAACTCAGGAATGATCAAAAGGGACTTATTATTAATAACAAAAGACACTCCTATCACTCAGGAAATCCCAAGGATTTTAGGGGCTCTGTACCAGGCATTGGGGACAAAACCTGAATATATTATTATACCATAATGCCTCTCCTTTTTATCTAAGCCTTGTTGCCCAAACTGCCCTAATTCTTATCCTTTCAGGTTTCCTGTTTCATCAATTTCCCCTTCATTTACATATAAAATCTATATTTTACTCTGGTCTCTTTTATTTCAGCATATTATTATGGTTAAGTGTCTCTCATTTTCCAAACAGTAAATATATAAGGAGTCTCCCCCTGCCTGGCACACCTTCTAGAGTCTACCTTCCTTGCCCCTCATCACAAAACAAATTTCTCAGAGCAGTCTTTGCTCTTGCCACCCCCTTGCCACCCTTCTCTTCTGCAACCCATGGCCATCAGACCTCGGCCCCATCGCTCCACTGAAACCATGCAGTGAAGGTCAGTCACGAGCTTTTAATTGCCAAACCCAATGGGAAAATTGGTTTGGGTTGCTTGGTTTTTGTTCCTTAGCTTTTCTGCAACATTTACCACTTCTTCCCTTTGGAAACCCCACACTTCTTTGGCTTCTATGCCGTTGTCTCCTGTTCTCAGGACATGTCTCTGAGTTCTGTTTTGCCTCCTATAATAGTCAGGGTTCTCCAGAGAGACAATCAATAGGATGTATTAGAGGGAATTTATGAGGGAATTGGCTTAAATTATCACAGAGATGGAGGAGTCCCATGCTAGGCCATCTGCAAGCTGGAGAACCAGAGAAGCTAGTAGTGTGGCTCAGTCCAAATTCAAAGCCTCAGAACCAGGGAGGTGGACCATGTAGCCCCCAGTCCAAGGCCAAAGACCCAAGAAGCCCTGGGAGGCTGGTGGAACAAGCCTCATAGTCTGACAGCTATAGAACCTGAAGTCCAATGTCCAAGGGCAGGAGGAGAAAAGCATCTTGCTCTGGAGGGGAAAGGGGAGAGAGAGTGAGAGAGAGGGATGGAAAGAATAAATCATCCCCTTCTTTCTCCTGTTTGTCCCAACTAGGCCCCCAGCAGATTGGACGGCACCCACCCACACTGAGGGCTAGCCTTCCTCTCTCTGTTCACTGACCCACATGCCAGTCTTATCTGGAAATATCCTCACAGACACCCAGAAACGATGCTTCTCCAGCCATCTAGGCATCCCTCAATCCAGTCAAGTTGACACCTGGAATTGACCCTCCCACCTCCTTCCCACTGGCCTGCCTCCTCCACTCCTGGCTCTTCTCTCCTCCTGCGTCTTTCTCTCTGGCTTTCTCATGTGTACAAGCCTGCCTTTCCATTTGCCTGTGGATAATAACATCTGTACTGGATGGAATAGTGTTTCTCAAAATTCATGCCCACCCAGAACCCTGAATGTGACATTTGGAAACAGGGTCTTTGCAGATATAATTAGTTAATATGACGTCATCTGGATTCGGGTGGGCTCTACATCCAGAGACTTGTAAGAAAACCTGTTCTTCTTACAAGAAGAAGAGAGGAGGATGGCATATAAAGAAAGCGGCAGAGATTGGAGTAATCTCTCTACCAACAAAGGAACACCAAGAATGGCCACAACCTTAGAAAGGAGAGAGGCATGGCATGGCTCTTTCTCAGGGGTCCACAAGACGGAACCAACCCTGCTGATGCTTTGATTTTGAACTTCTAGACTCCAAAACTGTGAGAGAATAAATGTTCTGTTTTAAGCTACCCAGTTTGTGGTAATTTATCATGGTAGCTCCAGGACATAAATCCAATGCTCTTACCCAAATCTCTGGCCCTGACAGCTCTCCTCTAGAGCTGGCTGCTCACTGGGCACCTGAGAGACAGTGCCCAGGCCCATACAACACGTCCATTCAAGTGAGCCTGCCTGGGTCCTCCCCTAAACCTGCACAGCCTCCTGTATTCGCCATCTTGAGTAATACCCTCCGCCACCCCAGCCATCTGAGTCAGAGACTGCTGAGTCATTTTGCACTCCCTCTCCTTCATTCCTTGTATCCAGTGAATCATGACATTGGGTCAATTCTACCTTCAAAACATCTCTGGCAGCCTTCACTTCTTCCATCCTCGTGTCTCTAGCTTGAATTCAAACCTAGACTGTGATTTGCTCACTCTCCATCCTTTCTCCTCATTCAAATGCAGGAGGTGTAAGAGGTAGGGCTGGAGGCCTGACCACCAGTTAGGAGAGCAATTATAGGCATAGGAGGCAGGGCTGGAGGCCTGGCCACCAGTTAGGGGAGTGATCATGGGCGTAGGAGGCAGGCCTGGAGCCCTGACCACGGGTTAGGAGGGTGACCATGAGCAAGAGATGATCAGGCAGAAGGCTGTGATGGGGAAAGGAGCACATGGACAGGCATTAAGGTAGGTGAACTGACCATATTTAGAATCTCAGTTATCAGTCCATCAGTGAACATCTGGAGACTTTGGACTTTTCACCGGTTATACATCCTTCTATTGCAATATAATAGCATCCAGCCCAAGACAGGACAAAGTTTCTCGTGATCAATTTACAGACAAGATAATGTCCTATTACTTGATAGCTAATGAATTTTCCTCATCTGATCAGTCTAGTAGTAAGCCAACTTCCAATGGGACCTGGGGAGACCATGAAAGAAGTAATGGTTAGGAAAGAGCATGGACTTTAGGGTCCAAGTTGCTGAATTTCATGTCCTGTTCTTTTACTTACTGTCTGTGCAGTCTTGAACAAGATACTCTTTCCAAGATTTCACTTCTCTTAATCTGTAAATTGAGCATAATGATACCCACGAATTTACCAGAGAAGCTTATAGGAATAAAATAAAGCAATATAAGTGATAGCATTTTGAGATATAACAGGGTGGTTAATGCAAATAGAAGTTTATTCATGAGGGACCGTTGTCTGTGTATAAAGATTGGGAAATGTAATAAGGTTTTCTATCTTCATTTGAAATTGAATTTACTTCACCAGCTTCAGGCAAAGAAGCTGGAAAATGGTGTGTCTTTTCCCAGGAAAGAAGGGCCTACCTCAGTGTGTCTCCCACATGGGAGGAGTGAACCAATATGGCGTCCTGGCCCTCCTTACCCATCTGTGAGGTGCACTGAGGAAGAAAAAGAGAGGGTAGAGCCTGTTTCTTGCTTCTGAGGCAGAATAGCTTGTTTCACTGATAACACAGTTGAAAGAAGGTCAGGGTTGCACCAATGGGAAGGGGTCTGTGAAAGCCGATCTACTTCATGTGGGCTCTCTGAGCAGAGGCAGGAGGTCAGGAGAGCAAATGTAAGAGCCACTTATCTCTTCTCCAGCCTTGTGGCTCCTCCTACAATGGAGCTGTGGTTTTATTTGCTGGCTGGTATGAGTTGAATTGTGTCCTCTTGAAAGATATGTTGAAGTCCTAACCCCTGGTACCCGTGAATGGACTTTATTTGGAAATAGGATTTTTGCAGATATGATCAAGTCATGGTGAGGTCATGTTGTATTAAGGTGGGTCTTAATCTTTGACTGGTATCCTTGTAAGAAGAGGAAAATTTGGGTATAGACACAGGGAGAATGCTATCTGACCACGGAGGCAGACATTGGAATTAAGATGCCACAAGGCAAGGAATGCTAAGGTTGCTGGCCAACACCGGAAACTATGAGAGGATCAAGGAAGAGACTTTTCTGGAGCCTTAAGGGAGAGCATCACTCTGCTAACATCTTGATTTTGGACTTCTAGCCTCTAGAGCTATGAGAGAATAAATTTCTCTTGCTTTGTGGTATTTTGTTTCAGCAGCCCTAGGAAATTAAAACATAGGTTCTCTCCATGCATTGGGTGGACTTCACCAAAGGCAGGAGGCTGTACTCATGTGGGGCAACTCAACGCTCCCTTATAGACCCTCACTCATTTTGCTCAGTCTTGAGTTCTTTCTCAATATTCCAATTTTTGATCAAAGTTCTTTTTTACAATTTTTATTTAATTTTAATTTTGTTTTAATTTTTAAAAAATGTTTTAAATAGAGACACGATCTCGTTATGTTGGCCAGGCTGGTCTTGAACTCCTGAGCTCAAGAGATCCTCCCACTTAGGCCTCCCGAAGTACTGGGATTACAAGCATGAGTCACTGCGCCCAGCACCAAAGCTCTTTTTATTTGACCGAGATAGTAGCTGTGGTGTTGAAGCAAAAAAGGTAGGACTTGAATGTTGATTTGTCAATTATTGCTGTGTGTCCTCAAGAGAGTGCAATTTCTTTTGCTGACTCCATTTCTCCATTGTTTAGTTGGGGATGTTAGTTTCTGCCTTCCTGGGCTTGGAATTCAATGAACCCATGGGAAAGGTTTTTGGCGTGGAGTCAAGCCCATCAATGTTGCTTCCCTCAGAAGGCAGAAGCATGGGAGCAGTGGTTGGAACTCTGCTTTATCCTTGTCATTCATTAATGTGTCACCAACAGGCTCAACTCCAGTTGATCCCTGTTGTCACTGACACATCTTTAGAAAAACCCTTTCAGCTTCTGATACCTTTGTGCAAGCCTTCTCTCTTGGCTAAAACTCCAAGGCATCTTTTGGACCCATGCACTTGGGGGCTTATTTAAGGTCAATGTCATCTCATCCCCTCTCAGTTTCTCCCCCAGCAATTGTTACATTTTCTTTTTTGAGACGGAGTCTCACTCTGTCGCTCAGGCTGGAGTGCAGTGGTGCAATCTCAGCTCACTGCAAGCTCCACCTCCCGGGTTCATGCCATTCTCCTGCCTCAGCCTCCCGAGTAGCTGGGACTACAGGCGCCCACCACAATGCCCAGCTAATTTTTTGTATTTCAGTAGAGATGGGGTTTCACCGTGTTAGCCAGGATGGTCTTGATCTCCTGACCTTGTGATCCGCCTGCCTCAGCCTCCCAAAGTGCTGGGATTACAGGCGTGAGCCACCGCGCCCGACCAATTGTTACATTTTCTTAAGAATTCTGAGGCTGTCAGAGCGCTGCTCCCTGCCTGTGGCACCACACTGGTTTTTAGATGCTTGCTGGTCTTCTTTGGACTTTCCAAACCTGGGTAAGTTCTGTTTTCTCCCAGAGTTGAATGACAACAAAACAAAGATGACACCAAGGGCACTTGGTGTAGCCAGCAGTGTTCTGAGAGCTTTACAGATATTAACTCATTTAATAGTTAGTCTTCTGTACCTCTTTTATCGCCTTCTTTCATGTTAAACAAATATATTTTCGTGTGACACTTTTAGTTCCTTTCTTGATTTTTTTTTAGTGTTTTGTTTTGATTTTTAGCTATTTTTTCATTGGTTGCTCTAGGAATTACTAGATACATCTGAACTCAGCAAAATCTGGTTCAGGTTAATACCGATTTAATTCAGGTAAAATATTAGAACTTTGCTCTAATATATTCTCCTTCACACTTTTCCTTGTGCTATCATTGCCATGTATTATCCATCTGTAGAGGACATAAACCCAGCAGTAGAGTGTTATAATGATTGTTCTTTTGTTTCTGTTTTTGTTTTATTTTTTGAGATGGGGTCCCACTCTGTTGCCCAGGCTGAAGTGCAGTGGCACAATCATGATCACAGCTCACTGCAGCCTTCACCTCTCTGGGCTCAAGCGATCCTCTCACCTCAGCCTCCCGAGTAACTTGGGCTACAGGTGCACGTTCCCGTGCTCAGCCTATAATGCTTGGAACAGTGCTGGCTATGCAAGTGCCCTTGGTGTCGCCTTTGTTTTGTCGTTGTTCAACTCTGGGAGAAAACAGCTTACCTAGGAAGCTCTAAGGGTGGCTAGTCTAAAGAAGACCAGCAAGCATCTGCACCTAAAAGCCAGTGTGGTGCCACCGCAAGGAGCACACTCAGCGTCTTGCTAGCTGAGCCTGAGGTGGAGGAGAGACAGCATCTCCTCTGTCCTGTTCTTCCTGCCCTGTGAGTCCCCAGCAGCCCTGGCAAGATGTGTCTCATGTTAGAGTCATTCTGATCTTTTGAAGGGGTGGCAATATGTTTCTCTGCTAGGGAAGGAATTTCTTGTTTGTACGCAACAGCAACAACTTAACATAAAGAGAATTAAGCTCTGTGGTCAGACTCTTAGGATTTGTTTCTTCTTTCCATCGATCATGTATTCTGTGTCTTCATTTTGTCTCATTGTAATCATGTATTCACCGTGTGCCAGGCACTGTACCAGCATCTGGGGGTCAGAGACAAATCAGACTAATGCCTGCTCTCAGGGGCTCACAGGCTTGGGGTTGGGGTATGCTAGGTTTTCCTTCAGGCCCTGTCACTCAGTGACTCTAAACCCTTTTTTCCTTATGCTCTGGATAAGATCTGATAGTCTTCAGACAGTACTCACAGGGTTACTACTAGTCAGGTAGAACTGAGATGTTACAAGGTGGTTAATGCAAGTAGAAGTTTATTCATGTTTATTCAAGTTTATTCAGCTCCTAAGATGAAAAATGTTTGCTCTCCTTGTTCAATAGCTCCATTTATTTGTTTATTTCTTAATTATTTGTTTAGAGACAGAGTCTTGCTCTGTCACCTAGGCTGGAGTGCAGCGGCACGATCAAAGGTCACCGCAACTTCAAACTCCTGGGCTCAACTGATCCTCCTGCCACCACTCCTGTCTAACTTTTTTTCTTTTTTTTTGGAGACAGGGTCTCACTCTGTCACCCAGACTAGAGTACAGTGGTGCGATCTCGGCTCACTGCAACCTCCGCCTCCCAGGTTCAAGTGATACTCCCACCCCAGCCTCCTGAGTAGCTGGGATTACAGGCATGCGCCACCACGTGCCTGTAATTGTATTTTTTTGGTAGAGAAGGGGTTTCACCATCATGGCTAGGCTGATCTCGAACTCCTGACCTCAAGTGATCCGTCCCCCTTGGCCTCCCAAAGTGCTGAGATTACAGGCATGAGCCACTGGGCCTGGCCTCCTGTCTAAGTTTTCTAAAAAAATTTCGTAGAGAGGAGGTCTTGCTAATTTGCCCAGGCTGGTCTTGAACTCCTTGGCTCAAGCGATCTTCCTGCCTTGGCTCCCAAAACGCTGGGATTACAGGCATAAGCCACTGCACCCAGCTCCCTCCCCGTATTTAAATTGGAGCAACTGAGGCTCTTGCTAAAGAGGCAGATGTTACTATACTAGCCACCTTTGCATCCTGAGCAGTGTGTAAGATGAGGGCTGACAATGCCACAGCACTCTGCATTAGTTAGATTCCTATGAGAAGATTACATGAGAGGCGTTCCGTGTCAGGCCGTGACTGGGCTCACAAGACAACAATGGGTGTAAATGGTCCGGAAACAGCAAGCAGTCTCAAGTCACATCCAGAATATCTATGCCAAAACACCATACAGCAGGAAGGTTTCTCGTGCTCTCCGCCTGGTACAGCAGGCCAGTCCTGGAATCTGATGTCCTTTTCCCTAGGCGGGGACCTAAGCCGAGTTTGAACTTGGAAGAGAAAAGCAGGTGACGCTGGTGAGGAAGGAACCTGCTCTGCCCACTTCTTCTCCGGCCACTTTCTTTAATGTCAGTGCTCAGAGCAGCACACAAAACAATACCATGAAGATCCCCTTTACTTCTTAGAACTGAGGCCCCTAGCCGCTGAAAGATCCGCTCTGTTCTGCTTTGCTTTAGCTGAAAGGGAAAGTGAAAGCGGCAACATGAACTCATAGGTTGCTGAATGTCAGTGGATGTGTAATATACCATCATTGAAAAACGTTCAACCAACCGGGTGTGGTGGCTCATGCCTGTAATTCCAGCACTTTGGAAGACCAAGGCAGGAGGATTGCTTGAGCCCAGGAGCTCGAGACCAACCTGCGCAACATGGCGAGACCTCATCTCTATAAATAATTAGAAAATTGGCTGGGCGTGGTGGTGTGTGCCTATGGCCCCAGATGCTTGGGAGGCTAAGATGGGAGACCCGCTTGAGCCCAGGTGTTCAAGGCTGTAGCGACCACATCACTGCACTCCAGCCTGGGTGACAGAGTGAGACCCTGTCTCAAAAAAAAAAAAAAAAAAGAAGTCCAGCCAAGTGCAAGTTCTGCAGGGAACTTACAGACAGATTTATTTAGAAAAAATAAATGTCATACTTAGATTTGAATTTGAGTCATCTATTTTATTTTTCTTGAATTTAAAGTCACATTCCTAGAATATACATTTTGAACTTGTTTGGGAGAGGAGAGAACTTATTTACTTTTTAGTGCTCTTTGGCTAAGAGCGGGACTGATGAAATCACCTTTAAAATGCCCTTTGTTTCAGATATTCTTATCGCCCTCACACGAGGTGACTTCCCCATGTAAGCTATAACTGAGATAAAATTAAGTTGATAATCTAATGCTATCATCTGACTCAAGGCTCGTGATTTGTAAGGGAAGCTGAGTCAAATGACCTATGCAGGGATGATTAAATGATCCAAGGTAGCTGTTTCGCTATGGCGTTTGCTCGAACTTTCCCCACTAGTGAAAGTAAAGGCCCAGTTTCCCCACAGACTGATTCTCACTAAGACTCATGCCCAGAAATAGTTATCCTCAATTTGTTATTCAGAATAATATGGAAACCACCTAAATGTCTATTAATTGGAGATGGGTAAATCACAGTTTAGCTATACAACAGAATGCTATGCAGTGACTGAAAATATTTTTATAGGAGGATATTTTTTGGAAAATATAATACAATGTTAACTGGAAAATACTGGGTGAACTATAATAGAATGACTTCCATTTTTAAAATTACATAAACATATGTATGCATATATAATACATATATTGATGTGCATAGTGATGCAGGCATTTATTTAACAAGTGTAGATTGCGTGCCTTTTATGTACCAGACACTGGGCTAGGGGTTGAGGTTACAGACATGAGTAAGATTTATTTAATCCCTGTCTCCCTTATAGTCTAGCATAGAAAAAGGCATAACAGCAAATACATCCAATATTAATAATAGCATTTTTCTGGCTGGTGGGTAATTTGAATTTTCTTCTTTATGTACTTCTGTATTTTCCAGATTTTCTACTAAAAGTAAATGCCTTTTACAGAAAGAAAAAGACAACAAATGTTATTTTAAAAATTGAGCAGAGCTGAAAAGCTGCCCCCTGGCATGAGACTCTGACCCTGAAACTGAAGGTCAGTTTGACAAATGGAAAGATCTTTGGCCTGGGGACCAGGAGGCTGTCTGTAGCCCACTATAGGACTGTAGACAAGTGACTTTCCTCTCCAGGTCTCAGTTCTTCTCCTGTATGTTGATAGTTTGGCCCAGGGGATGCTTAAGGTCCTTCCAGCTCTAATGCTTAGAAATCTAATGGTATTTGCAGACTTTAGAAGGGGAGAAGATTTCCATAGAAGCAAATCTACCGGTCGGTAATATCACCTGCTCTTGTAATTTTCCTAATTCACCATTTGGTTGTGGCTTCTTACCTCACACACAAATGTCATCTTTAATTTATGTGCAAATCAGTTTTTGAGCCTTTAGACCAAGCTCATCCAACCCGCAGCCCATGAGCTGCATATGGCCCAGGACAGTTTTGAATGTGGCCTAACACAAATTCATAAACTTTCTTAAAACACTATGAGATTGTTTTGTGATTTTTTATTTCACTCATCAGCTATCGTTAGTGTTAGTGTATGTTATGTGTGGCCCAAGATCATTCTTCCTCCACTGTGGTCCAGGGAAGCCAACAGATGGGACGCCCCTGTTCTAGACCCTTCCTTCTCCACCCTTTGCCTTGGGAGAAACTTGGGGAAAAAAAGATAGCATCAGCTTGCCCAGGTCAACTTCTCTGTATGCCCTAAAGCAGTTTTCCATCAGTTATTGAGAAGCTTCTTCTGCCTAGCCTCACACCAGATACAACACAGGAAAGAGGCAGGCATGGCTTCCATCCAAGTAGCGTGCAATATTGATGGACAGAGGCAATGAAAGCTTAAAAAACAATTTCAGAATGAAACAATGGCATATCCCAGGCTGGTCCATACTGTTCTGTCAGTATGTTTTAGGTGTTGACAAAGGGAGACAAATAGCATGGGTGGGAGAAGTCAAGAGAAGACCCCCAAAGTCAGCAAGGTGTGACCTAAGCCTTGTAGGATGAGCATGATTGAAATAGGTACAAGGAGAGGGGATGGCACTTCTAACAGGAAGACCAGAATGAAAGGGGAGCAAAAACCATTGGTATTAAGGTTGCCAGATTTAACAAATAAAAACACAGGATGTCTGGACAAATTTGAATTCCAGATAAATAATAAATAAGTTTTAGTATGTCTCATGCAATATTTGGCACATATGTATATTAAAAAGTATGCATTGTTTATCTGAAATGCAAATGTACCCAAGTGTCCTGTATTGTATTTGGCAACCTTAATTGGGGTGTGCTCATATGTGGATTAACATCCAAGAAACTTACCTGTCCAAAGTGGGTAACTCAAGTGATGATCCCACTGTCTTGGACATTTAGAGGACTGTACAGGCTCTAGCACTGAATCTCTGCTGGGTTACCTTGTGCAAGTAATTCATGAATCTGTACCTTATTGTGCCACTTAAAAGTGACGATTTTTAATATTGATGCATGTGTGTTCTAGGGTATTAGAATGAGAAAATTTGACACTGGGTAAGAAAAGGGAACCAGACCCCTCCTGTTGTCCCTCATGTTGGAAAAGCTGACCCCTCCCTTTTAGATTCCCGGCCCATGGGATTCACTGCTACTTGCAAATGTGTTATCCCCTTTCCTTTTGGGAACAGCTGGAGTCTTTCATTTCATTTGTATCTTTCATTGTCTTTGTATCTTTCATTTTCTTTGTATCTTTCATTTAGTGTCATGATTGTTTTTCTCTTCATATCTCTGTTTTGCCCTTCTCCAATTCCTTCCCAAATGCAACTGACCCTATAAGTCCTCTTGAATGCTTGCTGAAGGGGAACAGGAAATATTAAATCTCCAATTATGTCTTCCCCAGCTCCCCAAAGCAACCTCAGAACAAGGGAAGGCAATGCGGACAGACATCAATCCATCCTCTCCTTCTTAACAGGATGGAATCAGCTCGATTTTCACTTGTGGGGATCATATGTTTTCCAAATATGAGGGTCATTTTATTTTTCTTTGCCACATGAAACTCTATGTGAAGACCATGCCTTCTCTCTGTTCTCAGAGGGACCATTGTGGTGTTGGCACCCAGTCATTTTTATGCAATAATGGTGAAGGATTTAGAAACGTGTGCCTTCTTGTCACTTATGTGCTTGTTTATATAAAGTAAATTCCCTTTGTTTGAGAAGATTGAGTCTTCAGAAGAGGTAATTTGTTTCCATCTAGTGGTTCACCCACTGAAAGTCTTGAGCTTTGCACCAAGTTCTCCTGGCTCTGGGTGACTTGTGTGTCCTGGTGTGACCACGAAGGCCACGGAGGGTGGTCAAATAACACAGACTGAGCACTCAGCAGCACTGCTACTTTGATGTGATGTTTTTTCAAAATCAGCTCTGGATACAAGCAAATCATTTGTATATTACCTGCTTCTGGGTCAGGGTTATTTTAAAATAGATCTAGATGACCCCATCCCAATCTGCAACCTCTTTACATCACAGTGCTTTCAAAAAGGGTTCATGGGATTCTTACTTTTATATCCATCTTTGGAGGTGTGTTAGGGCTGATGTTGGGGTTCAATTTAACTCCCCAGGAGCGAGTATATTCTTCCCACTTTGCTGTGACACAGGCTTGTGTCTGGTCTCAAAATCAGCTTCTCGTAGAGCATACTTCATCAGGCAGCAGTTAGTCTGTGAGTTTCAATTCGGGGAACGACACTGGAGTCCATCCATGAAATCTCAGTGACTCCCAAGAAGAAACATCACCACCTCTTGAGATCCTTCGAAAAGCCCAACCTTCCCAGACAGACTCCTTTAACCCACCTGATGTCTGAGTCCAGTGTGCCAGGTATGTCACAGGGTAGCTGCCTGGAGGAACATGGGCCTCCTGATTTTTGAGAATGCTTGTGACTTGGCAGGGCAGCAGGACCTGACTTGGCAAAGGCCATGTACTTCCTTTGTCTGTATTGAGGCCAAGTAAGAGAATTCAGGAACATAAATTCTGAAAGATTAGATTGAATCAGAACAAGGCAGCTGTTGTTTTGCCAGAGTTTAAAGGGCATTGCAAGGGCTGTTGGACCGACTTCTGTTTTATTTAGGGATTTCCCACCTCTCTCATGTGAAAACTATTGCTGTTGGCTTTTCCCTGTTGACTAGAACATGGTGTCCCCCTTAGGAGGGAAGAGGTTGTGTCTAGACTTGGAAGGAGGACAGACAGCCATCGTGCTGCTGAAGACTCAGCTGAGCAGTGGAGAGTGGCAGCCACAGGGTGATGGTCCCAGCTGTTCATCAAGATGATCCCAAGCCTGGGAGCCTAGGTGACCTGTCCAACATGAACCCCTGACAACCTTCTCCCCCAGGTCTCAACTAGAGAGTTAGGACATTTCTAGAAAATGGTGGAGTAAAATTTTAGCATCTCCCTTTCCTCCCCTTTTTAATATTCATTGAATTAAGTTTAGGTTGATTAATGGATATACTCGCTTTTCCAGGAGCTTCCTTAGTATTGACTTACAATCCTGAATATGACTAAAAATCATGACGTTGCTGTTTCTCTCCATTTTCTAGTGTCCCCTTGTTTTGATCTCATCCAGGTGTGAGTCTGGTCTAACTAGCTATCTTAGTTGAGCTCAAGTCCTGAGGAAGGCAACCTTCTTCCACTCTGGGTCCCGGGCAAAATCTAAAGCACTCTTCTTCACTCACTCAGTGTTAGAATTGTCACTGGTCTAGAACGGTTCTTGAGATATCTAGTCTACCTCTCTTAAAACCAGGCCTTCTGACTGCTGGGCTCTTTCTGCAGCACCACAGAAGCTCATTCATTACAGATGCCCAAAGGGCAGTCTCCAGGTGCAGGGGAGGAAAGGTGACATCGGCTGTGGAAGCCCAGAAGAAATCTGTGTTTCTTAACAGCTTTATGAAGAAGGTGCTTAGGATTTTACCTTCATGCAAAGGCAGCTGAGTGTAGGAAGTCTGCTAAAGGATGGTGAGCAACTTCTCTCCTCTGGGGATGCTTCCCCCAGCTCCTTGCAGGGCTGCATGCCACATGTGCATGGCCTCTGCCCCCTTAGAGCCCTGCCACCCTTTCCTAGTGACTGTCAGTGCCTCTGAGCAGGCGATTAGCAGCTGAGTGAGGCTATTCTTTCATCTCAGAAAAAGGAGACAAGAGGGGAAGAAACAACACTACAAAGTCAGAGGTATGAGAGAAGTCTCCGGTTCATTTGACTCTCTTTTTTTCTTGAGTTTTATTTTAGATTCAGCTAGGTTTGTAATATGATTGATCCCATCACCCAGGTACTGAGCATAGTACCTAATAGGTAGTTTTCAGACCCTTGCCCCACCTCCTACCCATCCCCATCTAGTAGTCCCCAGTGTCTGTTGTTCCCATCTTTCTATCCATGTGTACTCAATGTTTAGCTCCCACTTAATAAACGAGATGGTATATGGCTTTCTGTTACTTTACAGTCTCACAAATTCAAAGGAAATGGTGAATTAACATACTTAGGATAATGGCCTCTAGCTGCATCCATGTTGCTGCTAAGGACGCGATTTCATTCTTTTTTATGGCTGTGCAATATTCCATGGTGTATATGTATCACATTTTCTTTATTCAGTCCACTGTTGATGGGCACCTAGGTTGATTCCATGTCTTTGTTATTGCAAATAGCATGGCGATGAACATACAAGTGCATGTGTCTTTTTGGCAGAATGATTTATATTCCTTTGAGTAGATACACAGTAATGGTGTTGCTAGGTCCAATGGTGTTCTGTTTTAAGTTCTTTGGGTTCCGAGGCCAATTTCTTATGGAGATTCCTGGAGAGTGATTTTGGCAATGTGTGAAGTCTATGTGCATGTGGCTCATTCTCTTTCCTTCTCAACTCCCAGTGCTACTGAGAAGAGGGAACATTCCCAGGGGATAGCACCCTCCTCCCACTTTGGGGTCAGATCACCAAGAGGATGCACCATTGACTCTCTGGGAGGGGGGCTTTCTAGAATCCACACTGGATGTGTCTCACTCCTGGATGTCTGCCCCTCCCCAGCTCTGCACCGGGTGGGTCTACTGCAATGTCCTACAAGTCTACATGGTTACCCCTCATGGCTGCAGGGTCCTCCATGCATCATCCTTGTCTTCTCAGTCCTCAATCCATACCATTCCTAATGGGTGAGGGCCACAGGGTGACAACCTTCTCCCTGCTTCTTCTGGGCAGATTTACCTGGGTCCTGAGATGAAGGCCCAGGTGAAATGGGCTCAATTGTCCCATAGAGCTGATGTTTATGGTTTCTTTTGAATAAACATAGAAATTGACCCTCCCATTCTTAAAACTTGATAAAGTTACATTTGTCTTATCTGAGTTCCTTTCTCAGGAAACCAACCATCAGTTCTCCCAGAGAGTATCAAGGAACTGAAACTCACCAGATCACTGCATCTGCACAATGAGATGCTGGACCCCTCACCCATCATGACTGTTTAACCAACCACCTGCCTCCGGTTGACCAGCTCCTCTTCCTTATCCTTCCCTGATTCCCGTTTTCCTGCATATAGTTACATTTCTTCCCTGCTATATAAATCCTGGATTTTAGTCAGTCAGGGAGATGGATTTGAGACTGACCGCTCATCTCCTTGGATGCAGCACCCGATTAAAGCCTTCTTCCTTGGCAATAGTGGCTGTCTCAGTGATTGTCTTTCTGTGCAGTGAGCAATAGGACCTAGATTGAACTGCAGGCATTTCAGTAACACAAGGGCTGTGGCCTGGGACACAGGGTCCCAGGGGCCTGGGGTGATGGAAAATGCCCAGCCACCCCCTCCTCTTCATCTTTGTTCTGTGTTCAGCCTTCAGTGTCCCAGAGGGGTGTTCATTTGACTCTAAAAGACAATAGCACAGTGTAAAATCTATGTTAAGATAGGATTATGCTCCGTGAATCCCAGTGGAGGCCATGGGGCCAGTGGGGATGCTGTTAATCTGCATAAATGTGTGTGTGCTAGAAAGAATAAATGGCAAGAGGAAAAGGATTCTTTTTTTCAGGGCTGAGCAGGCAGGTGTCTATTTGTTTCCGGTTTGTAGGCTTAGCAGGATAGTCATGAGAGAATAAACTTGGAGAGGAGAATCCCTGTTGTTCCCTTCAGAGGAGGCACCCAAGAATACCTGTTGTGTTGTAAATGGATAGCAAGTCCTCCTTGTGTTTTTGTGTGTGTTTGTTTGTTTGTTTTGAAACAGGGTCTCCCTCTGTTGCCCAGGCTGGAGTGCAGTGGCACAATCATGGTTCTCTCCAGCCTCTACCTCCTGGGCTCAAGCAATTCTCCCATCTCAGCCTCCTGAGTAGCTGTGACAACAGGCATGTGCCACCACGTTCAGCTAATTTTGAATTTTTTTTTTATAGAGAGAGGGTTTCACTATGTTGTCCAGCTGGTCTTGAACTCCTGGCCTCAAGTGATCCTCTTGCCTCAGCCTCCCAAACTGCTGGGATTACAGGGGTGAGCCACCATGCCCAGTCCTACTTGTGGGGCCTTTAAGGGTCACTCCAACACGACTGTGGAAGTTGCATGTGGAGGCATAGGCAGTTAAAAGATTTATTATATTCTCAGCACCTAGAGAAGGAGGGGCCATAGGGAAGGAGCTCCAAGGAGAGGCTCAACCAAGCAGGTGGGGAGGAGAGAGGGAGAGAGGGAGAGAGAGTGAAGACTCATAGGCAAGTGCCTTTATTGGGGGTTGGAAGAGTACCCCATAAGAAATGAGTGATTTCATTGATGCTTTTGAATGTCACTGGGTCATAGTTATGTGAGGGTGAGAAGAGGAACGTGGGGCCAGGACCATCTTTGTCACCCTAAGGTACCTGGTCACCTGGGTGGGGTGTTCACAGCTAGTTTGTGGGGATGTTGAGGCATTGGGAAAATAGAAAGTTTTAACAATTTACAATACACCTGTGTATTCTGCCTTAATGAAGTTGTGGTAGAATTCTGCTGGCTGAGCCTAAATTTCTATTTAATACATCAACTGATAGTTTTAGTATCAGGTAATATGGGGAGTATTTGTTGGTAAGGATGCAGTTTGCAAAGCAGTGACTCTGTGCCCAGATACTGGCAGCCATCAGGGAAATGCAAAACTTTATCCTGGTTTTCAAATGCCATAAACTTCGCCAGCACACTGCTACCCTGTGTGAATAAGAGCAAAGTGTCAGCATCCTACCTACTCTCTCTGTGTGTGCTTTTAGAATATTCTTTGAAACTGGGAGCAACTCGGGTGAAGGCAGGCTAGACGTGGGGAGGTCAGAATGTCTTTGAGACTAGAGGTAAACTTCCATAACCCTTGAACCCTGCAAGAGGAAGGGATTCAGGGGAGTGTCTTTCTGTCCTGAATTTTAGGTGTGCATGTCATTCCTGGACAAATATTTACTGCCCTCTGGGAAATTTCTGCCATGTGCTGGGCTCAAGGAAGGTTTATATTTATATTTTTGGGTTTTTTTTCCCCCTGTAAAATCCTAAATGCTTTTGTTGAACAGAAAGCACTCCTAATACCTCCCCCTTTTTAAAGCTTAAATTGTGTGATTGTGTTTGGAAATCATCTCAGGAAAGCCTGTACAGGTCTGGATAAAGGATTACTATAAAGCTTGTTATTTAGATGGAACTCATGAAAAGGCTGAGACGGGATTGCTAATTTAACTCTTCCACCTGAATACACAACATGCAAGTAACAACCACAGCAACAATGACAATAGTAAAATCCACCACATTAACAAACATTTCTTTCTCCCTTATGATGTGCCAGGCATTGTACTAAAAGCTTTGCAAACCTTATTTCACTTAATCCTTGAGACACATCAAATGATTATCTAGGCAAGGAGGCAGTGGAAGAGTCTCTTACCTCCACATCTTTCAACTTCTTAGCCCAAATGGCAGAATTTAAGCCATGTGCTATGGTAAGGGGAATATGTAGGCCTGCTTGTCACTCTTTTCTCGATGGAGGACGTCTTTTGATTCTACGGAAAGCCCACTGAAATTGATTTATGCTTTCTGCCCTAAGAAAAGGACAAAAAGGCATTCAAGGACTGGCCATGTGTTTGATAATTTTGTTTTTTTAGAGACAGTGGTCTCACTCTGTCATCCAGGCTGGAGTGCAGTGGTGCAATCATAGGTCACTGCAGCCCTTACCTCCTCCCGCCTCAGCCTCCCAAGTAGCCAGGACCACAGGTGTGCACCACCACACCCAGCTAATTTTTTTGTAGAGGTAGAGTCTTGCCATGTTGCCCAGACTGGTCTCGAACTCCTGGGCTCAAGCAATCCTCCCACTTCAGGGCCTCCTGAAGTGCTGGGATTACAGGTGTGGGCCACTACACCCAGCCTAATTTCTTGAACCATATTTATTATGTGTTCCCTATGCCAGAATCTGTGTTTGGGTGCTGACACATTGCTGCTAATGCACTTAGTTTAGAGATACTCTTGAACTTGCAGCACTAATTGAGTGTTAACACCTTCATCTAGTGTCAAGGAAAACAATTCATGCTTGATGGAGTTTAATGGTAAAAGTTAAAAGATACGGGAAAGGATGTGCAAAATGGACTCAGAGCCCCCTTTCATCCCTAAGAATCTATTGCTGGAGATCTACTAAGATCCTCCAAAGGATGGAATTCTCCTTGGGCAGAGTTTCTGAAGCAGAGCACAGATTCCTGTAGAAGACTTGTGGGACAAAACAGCGGATATGTAGATGTATTCGTCAGTTCTCACACTGCTCTAAAGAATACCTGAGACTGGGTAATTTATAAAGAAAAGAGGTTTAATTGGCTCACAGTTCCACAGGCTGTACAGAAAGCATGACACTGGTATCTGCTTGGCTTCTGGGGAGGCCTCAGGAAACTTACAATCATGGCAGAAATTGAAGGGGAAGCTGGCACTTCACATGGCTGAGCAGGAGGAAGAGAGGGAGCAGGGAGGTGCTACACACTTTTAAACAACCAGATTTCATGAGAACTCACTCACTATCTTATCTGTCTTATCTGAGTTCCTTTCTCAGGAAACCAACTATCAGGACTCCCAGAGAGTATCAAGGAACTGAAACTCACCAGATCACTGCATCTGCACAATGAGATGCTGGACCCCTCACCCATCATGACTGTCTAACCAACCACCTGCCTCCTGTTGACCAGCTCCTCTTCCTTATCCTTCCCTGATTCCCATTTTCCTGCATATAGTTACATTTCTTCCCTGCTATATAAATCCTGGATTTTAGTCAGTCAGGGAGATGGATTTGAGACTGACCTCTCATCTCCTTGGCTGCAGCATCTGATTAAAGCCTTCTTTCTTGGCAATAATGGCTGTCTCAGTGATTGTCTTTCTGTGCAGTGAGCAATAGGACCTAGATTGAACTGCAGGCATTTCAGTAACACAAGGGCTGTGGCCTGGGGCACAGGGTCCCAAGCCACATGCACTATCATGAGAACAGCACCAAGGGATGGTGTTAAACCATTCATGAGAAACCACCCTCATGAGCCAATCACCTCCCACCAGGCCTCACCTCCAACACTGGGGATTACAATTCAACATGAGATTTGGGCAGGGACACAGATCCAAACCATATCAGTGGATAAGTTACAGATACATTGGCACTGTCACATTACCTAAAATTCACTCAATGCACCTTAACCTACTACATTTCTTTCTGTTTTCTTTTTTTTTTTTTGGTGGGGGGTTGGAGTTTCACTCTTGTTGCCCAGGCTAGAGCGCAATGGTGCGATCTCGGCTCACTGCAACCTCTGCCTCCCAGGTTCAAGTGATTCTCCTGCCTCAGCCTCCCAAGTAGCTGGGATTACAGGCATGCACCACCATGCCCAGCTAATCTTGTATTTGTAGTAGAGGTGGAGTTTCACCATGTTGGTCAGGCTGGTCTCTAACTCCCGACCTCAGGTGATCTGCTCACCTCAGTCTCCCAAAGTGCTGGGATTATAGATGTGAGCCACTGTGCCTGGCCAACCCACTACATTTCTACAGTTGGTTTCTATTTATCTGTCTGGGTTTCTATTTTCCTTTCATTTCTGTCCCAGATCAAGCTTCTTCCTCAAGTTCCCTAGTCAATAAATGAGTAAGATCCATTCCAATGGATTTATTTGGCCCTCACCTTTGAGGTCAGATTGCAGCCCAAATATCCTGAGTCATGAGTCTTTTGGCCTCCACTGAGAAATTTCACTGAATTAGTCTTGCTTTCCTGGGCTCATTGCCTCTGGTGGCTTTCTTTTAGTTGCCACTATTATTTTTCATACTTTTTTCAGGGTTTTCTTTTCTAGTGGATGTATCCTATGGCTTTTAAAAGGGCACCACATAACACTTTGGTTTTTAGAAGACTCTAAAAAAGCTCTTTTCATGCCTTTTTTAAAGCCTTATGCCATCTGAAGTTATTCAAGGGGTACGGCATGGTGACCTAGTTTGTTGTTGCTTTAGGAAAGGGATGGATTATCAGAAATAATACCTTACCATCTGGTTTCTTAGGCAGGTCTCTTAGAAAAAAGAGCCTAATGCTCAGCTTAAGTGTTAAAATTTTATTAAGAGGTACAATCCCAGGGAAGCCAGAATGAAGGGAAAGAGAAAGGAGGTAGAGAAGGTGGCTTTTTGAACCGGCTGCTGTTTCACAAGGCACACAGCTAGGTGCTTGACTCCACAGGATGAATCTAGACAGGTTACACAGGAATATCATGCTTCAGAACCATCCACTGGAGGGAAGAGTGGAGAGGCGATTTATTTGCTAGCTCCCTTGTATCTTTTGTGTCCTGTAAGTCAAGGTTTGTCCCATGGGCAGCTAAGCCCTGCACTTCCAGGTTGCATAGGTCGGCCCTGGGAAAGCCTGACTCACACCCTGTGGTTTGGCTTCAGCAGAGTCCAGCAGGGGAGGGAGCAGACAGAGAAGCCCAGGATGAGCCCTGGATGGAGCAAGTGGCAAAGGAGCCTGAGAGTGGAGAGGCTAATTCAATCTGGCCTCCTGATTTCGATATGTGTTTTCCCAATCTGAGGAGCTTGGAGATGGCCTGGGAGAGGAGAGGAAAAAAAAAGTACTTGCTTTGGTGGTGCCCAGGAGGCATTAGGAAGCAGATCTGGCTTTGTCTTCAGGGCTCTTTAAAACAGTAGTCACCACACTTTTTCTTAAAGGGCCAGGTGGTAAATATTTTAGGCTTTGGGGGTTGTGTGCTAACAGGCAAAATCAAGGATATTATATAGGTACTTACAGAACTATTTAAAAATGCCACCATTTTAAAATGTAAAAACTGTCTGGGCACAGTGGCTCATGCCTGTAATCCCAGCACTTTGGGAAGCCGAAGCAGGAGGATCAGGTGAGGCCAGGAGTCCAAGACCAGTCTGGGCCATATAGCATGATCTTGTCTCTTAATAAAAAAATAAAAATAAAAAATAGCAGGCATGGTGGCATACACCTATATGTCCCAGTTACTTGAGAGGCTGAGGTGGGAGGATTGCTTGAGCCTACAAGTTTGAGGCTGCAGTGAGCTATTATCGCCCCACTGCATTCTAGCCTGCATGACACAGTGAGATCTCTGTGTCTAAAAAAAAAAATTAGTTAAAAAATGTAAAAATTATTCTTAGCAGGCTGACTTTAAAGTCAGGCTGCTGGCCAAATTTGACTTTGAGGTTGTAAAGTGCTGATCCTTCCTTTAGAGAACAGGGATCAAACTAGGGTTCAGCTCAATTTCACTTAAGGTCTATGATATTCCCAGGCACCCATAGAATTATTTTTTTCTAGGACTTTTGTACGACACAGGTCTTCGAGAGCAGAGGTCACTTGGATTGGCCTGATGGGTCAGTGTGTCTTGCACTCTGCCTTGGGGTGTTATTTATTTTGGGTTTGATGGGTGTGTGCCTTGGTTTGTGGAACTGGTTCACTCAGGCTTGTGAACTCTGGTTCTACACATCTCTTCCCAATTCCACATGCAGTGATGTCACATTGGTGTCTTGAACCTGGCCATACAGACAATATTGACACCATGGAAACTGGCAAATGCTGCAAATCAGGGCTTTTTGAGGGACGGTGGGATGGGAATAAGCAATTGTCAACATTTACCAGCATACCACTGGGCATTTGCCTATGGCATTAGCTTTCCCTAGAGAATTTTCTGGTGATGGTTATATGTCACCGGGAGGGAAATATAAAGAGGTGACAGAAGAGCAAAATTAACTTGATGGGGAGAAGGGAAGTGTCCTGAATGAGCTCCAGGCTTGCTAGTCACTTGCCTACTGGACACCTCTGCTTGGATGTCCCAGGAACCCAAACTCAGAAGTCCAAAATGGTCCCAGTATCTCTCTGCTCCCAATAAATAGTGCTGGAATCATCATGAAGTGTTTACTCTCTCTTCTCTCTTTGTCTTTCACCTTTCCTGCCTCCATCAAACAAATGAACCCTCGGGTCTTGCTGACAGTGCCTCTGAGCATTATGAGATCCTTTGTTTCTTCTATTCACTTTCTTCTCTTATTCTCACCCTGGCTACCATTTTCTCCTGTCTGGCCTCCTAGCTCATCTCCTCTTACTGGTGACTCACTCTTTTAGTCCATTTCTTGGCTTGCATAATCTTCTGGATTGCATATTTGTTCTTATCACTCACCGGCTTTACCCTGCAGCTGTACCCCATGGCATCTCGAGTGAAGTCTAAACTTCCCAACATGCTTTGCAGGGCCTGCCTCACAGCCTCATCTCTAACCCCTGGGGCTTCCCACTCTATAATTCTGTACTTTGGTCACACTGAACTTCTGCTGCCTGGAATGGACCTCACTTCTCATGGGCTGTCCTCTCTCCCAGCCTCAGTGTTGTCAGGCTCATTCTTCCCCGCCCTTCACAGAAAGGCTCATTAAGTCTTACTTTCCATGGGATGTTTCCTTCACCTTTCTGCTTCATCCCCTCAGGGAAAGGGCTGTCAGGGAATGCACAGCCTGCTTCCTTCCAGAGCCTCATCTGTTCAGGTTACATGACCCTCTGTGCTGACACCCCTATTCTGCTTACTAGAGGCTATTGTGATGTCTCTCTGTGACCCTGAAATGTATCTGCCAAACTCTTAAAACAACGCTATTGGAAGACATCCAAAGCTCTTCTGGGCTGGGCGCAGTGGCTCTTGCCTGTAATCCCAGCACTTTGGGAGGCCAAGGCAGGTGGATCACCTGAGGTCAAGAGTTTGAGACCAGCCTGGCCAACACAGAGTGAAAACCCATCTCTACTAAAAATACAAAAATGAGCTGGGTGTGGTGGTGCATACCTGTAGTCCCAGCTACTTGGGAAGCTGAGGCAGGAGAATCGCTTGAACCCAGGAGCCGAGATCATGCCACTGTACTCCAGCCGAGGCAACAGAGCGAGACTCCCTCTCAAAACAAAAGCAAAAAACAAAAGCTCTTCTGAACTAACCTGGTGAATCCCAGAAGTTGGACCTTGTAGCAGGCGGATGCAGCTCTTGTAGGAGATCCTGGTGCTGGCATACTGTCCTCAGACTACCATCCATGAAGACAGCGTGCATGGTGGACAGTTCTTCCTGACATTCTAAGGCCCATGGGAAACACTTTCATTCTTCTCTCTGTGCATTTGGTTTTAAAGCTCTGGCCTTTCAAGTACTGCATGTTCTCACTTACAAGTGGGAGCTGAGCTAAACAATGGTTACTCATGGACATACAGAGTGGAATAATAGACACTGGAGACCACAGATGGTGGGAGGATGGGAGGACAGTGAGGGCTGAAAAATTACCTATTGGGTACCATGTTCACTATTCGGGTGATGGGCACCCTAAAAGCCCAGACCTCACCACAGTGCAATAGATGCATGTAAGACGTCTTGCACTTTTCCCTCTAAATATATAAAAGTTAAAAATTAAAAAAAGTTTTAAAGAAGTAGAATGGATAAATTGTGGTATACTATACTTTGGAACCCTAGACAAAGAATAGGAAGGAACTACACACAGCACAGATGAATCTTACAAACCTAATATTTGAAAGAATAATATTGAAAGAAGCCAGATCCAAAGAGTACATATATGATTCCATTTGTATTAAGTCCAAAAACAGCCCACACTCATATTCTGTTTCTTGATATAGGTACTGGTTCCATCCTAGCTGTGTTCACTTTGTGAAAATTCATCAAGTTAGTCCTTACGCTTGGGTACTTCTCTGCATGTGGTTTTCCAATAAAAATTGTACAGACCATCCCCTCCCCACAAATAAATAAAAATAAATAAAACTCCAGACTTTTATGGAGACTGTTGATGATGGGGATGATGATGAGCTTCGGTACATAAGGCAAATGCGTAATACATTTTGGGATATTACTGTTACAGTTACAGTTCTGAAAATGGTGACATTTGAGACTTTGTCTATTTGAAAGGATCAAGTCTGGATTAAAATGGGAATGGCTCCAGTATAGCCAGAGAGCAGTTGTGCCAAAGAAACAGTTCAGCACCTCCCATAGTGGTGACCAGAGAGGTGGGACTGGATTAAGGTAGGATTGCGAGAGGAGGCTGCCTTTCTCCTCCGGGCCACTCACCATCTGCCACCTCACTGCACTCATGCTCCCGTTTAAACAATTTCCAGTTGAGATCCCTTAAAATAAAGCTTAATATGTTCACATCTGGTGGTTTTCCTGCCCTAGTTTATGCTTAGCTTTGGCCTGCATTTTTAAAAAACGATTCTGTGATTGCTTTGTGTTGCTCTGGAAGAGTTTTTGGATCAGGGATTTATGCCTCTCTTTGATTGCATTGTGATTGCATTTGCAAGTGACAGAACAGAGAAGAAATCTGTAATCTGTTTTTGCCCTGTGTCTGTGGGTATCAGCTCCGGCTGCAGATCAACACAAGCATAGCAACTTTTTAATAGGAACGATTGCTAATCCTGGATCCAAACCTACAGAACAGAAGCTCCAGGCCTAAGGTTGGGCATTTAGTTTTAAAATATCACCAGGTGATTCTGACGTGCAGCCGGGATCATTGATACAGGTGATTTACAAAAGGCCTATCAGAAATCATCCATGTAGTATCTTTCTCTTGAAGAATCCCTTCTTGTGTGCTGACAGTTGAAGTTTTCATTCTAAATAGTCATAATTTTGAAATATCATCAAGAATAATGATTCAATAATACAAGTGTTCACAGGAATGATGGAGAAAAGCATTTGAACTGGGACTCGCATTCAGACTAATTTCCTAAAGGTAGGAACTAGTGGATTCTTATAGGAAGTCTGTTAAATTACAGTGTACTGAGGGATGTACATTTCTCTCCTTCCCTCAAAGAATGAAAGAACATCTGTTCTGGAATTAGCCTGAGCTGGTTTTGAGTCCTGGCTCTACCAACTTCTTAGTTGGTACAACCTTAGTTCCCACAACTGTAAAATGGGCCTAAAAATATTTTTCTTGCAGAATTGCAATACTTTTGGAGCAATAAATCATGTCTGGCACATAATAACTGCTGATAAATGATAGTTTTTCCTCTTTTGGGTATAAGAAAGCTCCTAGAATTTCTATGTAGTCTGGAACGCTTTGGGGCATTCTTTTCAGGGACCTCGTCACCACGTATTGAATGAGGGTCCTGCCTCTAGCCAGGTGCAGTGGCTTGTGCCTGTCGTCCCGGCTACTAAGGAGGCTGAAGGGGGAGGATCGCTTGAGCCCAGGAGTTTGAGATCAGTTTGGGCAACATAGTAAGTCCCTGTCTCTACAAAAAATTTAAAATAAATTAGCCAGGTATAGTGGTGTGTACTTACAGTCTTAGCTACTCAGGAGGCTGAGGCAGGAGGATTACTTGAGAGCCCAGGAAGTTTAGGCTGCAGTGAGCCATGATCATGCCTAAGTGAGAGTGAAAGACCCTTTTTCAAAAAGGAAGAAAGAAAGAGAGCGAGAGAGAGAGAAAGGAGGGAAGGAAGGAAAGAAGGAAGGAAGGAAAGAAGGAAGGAAGAAGGAAGGAAGGAAGGGAGGGAGGGATGGATAGGAGGAAGGAAGGAGGTAGCAGGAGGGAGGGAGAGAGAAAGGAAGGAAAAAAAAGAAAAGAAAGAAAAGAAAAAGTTCTCACTTTTACTGGGTTCTGTTTCAAGGCATCAACTGTTTTTTTTCCCGGTTCAATTTTCCCATTTGATATTTTTCCTGAGCATTTAAAGGTGGGAACAAAATAATTTTACCCTTCTGGAAAGTAGCTACTTCTCGTGTCCAGACAGTGGGGTAAAACATCCCAGTTTAACCAAAGCAAGCACTGGGGCCAGGCTGTATCTTCTCCCTCCCCTCCCTATGTAAAGAAACCTTAGATTTCTAGACCAGCCAGGCACTGCCTCCCCTACCCTCTGATCTTCACACAATCCTGTCCTGCCACAGCTGTCCGCCTCATCAGGGAAAACAATCAGTTCTCTGCTCTTCTTGCCTCACCTCCACTCTGGCTGATTTTAATTTTAATTGCTGTTCTGAACCTTGGGGCTTTCTCTAGCATGGATGCCTTTGAACAAAGCTCTTCCTTTGCAAAAACTCTCCCAGAAGAGTTACAAACCTCTGCAACTAAGTGAATTGGATATCTTGATTAGACTTGTTCCTTTTTCTTTGACAGGGCAAAATCCCTCTCTGAGGAAGAAGGGAGGAGCCTGCATTGATTAACATATTGCCATTCCTGAATGAATTTACATTCATGAATTATAATATTGGACCATTCCTCTGAATTTTATTCAAAAAAGCTGCTACCTGGTATTATGCAAATATCCCTGCACCCTACAGTGAAGTGTGTGTTTGTTAAACACAGTAGTTGTGACAATTTTGCAGGACTGATGGAAATTCTAGAAGATGAGAGGAGTTTACCAGATGGGGAAGGGTAGGAGTGGAGTGGGTAGGTGTCTGGGTAAAAAACCTTCCTATGAGAACACTTTGGATGGAACGTTAAAAGTGTGGGTAAAATGAATAAAGAAGAAGGAAAAGGCAGAAATCAGCAGAGCAGATTGATTTGCAGGGCTTGAATGGATGAGTACCTGACCAATGGTTTGGACTGAGACTAAGAACAGAGCTGTAAGTCATATTAAGAAAGTGAAGTGCATTAAACCTGAGACTGTTTGGCCCAACAGTGGTGGGACAAAATGAATGAGGTGGCTTAGGATAAGGAAGTACCCCAAAATCTACTTTGGAATAGCACTTGTCTCTTCTTGTTTACAAAAATGGATCTGACACCATGAAGTGAATTTCTAAAGCAAGGGAAGAGATAGTGAGAGATGGCAAGAGAGAAAGAGGGAGAGAGTGATGGAGGAAGAGATGACTGAGAGACAGAGTTGAAGACAGAAGTACAGAGAGGTCAACAGAGAGAAAGAGACACAGAGATTAATGGATATAATATTTCATAGGAAAACTAAAAATAATGAAGTTTTGAATTTGGGAAAATTTAGAGAAGAGATAGAAAGGGATATTTACTGACCCCCACTGCATATCCGGATAACATATATATATGGTTTATAATATAACAGCCAGGAACTCCATCTTCTCCATAATTAATGCAATAGGAAGAATAGAGCAACCAGGGATGATTACATGAGTGACAGCAAACACAGCAGAAAAACTCTGACTTACAGGTGGGTAGCACATACTAGGTTCTGTCTCAGGTCTGCTGGAACTTCAATTTTCCTTATCTGCCAAAAAGTGTTGCTGGGCAGATGAGAGGAAAGATTTGAGTTGGCTCTTAAGAAGTCCATGGGTCTCAAACAGTGTGCAAAGATACACTGGTATCCCTCAAGCCCTTCTCGAGGAGGTCCCCTCTGTACTGTGAGTCTAAATGGGCACAAGATATTTGCCAGATTTTCAAATCCAGTTCAACACTTAGGCTAATAGGAAAACAATTTGCTATGGGCAAACTCTTGGGAAAAAAAAATCATGTGTTTACTGGGACATGTGAGAACTTTGTCTCTTGAACTGTCAGGACTGTACACAGTTCTTTTCAATCCTGACTCAGAGTTGAAAGCGATAGGGGTGGGAATTGAATAAATAGTGTGAAAACCATTGGTTCTTTTCTTTTTTCTTTCTTTTTTTTTTTTTTTTTTTTTTTGAGACGAAGTCTCGCTTTGTCGCCCAGGCTGGAGTGCAGTGGTGCGATCTCAGCTCACTGCAAGCTCCACCTCCTGGGTTCACGCCGTTCTCCTGCCTCAGCCTCCTGAGTAGCAGGGACTGCAGGCGCCCACCACCATGCCTGGCTAATTTTTTGTATTTTTAGTAGAGACGGGGTTTCACCGTGTTAGCCAGGATGGTCTCGATCTCCTGACCTTGTGATTTGCCCGCTAAAGCCTCCCAAAGTGCTGGGATTACCGGTGTGAGCCACCACACCTGGACTTTTTTTTTTTTTTTTTTTGTTGTGAGATGGAGTCCTGCTCTGTCACCCAGGCTGGAGTGCAGTGGCGCAATCTTGGCTCACTGCAACCTCCGCCTCCGAGGTTCAAGTGATTTTCCTGCCCCAGCCTCCTGAGTAGCTGGGATTACAGGTGTGTGCCACCATGCCCAGCTAATTTTTGTATTTTTAGTAGAGATGGGGTTTCACCATGTTGGTCAGGCTGGTCTCGAACTCCTGACCTCATGATCTGCCCACCTCAGCCTCCCAAAGTGCTGGGATTACAGGAGTGAGCCACCACGCCCGGCTGGGTGCTTTTAAAGGCAATGTGAAGTGCTGCAATGGTTGACAGCTTGCTTTGTGTTGGTTGGCATCTTTTAATATCTTCAAATATTGCACCAAAATGACCACAAAAGTGTAGGAGCACTCAATAAAGGTAGCGCTATGACTTCTCGAGGTTCCTATTGGTTCTCACACATCAAAAATCTCTGGGAGGGCTTCATCCTTCTTTGATTTCATTACCATGTCCCCTGACACATGGGGGTGTTCTGGCCCCTGCCCATGACTGTCTTGTGTTTTTTCACTTTAAAGCTTGCACCTAACTTGCATTGTCTGGTGTTTTCACATTTTCGTTGTGTTAATCTAGAGGGCATGCTTCCCCATCTTTCATCCTATTTATGTTGGTTTGATTGTGTGGTAGGAAGAATAAAGTGTGCCCTCACCTCCCTCCCCACTGGCCGCCAAAGATGTCTACATCCTAATCCTCAGAATCTGTGAGTGTTATAATGCACGGCAAAAGGAGAATTAAAGTTGCAGATGGAATTAAAGTTGCTCATCAGCTGACTTTAACAAGAATTATCCTGGTTTATCTTATGTTAACACAAAGGACCTTAGAAGATGGAGGCAGAAGCGTAGGTCAGAGGTACTCAATGTCAGAAGGACCCAACCGGCCTCGCTGGCTTTGAAGATACAGGAAGGTGCAGTTTGAGGGTGTTCTTGTAGACACGGAGACCGATTCTTCCCTAGAGCCTCCGGAAGGAACACAGTCCTGCTGATGCCTCGATTTTAGCCCAGTGAGACCCATTTCTGACTTCCAATTTCCAGAATTGAAAGATAATAAGTTGTATTGTTTAAGCCACTAAGTTTGGGCCAGCCACGGTGGCTCATGCCTGTACTCCCAGCACTTTGGGAGACCTGGGTGGGCGGATCTCTTGAGGTCAGGAGTTTGAGACCACCCTAGCCAACATGGTGAAACCCTGTCTCTACTAAAAAAAAATACAAAAAATAAGCTGGGCGTAGGGCACGCGCCTATAATCCCAAGCTGAGGCAGGCGGATCGCTTGAACCTGGCAGGCAGGGGTTGCAGTGAGCCAAGACGGTGTCACTGCAGTCCAGCCTGGGCGACAGAGTGAGACTCCGTCTCAAACAAACAAACAAACAAACAAACAAACAAACAAACCACCGGATTTGTGGTGATTTGTGACAGCAGTCATAGGAAACATATAATTTGCATCTCCTATAATGTTAGCTTGGTCAATATCACAGCATCAGGTAGAAGCCATGGGCCAGGAAATGAGCTCCTACTGGCCACAGAGGTCCTGGCTGGCACCTTCCTGCCAGGACTCTCCTTGCAGGGGGGTGAGGGGGAAAAGACCACGATGCTGAGGAGCTCTGCTGGGAAAAGCATGAGCTATGTCCCCAAGGACCTTCCTCATCTTTGCACACCTTCCAGCACATTCTACGCACTTGTCATGGGCTCACTTCCTGTTTGGGTCATTTACTTACCAGAAATGTCTCTCCTTTTCTGAGATTAAGTCTGCTTGACCATGTAGAGAGAAGCTGTTCAGTAAACACATACCAAGGTTTCATTTTGAAAAGCTTCATGTGGGAGCTGAGGTTGGAAACCTAAAAGACCCCCAAGTTTAGCAGTGGTTTAGTGAATAAGTAACTGTGAAATGTCCCAGGAATATGCTTGGCTTTCAAAAACTAGTATTTAAAATATCTAGTCTTCTCTCTAAAAGATGGAAGAGAAATTAGTTTTGAAAATCCTTTTGGCTAAAAGCCTACTGTTCTGACATATTCTTCCTCCTGGGACTCACTTTCCTAGAACTGCCTGTCTCTGGTACCTTGTATCTGGAACTCTCCTGAGGTTTATTTGCATTGTTGAATTCCTGCCTTAGGGTTATTGAAGAGTAATGAATTGAATGTTTGAGTTGTTTGTGGTAAGTTATTAATTCCTCCCCCCTTTTTTTTTTGGAGACAGTCTCTCTCTCTCATCCAGGCTGGAGTGCAGTGGCGTGATCTCGTCTCACTGCAACCTCCACCTACCAGGTTCAAGTGATTCTCCTGCCTCAGCCTGCTGAGTAGCTGGGATTACAGGCACATGCCACCACTCCCGGCTAATTTTTTTTTTTTTTTTTAGTAGAGACGAGGTTTCATCATTTTGGCCAGGCTGGTCTCGAATTCCTGACCTCAAGTGATCTGCCTGCCTCCCAAAGTGCTGGGATTACAGGCGTGAGCCACTGTCCCTGGCCAGTAAGTTATTAATTCCATCAGTGAGAGAGACAGCTCTGTGGTTAACGGCACTCATAGGACCATACAGAAGTGTGAAAAGAGGGATCTCAGCTTATCGAATAGAATTTCAGCCACTGCTGAATTACCTTTGGATGGTCCACAAAGAAGTTGCAGAGATACTCTCCTAGGAGAAACAGCCCCATGAGCCACTTCAGGATGGCTTGGCTTTCAGTGAGTTGCTGATAAATATCAGATTTCTGTAAAAATCGAATTTGAAATAGTTTACATATAAAATAGAAGCCTAAATTATCGATCCTGGAGTGTACAGCGAAAGGAGAGAAAATTACACCAGCAATTACATTACAATGTAATAAATGGTAAATCCAGGTGGCCTCTCCTCTCTCTCTCTTTCAATTTCCCTCTCTCTCTTCTCTCTCTTTTTCCCAGTTTTTCTTCTCTCTGCAGAGACCAAAAGCTGCTTGAAGACATATGATATGTTTTACTTCTCTTTTTCCCCCTCAGGGCCTTGCCTTGTAGGGGCTCAATATGGCTTTATTATTTTACCCTTAGCTGTTTGTCTTTTCAGAAAGTATTTTATGTGTTCTTCTTTAGGTTGGGAGGAGGGTGACTTCTTGGTATTTCAGAAGGACTCCAGAACACAATGCAGTAAGTGTTGCACTGAGAAACATCACGTAGCAGGGAAGATTTAAGGGCCAGGCCTTCAGGATCTCTTGTGATTAGACGCCTAAGCCTATTTGTAAGGCCGTGGGAGTACTTCGCCAGGCACGGAGAAGAATGCTGGAGCTAACAAGAAAGCCCTTTTCTGCTGTGTACTATATGTCATAACGTTAAAAAAAGGGGGGAGGGACATGATGAAAAAGAAAGGCCTGGAACTTAAGAGAGATTCTGTTCCCAAGTGGAAGGCATGTTTTTTCTTATTGCTGTAAGCGGTGGCAGGCGTCCCCAGGCCAGCAACAAACATCCGGGAGCTTTGGTATTAGGCAGGATGTTAGCATGCCAGCCTCATGGAGAAAAGGAACAATGGCTGTTTAATTTGCTTTTTATAGCAAAGCCCATTTGGGACGAATGAAGACAGGAGGATCTTAGAAGAGCTTCCTTTCCCGGAGGGTTGGCCCATCTGCTCCATGGAGAGGAGAGTGTGCTGACTCAGGAAGCCGAGCCAGCCAGGCCCTGAGCGGTGCCTCTGCCAGGACGCTGGCCCACGCGGCCACTGCACAAATGGTGTGCAGAGTGCAGGAGGCACATTAGGGCTCTTAAGGATGGGACAACTGACTTCTGTCCGGGGATTACTGAGACATATGTTCCGTGACCACCATAAGGATGCTTTCTCTAACAAAGCCTCTTTTATGGGGTATTGTTGGAGGAACGAAAAATATACAAATTCCTCTCTGCAAGGGATTAAACATTTAAGGAAATGTGACCAAACTGTTTCTAAGCATCATATATCTTTGTGCTTTTTAAAGCAGAAAACAGGGAACAAAATACAAACCTCTATGAATGCTTTGGGTTATTAATACGAAGATCAAGTTTTAAGCATAACCAATGATCATAACTACTATTTTATTTTGGTGTTCAAAACACTGTATTGTGGGCCTGGCACAGTGGTTCACACCTGTAATCCCAGCACTTTGGGAGGCTGAGGTGGGCAGATCACCTGAGGTCAGGAGTTCGAGACCAGCCTAGCCAACATGGTGAAACCCTGTCTCTACTAAAAATACAAAAATTAGCTGGGTGTGGTGGCGGGTGCCTGTAATCCCAGCTACTCGGGAGGCTGAGGCAGAAGAATTGCTTAAACCTGGGAGGCGGAGGTTGCAGTGAGCTGAGGTAGCGCCACTGCACTCCACACTCCAGCCTGGATGACAGAGAGAGACTCCATCTCAAAAAAAGAGAAACAAAAACAAAACAGAAACAAAACAAACACTGTATTGAAACTTATAGAACTACATCAACCAGCTATAAACTGTGATGCTTTTTGAATTCATGAATTTATTTTTCATCATCTTTCTCTTTCTTGCTGCTTTGACGTCGTTTCAGAGTCAGTCTCAGTATTTTCTTCCTTTTTTCTCTCCCACTCCTTTCTACTGAAACTAATAAATTACTTCGTTATGGTCGTATATGAGGGCAAGAATAAACAAGCTCTGGAAAGAACCTAATAAGTTTCCTATAAACTTAACCGATAGCTCTTCAGGCTGTTCCCAGGCTTGTTTTTGTTTTCTTCTTACATCAATGTTTCTGCCTGTCTTGCGGAGGATGCTGCAGTGGTGACCTCCAGATAAGGAAGGCATTTTAGGCTGTGACAGGTGAGCAGGCATCTTCCCTGAATGGCTCTGATTAGGTTGAGAGTTCGAGGGCACAGACAAGATCTGGCTGAGAAAAGGACCTCTCTGTTGGGAGCTCAGCCCCCAAACTCAGTGACATTTGGCACACTGGATGCTGGTGTTTTCTCTCTGTATGGGCTGAGGCAAAATCAGCTGAGGCGCCCTATCTTTTCCTCATATTTTTGCTTAGATGCAATGCACGTATTCCAAGTGAGTCCCTACACAAGATAATGATTGTTTCAGAACCTTAGATGACATCATTTGGAGATTTGTTGAGTGGCTATCAACCACCCCAACTGCTGTTGATAAAGAAGAGATAACAGAGTGAAAATATTTGTCATATGAGTTTCACTATTTTTTTTAGTCATATATGTTCTGATGTGGTAGTGGGAGTAAAGAACTGTCTTATGACTGCTCTAGATATCAGAGATGGAAAATTCTTAGCTCATTCATTACCCTTCAAGACTCATATGCCATACGGCTTTCTGTTGATCTTCTGGGCTGATTTCATCTGCACCTGCTTCCTTCTCAGGAGATACTAAGTGATAAATGATCTCAGGGCTGGAGAGATATTTCAAAGGAATCACATCCAGTGGTGCCATTCCTATTTCATTTGGCCATATTCCTTTAGTGGGTGAGGTTTTCCCAGGCTATCAGTCATTCATTTAGTTCTGAGTCTCATGAAACCCAGAGCTAGTCATTTGACAACATTCCTGTGCCTCAATTTCCCTTCTTTAACAGCTCGGCAATAGAAACAGAATGTGAGCCACATACATAATTTCAAACATTCTAGAATTCACATTAAAAGAGTAAAAAGAATAAACCAGACCCAGAAATGCAAATACCATCTGATCTCACTTTGCGGAATCTAAAAAAGTTGAACTCACAGAAGCAGAGAGTAGAACAGTGCTCTCTGTGAAATGGGGAGATATTAGTCAGAGGGTACAAACTGGGTAAGAGGAACAAGTTCTGGAGATCTAATATACAGCATGGGTGGTGATGGATGTGTTGAAAACAAAACCAAAAAGAAATAAGTGAAGTTAATTTGAATATACATTATTTAACCCAATATATCCAAAATATTATCATTTTAAGGTATAATCAATATAAAACATTATTATTATTATTTGACAGGATTTCATTGTGTCGCCCAGGCTGGAGTGCAGTGGCACGATCATGGCTCACTGCAGCCTCTATTGCTTGGGCTCAAGTGATCCTCCCTCCTCAGCCTCCCAAGTAGTTAGGACTACAGGAACATGCCACCACACCCAGCTAATTTTTTATTTTTTTATAGAGATGGGGTTTTGCCATTTTGCCCAGGCTGGTCTCAAACTCCTGGGCTCAAGCAATCCTCCCACCTCGGCCTCTCAAAGTGTTAGGATTACAGGCGTGAGCCACCATGCCCGGCCTAAAACATTACTAATGAAACATTTTACTTTCTTATTTTTCATACCAAGTCCAATATTTGTTGTCTATTTTACACATACAGTGCATCTTTTTTTTTTTTTTTTTGGGATGGAGTCTTACTCTGTCACCCACGCTGGAGTGCAGTGGTGTAATCTCGGCTCACTGAAAGCTCTGCCTCCCGGGTTCACGCCATTCTCCTGCCTCAGCCTCCCAAGTAGCTGGGACTACAGGTGATGGCTGCCACGCCCGGCTAATTTTTTGTATTTTTTAGTAGAGAAGGGGTTTCTCTGTGTTAGCCAGGGTGGTCTCGATCTCCTGACCTCATGATCCGCCCCCTTCGGCCTCCCAAAGTGCTGGGATTACAGACATGAGCCACTGCGCCCGGCCTACAGTGCATCTTAATTCAGACTGGTCACATTTCAAGCGCTCAGCAGCCACTAGCCAATACAGCAGTTCGGTATAATGGATGTGTCTTTCCGTTTTAAAGAGTATTGTGTAATATTTTAGAGCTGAGTGAATATCTGCTTTAAACAACATGAGAGATACAGGTAGTCATAGTGGTGCCAACCAAAAATATGAATAGTCTTTTTTTCTTTCATGGACTAGGAGGTTCAAGTAAACTTCAGAAGATCAGATGGTGATCTTATGAATCACAAGAGACCATAGATGCAAGGACAACGGCAGGTCAGGGCAGTCAGATATGAAAGGCAGGGCTCCTAGAATGAGCAAAATCAGCACCCAAGGGGTGTGAAAACTAGAATGACTGTGTCCGATGAATAACTCATTCTACATTGAGAGAAATTTTATCTGTGAGTCCAAGTAGCTTCCAGGATTCATTAAGAACTTTTAAAAGATGTCATGGAGATTGAGTTGCTCTTCAGAGATTGAGCTGGTATTTAGAGATTGAGTTGGTATTTAGAGATTGAGCTGGTATTTAGAGATTGAGGCACATTAAGAAAGATGTTGAAATGAAGAAAGGGTTTGTTGTAATGACAAGTGCTAACAGGAAGGTGGTGGCAGCTTGAAGGAGAGTTGACAAATCTGTCATTATCTTTCCAGTCTTGTCCAAGGCAGAGGGCGTTCTTGCCAGACAGCATGTGCGTTCCAGGGTGCTTGGCAGACTCTCTCAGTGAAGGAGCTTCGGCATGAAAAAGTCCCCATCAGGCGGATCCCACGCCCTCTGCACAGCTTGTGTAAGGGCACAGCTTGTGTAAGGACAAAAACTAACCAGACACCTACTATGTAGAAGGCTCTTCAATGATTCTTCTGTAAAACAGATTGTATTCATTTGCTAGGGCAGCAAAATACCACAGACTGAGTGGCTTAAACAACAGAAATTTATCTTCTCACAGCTCTGGAGGCTGGAAGTCCAAGATCAAGGTGCTGGGCGATTTGGTTTCCTTGGAGGCCTCTCTCCTTGACTTGCAGATAGTCACCCTCTTCCTCCCTCTTCACCTGGTCGTCCCCTGTGCGTGTGTGTGCCTGGTGTCTCTTCCTTTTCCATTCTGAACTTATGAAACAGATTTTGGTGGGTGTAGCAAGATCATGCAAGCTTTGGGACTTGAATGGATTGGAATGTATTCCAGTTATATCAGATTAGAGTCCTACCCTAATGGCCTCATTTTAACTCAATCATCTCTTTAAAAACTTTATCTACAAATATACTTACATCCTGAAATTTCGGAGGTTGGGACGTTGACATACGAATTTTGGGGTAACACAGTTCAGCCCATGATATAGGCATTACCTATCTTACAGGTGAGGAAACTGAGGGGCGGTGAGGACATGTGACTTGCATAGGGTTAGTATGCCAGTTGAGAGTAGAATCTCTATCTCAGTTGAGTGTTCTTTACACAAAGAACACTTTGTCTCTTGAGGCGAAATGATGTATCCAGCTAGCGCCATCGAAGACATTTGGAAAACTCAGGTTTCTTCATGGCTTGCAAGATTACCTAGGTACTTCATGGGGAGTGGTGAGGGGCATGAGGGTGGTTGGGGGATGATCAGTGGAAGCAGTTTGGAGATTGGGGTCTGGAATCGGGGTGTGAGTCTTGGCTCTGTCATAGACTAGGTGTATCGCCATTGTCAAGGCCTGCACAATCTAAGTTTATACCGATTAAGATTTATTAAGCAACAGTGCTAAGCACTGAACACATATCACCTCATCCCATGTTCACAGCCAGCATATAAAGTGGATACTATTGCTATGTCTACTTTACAGTTGAGGAAAAGAGGCCCGGAGAGGTTAAGTGACTTACTCAAGGTCACGTAGCCAATAAGGCCTAGAGCCAGGACTCAAACCCACGTCTGTGGATTTCAAAACCTATACAGTTAACCATGAACAGAATCAGGAATGGGGTTCGGGGTTACAAAAATCTGCTTTTATAAGAGAGAAAAAGTCTGAGTTTTAGTGTAAAATCTCAAGGATTTTCAATATTGAATAATTCAAGTTTCTTAAACAAAACTAAGCAGCTCAGACAAATCATATCAGCTAGCCTCAGGTTCATACTGCATTGCCTCTTATCTGTAAAGTGGGAAAGGTGTTCTAGATAAACCTGCAGGGCATTGCCTGTCCTGATTATGAACCTCTGATGCCATTTTGAACTTATGAAATAGATTTTGGTGACTGTGGTAAGATCATGCAAGCTTTGGGACTTGAATGGATTTGAATCTGCACCTTGGCCCTTAGTAGCAATATAAGAAGGCAAATTGTTTAATCTTTCTGAACCCCAGTTTCCTTGTCTGGAAATTGGGACTTGTACTTTGTACGCTGATATGAATATGGAGATAAAGTCTGTAAAGTGCCTGCTGGGCAGCTTGGTAGGCAGTGAGAAAATAACACCAACAAGATCGTGTTCTTCGCCATGGGATTGGGAGTCTATGAGTAGTGGGTGTATGTGAATATCTGGGGGGATGTGGACAGGGTTCCCACTCTGACAGCTCTCCCCACAAACCAAGGAGCTGCCATTTTAAACTTAAGTTTTGAAAACTTCAAGAGTTTCTTTACAAAAATGTCCACCATTGTTAGACAGACTGGTTAATACCTTTGCAGGAGTTAGATTCTATTATATTTATTTACTCACTAGGAGAGCATTTAGTGAGTTTACAATGTGGCGAAAGAGGAGTGGTTCTCAAACCCTAATCTGCAACAAGAAACAGCCGGGAGCTTGCTTATACTAAAGCTTCTGAGCTGCCACTCCCAGAGTCCAGCTTAGAGTGCCATAGGGCCAGGAATGTGCATTTGCACAGCTCTCTGGGGATGCTGATACAGGGGACCAAAGACTATCTACTGAGGCCCAGTGTAACTTTACTGTGAGACAACTAAGTCACCTTCCCACCCGGAGATGCCTCCTGAGCTGACCACAGGGCGGCCACACCTGGGTAAGCCACCACTCAGGGTGGGACTGGGGCAGGCACAGCCAGGCGGGTGAGGAAGTGGGCGGGAAGAGCCTGTTTTAACCAGATAAAATTCCAAAATTCCTTACAGTGAGCCAGCCATTTGCTCTTTTTTTTTTTTTTTTGAGTCTCCCTCTGTTGCCCAGCCTAGAGTGCAGCGGTGTAATCACATAGCTCACTGCAGCCTGGAGCTCCTGGACTCCAGTGATCCTCCCACCTCAGCCTCCGGAGTAGCTGGGACTAAGTCACATACCCACAAGCCCAGCTAATTGTTAAGTTTTTTGTTGGGGTGGTGGTGGCGGTGGGGTGTGTATCTCACTATGTTGCCCAGTCTGGTCTTGAACTCCTGGCCTCAAACGATCCTCCCGCCTCCGCCTCCGCCTCCGCCTCCTTAAGTCTTGGGATTACAGGAGTGAGCCACAACTCCGGCCCAGCCAGTTCATTCTTAATAACTTTAATACATAAAAATGGACCATTTTAGTGTCCTGAAATAAGCAATGATTTCCACCATCCGAATATGGTGTGTAATGACCTCCAGACGCCTAGTTACCATCTACATCCATAGCTCAGCGATCAGAGCTTGCCCTGAACGGACTCCTTTCCCACTGCAGACAAGTAGGGGGTTTTGCCCGTAAAGAAGGAGCTAGTCTACGTGCGGCTGCAGTAGGCCCTGCGCCATCCGTCATTTCTCGGCTTCCTCCCACGCGCCTTCATGCGGATGTGTAGGTATCTCCTCTCCCTGGCTGAGTCAAGTCACTCAGAGACTGAAAAGAGAGAGAGGATGTGGCGTGAAGCTGAAGCCTGCACCCAGGGCCTGGCACCTACTGGGTTGGGCTTGGCGCTGCGTGCTTGCATTTCCGCGGATAGACCGAGATGGCATCTGGGCTGTGACACTGGCTGCCCAGCTTTTCTTTTCTTTTTTTCCAACAGCATCTGGAAGAGGCTCTGGGAGGGTCCAAACAACAAACCACGCGGCGTTCTCTGGTGGCTGTGCTGGGACGAGTGGGCGGAAACAGCCGCAGGTCTCTCTCTTCTCTTCAGCCTGAAACTCACTGCACAAATACCAGAGGTTTTTTTTAGAGATTAGATAAATTTGCATCCTTCTCCCCCCAACCCCGCCCCTAAGCCAGAGGAAGTGCTTGAGGAAGTAATGTGTTTAAAGAATGTGGGGGAGGGGAGCTTACATTAGGAAGCAGGACTCTTAGCGTGTAGCCAGAAACCCCAATAACCTTTAAGCTGTTAACCCTTGAGGATACGGCTCAATGGTGTACCCACGTGGAGTTCATTATTTATCTCCGAAAGCCCTGTCTGTCTCTCATTCCGACCCTTAAACGAATCATCTGCAGTTTGGCCAACAATTCAGTTCCAGCTCCCTGGGAATACCAGCAAATCCCGGGACAGCTGTTCCTTCTGCTGAAAACACCAGGAAAATCCGCCCAGGAGCTCAGGCTGTTTGACCAGAAAGCCTGGTGTTGGTCACTGTCAGAGAGCACGAACAGAGGGAAGAGGAGGTCCTTGGCTGGGTCCTTCATTTTTTTCTTTTTTTTTTTTTTTTTTTTTTTTTGTCCTTGGGAGCTTGGATGAGCTTGTCTTTGATGCCTTAATTGTTTCTGCACTCTTTTCTCCCTTTCATAAATCCATTGAAACGATATATATATTTAAGAGTAAGGCAAACCTCAAATTAGGCTGTCTGTAGAACTGAGCCTCTGCAAAGAGAGTAATTAAATTATTGGCATGAAACGGCAGGAACCCTGGAGGGGACGGCAGGGAGAAGGCACTAGTAAAAGTGGAAGGAAACTACTTGGGAAGATATTGGTGCCTGTGCTGGGGAATGACATATACCCAAACCATTTCTCATCAGACTTGAAAATACCGTATACATCTGTGTATGTCAGCGGATGTGCGGCAGATTCCCCTGCCCCACTGGTCTGTCTGAATGTTCTGTCTCTGTTTAGCCTGGGTGAGATGGAGGAGGATTCCCTCTTAGGGGCTTGCCACGCCACCCCTCCTCCACAGTGTGGAAATAAAAATCTTGAGTTCCTTTAAGGAAAATTGCAGGCACCTAGCTATCCCTGAGAAATTAATGAGCAACTTCATAAGTAAAAAGGTAATCATACCATAAAACAATAGCAATAAAATTAGAGCCATGAGATGTTTGGTTCCCTATAGAAACTGAAGATACATCTTAACATATGTTCCTGAGTTATTTTTCAGAAACCCAGACCTCTACCAAATGGATCTGCTGGCACGCAGACCTCAGAAAAGGGGAAACTGAGGACTGAACTCTGACTGCTATTTCTTGTTCTGCATTTTTTCTTGAAGGACCTGAAGGAAGTCACGCCCATGGGCCAGACCTAACGTTCTTTAATGCTGACTCTCAATTTTTAAATAGAGCTTCCCTTCCTTAACCAACTGCAAATCAGAAAATTGTTGAATCCCCTACCCCGTGACCTGTAAGCCCCTGCTTCAAGATATCCTGTGTGTTAAGGTCAAACCAATATGTAGCCTCCATGTATTGACTTATGACTTTGTGTGTAACCTCTGCCTGCCTGCCTTTAGAAACCCTTGCTTGCAAGCCACTGGGAAGGTCAGGTGAGCTGCCTGATTCTCCTTGCTGGGTGCCCTGAAAATAAACACCCTCCTTTCTCTCACTACAAAACCTCAGTTTGAATGTTTGGCTTCACTGCCCTGGAGGCACAGACCTCAGTTCAGTTGGGCAACATGGGTCTCGGGGTGCTGAAAGCCACTTTTTATTTTCATTAGGGACTTGCTCATGCCAAACATCCTGAATTTAAGTAGAACTTACTAGGTTTGGGGTGTTTGTGGGATGGGGTCCCCTTGTGGAGCCCTGAGCCTTCTGCCATCCCCTATCTCTGGTCCCCACTAATTTTTTTTTTTTTTTTTTGAGATGACATTTTGCTCTGTCACCCAGTCTGGAATGCAGTGGCACAATTTCAACTGACTGCAACCTCCACGTCTCAGGTTCAAGCCATTCTCCTGCCTAGCCTCCCAAGTAGCTAGGATTACAGGCATGTGCCATCACACCCGTAATGTTTGTATTTTTAGTAGAGATGGGATTTCATCACATTGGCCAGGCTGGTCTCAAACTCCTGACCTCAAGTGATCCACCTGCCTTGGCCTCCCAAAATGCTGAGATTACAGGCATGAGCCACCCCATGCCTGGCCCCTCTGGTTCTCACTAATTCTAACCTGGATTGGCTCCTTTGTGCTCCAATTCTTTCCCTGCTTCAATGCAAAGGTTTCACTTTCCTTTGAGGCCTTACTGTACAGGCCAACATCCCGGAGGTGTCAGCCTCTGTCCCCAGTTGACTTTCACAAGCCCACCAAGCACTTGGCAAAATAAAGGCCTTCCTGTTAACACCATCTGGTGTTAGGGTACACTGGGTAGCAAAAATGTGTCCCTTCTGCATACATAATCCACATATCCCCAAGCTTTCTCTGTCCACGGTAATGGCTTGAGCCTCCACTCCTGTGGCCCTTCAGCAAATCCAGTCCTCTCACCTCCCCATATTTTTAAGGGTCCCTTAGGGAGGGGCCAGTTACCTATTGTCTTACTCTAGAAGTCATTGCTTGGGTCCTCTTGCAGGTTAACTCTGGCCTTTTGGCAGCTCCTAATCTGTGCCGCAGAGCTGCCCTCAGCTCAGCCTCTCTGCAGCAGGGTGGGTACAGGAGCCCCCTTCCCACTCCCTGGAGAATGGTGAACATTCTCACTACTGATCGTCTCTGCCTCCACCCTTGCCTGCTCCTGCCCTGCCCTGGAGCTCACCTCCTGGCCCAGAATCTCTTGCTCCCTGTGATGGTTAATAATGTCAATTTGATTGGATTGAAGGATGCAAGTATTGATCCTGGGTGTGTCTCTGAAGGTGTTGCCAAAGGAGAGTAACATTTGAGTCAGTGGGCTGAGGAAGGCAGACCCACCCTTAATCTGGGTGGGCACTATCTAATCAGCTGCCAGTGTGGCCAGGATATAAAGCAGGCAGAAAAACATGAAAAAGCTAGATTGGCTTAGCCTCCCAGCCTACATGTTTCTCATGTGCTGGATGCTTCCTGCCCTCAAACATCAGACAAGTTCTTCAGCTTTGGAACTTGGACTGGCTTCCTTGCTCCTCAGCTTGCAGATGGCCTATTGTGGGACTCTGTGATCCTCTAAGCTAATACTACTTAATAAACTCCCCTTTATATATATCTATCTATCCTATTAGTTCTGTCCCTCTAGAGAACCCTGACTAATATAGATTTTCGTACCAGGAGTGGTTCTAGAGGAACAGAATATTAAGGATGGAGTTCTTTAGTTGGTTTTGGGGTTTCTGGAGTTGGCTGCTTAATATGATTAGACCCCAAAATGCTAAGGACTCTACTGCTAATAGTACAGAGAACACTAATAGCCATTGGTGTGAACTCTTCAGAGAATTATGCAAAATAAATGCATTTGATACTCCTGATTCACCCCTCATGAGAGGTAAGGAGTTTAGTGACTCTATACATAATACCTTGGACTATATGTGGAGAACCAAGGAACGTAATGAAGTTGGTTGGTTGCTCCTAAGTTCGCTGGGCAAAGTTATGAAAGAAAATGATGAACTCAGGACTTATACACTCCCTAACCCTTGTCCCTTGCTCCTCCCTATCTCCTTACCCCAACCAGAGGAAGCAAAAATGCCTTAATGCCATAAATAATTTCTACAGACTCCCTATCTAAAACAAAGATGGATTTCTACTTAACATCTCAGTCTGAAGCACTTGCATATAGATTTCTCCACTGTTTGTTGTTGTTGTTGTTTTCAAGAAGAAGCCTTGCTGGGGAAAAGGAAGATTCTCTCCATCCTGCTTCTACCCTACAGTACCCTAAAGGATACAGCTTTTTTCCTCTAATGTTTTATTTTTAAAAGTTTTAGACATACATAAAGTTGATGGAGTACTGCAATGAATGAATGCCCATATATCCTGTACCTAGATTGAACAGGTGATAACATTTTGCCAGGTTTGCTTTATCTCTTATATGTAGCTGTGTGTGTGTGTGTGTGTGTGTGTGTGTGTGTGTGTGTGTGTGTGTACATGTTTGGCTGGATCATTTAAAAGTAAGTTGCATACATCATGATCTTTTATCCCGAACTAGTTCAACTTGCATCTCCTAAGAATAAGGACATTTTACAAACCACCATACCATTAACACCTAAAAAAATGAACAGTATTTCCATAATACACAACAACTTTTAAAATAGCGTCTTCAAGGCTTTTTCTGGTATTCTTCCCTCATACTTTAGGCCATGTAGTAGTGGCATATGTGTTATCAGTACTTGGGAACGCCAGTGGTTTTCCTGTCCAAATTGGGGAACAAGGTTGCCAAGAGTTAAATGTAAGATTAACTTACAATCAGAGCAGAGATATGCAGAGACATCTTAAAAGATATAAAGAGGGCCCAGCGTGGTGTCACATCCCTGTAATCCCATCAATTTGGGAGGCTGAGTTGGGAGGATCATTTGAGATCAGGAACTCGAGGCCAGCCTGGGCAATATAGTGAGATCCGGTCTCTTCAAAAAACAAACAAAAAATTACCCAGGCTTGATGGTGTGTGCCTGTAGCCCCAGGTACTCTGGAGGCGAAGGTGGGAAGATTCCTTGAGCCCAGTAGTTCAAGGCTGCAGTGAGCTAAGATTGCACCACTGAACTCCAGCCTTGGTGACAGAGCAAGAGCCTGTCTTTTAAAAAAGGAAAAAAAAAAAAAGAGAAGTCTATTTATTTGGTTCATAGTCTGTTGACCCCTAAAGGAAGCATCAGAAGCCACTGCATAAAAGCTGTGACATGAAGCTCAGGAAGATTTTTTCTAAGATATTTGCCAGCTACAAGGCATTGTCCAAATATGGGCCTTATTTCCAGAAAAAAAAAGGGGAGGGAGGAATGCCATGGAGTAAGTTATTCTCGGGAGTCCTTGCTTATTCTTAAGGATTGTACTAGGCCCAGCCAGTCTCATTTGCTACTTGGAAATGAGGGCATGTGCCTTAATGTGTGGGATTTCTATTAAGCGTGAAATTTGACCCCATAAGTACTACTTAATCTCATGAGTACCTTCCATGTAAGATTGGGTCTTACCTAATAGACTTTGAATATTTCAGTATCAGTTGAAAAGTCCTCTCTGTAATGAGAAAGGTGAGCTGGCTCTCAGAGCTTGATTCCCTTAAACATGGGATTCTCCCTAATTCCCTTCATTTGGATTCCATATTGAAAAAGCAGCTGTTTGGCTGGGCATGGTGGCTCATACCTGTAATCCCAGCACTTTGGGAGGCTGAGGCGGGCGGATCATGAGGTCAGGAGATCGAGACCATCCTGGCTAACACGGTGAAACCCCGTCTCTACTAAAAATACAAAAAATTAGCCGGGCATGGTGGTGGGCGCCTGTAGTGCCAGCCACCTGGGAGGGTGAAGCAGGAGAATGGCATGAACCCGGGAGGCAGAGCTTGCAGTGAGCGGAGATTGGGCCACTGCACTCCAGCCTGGGCGACAGAGCGAGACTCCGTCTCGAAAAAAAAAAGAAAAAGAAAAAGCAGCTGTTTTAGTTTTCTGGGAATGTTATAACAAAGTACCACAAACTGGGTGACTTAAAACAACAGAAATGTATTCTTGCACAGTTTTGGAAGCCAAAAGTCTGAAATCAAATGTCTGCAAGCCTGGCTCTCTCAGAAACTTGAAGGGAAGAACGTAGCTTCTGGTATTTGCTGGCAACCTGTGGCGCTCCTTGACTTGTAGATGCCTCGCTCCTATTCCCGAGTCTGTGGTCACATGGCTGTCTTTTCCCTGTGTGTCTCTGTCTCTTCTCCTTTTCTTTTCTTTTTTTTTTTTTTGAGATGAAGTCTTGCTGTGTCGCCCAGGCTGGAGTGCAGTGGCATGATCTCGGCTCACTGCAACCTCCGCCTCGCGGGTTCAATTAATTACATCTGCGAGACCCTGACTTCCAACTCAGGTCACATTCACAAAGTCTTGTGTGTTAGGACTTAAAGAGACCTTTTGCGGGACACAATTCAACTCATAACAGCAACCCTTAGATTATGATGTTGCTCCCATGGAAACTTCCTTGCGGGAAAAGATGTCTTAGTCATACAGACTTTAAGTATTCTAGTTCCTGTGTTGGTGATTTCCTGTTGTAAAATTTATAAATTAGACTCAGAGAATGGTTTGGCTTCCCATGTCATAGGACTATAGATGGAAAAAGAATGCATCGATTATATGTGGACCAGGGTTTTGCATTTCTGGAGAGAGTAATTGCTCATTGTGAGCCAATAAATTGACTTTCTGGTTTGATTCCTCAGTGTCATGGTCCATCCCTGAGATTTTGGCTAGGAGAGGAGCAGCCACCATATCTGTGCCAAAAAAACCTAGTTTCTGAGCTTCTGAGGTTGAGAAGCAGACTTAGTGCTAATTTGCCAAAATGATGACTTCAACCCCAGGAGCCCATGGCAGTTGAACAATCTGGATATTTCCAAAGCTAGCAGCCCACTACCACATTGCCATGTGGTTAAATGCAGGGCCATTATTAGTCTCATTTTGAATTTCTAATATGTTATATAATATATATTAGATTTCTAATATATAATTTAATATAATAGAAATCCAAAATGAGACAAATATGTGAATCAGACCATAAATATATTACATAGATAAATAAATAATGAATAAATTATATAAAGGTAATATGCAATATATTACATAATATAATATTGGATTTTTAATATATGGGTTCTACATAGTAATACATATCCCAAAGAAATCTTGGTCCCTTGGGAAAACAAACAAAACTCCCAATCACAGACACACAAAAAAAGGAATTAATTAAAACCAGGAATATTTTAGATCTTGTCTCAGATTCAGACTTAATAAGAAAAAAGAAGAGTTTTAAAGAAAACTGTTAAGATTGTTGGTATAGTAGATGAACCTGAAGCATCAATAGAAAAAACCTCATTGTGGCAATGCCTTAAATCTCTGAAGCACTGAGACCAAATTGTAGCAGGTTCGCTCCAAAAGTCATGTTTTCTTCTCTAGATTTCAACCAGTCAGTTATTGAAGAGATGGTAGGCAATGAGTCTGGCACGTTCTATGGGAAGAAAACAGAAACACGTACAGCTTGTCCAACTGAGGCAGAAGAAACTGTGATGGGAACAATGTTCGGAGGGAATGACTGATGAATGCTTGATGGTGCTGTTTGAAGAGGAGACCTGGATGTCGGAAGCGAGTGGAGGGGAGGAGAGTGGGGCTGAGTTATTTAATTAGCTAGGGTCCAGGAGGCAGGCTAACTTGCTGAGGGCTAGCACTGTGGAGCAGAGCTGGAAGGAAAGGCAGAGAGAGATTAGCAGACCAGGAGCAAGTCTCCTAGGACCACTCCTCAAACGTGAGTGTGCCCAAGAGAGCTGGGAGTGCTTGTTTTGTTGTTGTTGTTTTTGCTTTTTTTTGTTTGTTTGTTTTTAACTGGGACGAAGTCTTACTCTGTCACCCAGGCTGGAGTGCAGTAGAATGATCTTGGCTCATTGCAACCCTGGCCTCCTGAGTTCAAGCAATTCAGCCTCAGCCTCCGAGAGCTGGTATTACACGTATGCACCACCACGTCCAGCTAATTTTTTTGTATTTTTAGTAGAGTCAGGGATTCACCATGTTGGTCAGGCTGGTTTTGAACTCCTGACCTCAAATGATCCGCCTGCCTCGGCCTCCCAAAGAGCTGGGATTACAGGTGGGAGCCACCGCGCCTGGCCAGGAGAGCTTGTTCAAACACAGATTTCTGTCTGTCTCCTCTAGATTCTGAGTCAGTGAGTCTGGAGCAGGGCTCATATAGCTGCATTTCTATCAAAACACTGCAAATGCTGCTGATCTGTGGATCCCCTGTTAAGTAGCACTGTACTTTAGAAAACACTTAAAAGCTGGGAGACCCTGTTGAAGTTGATTTTCCAAGGAAAGCAAATTTTTAGAGAAGAGAAGTTTGGGAAGGAGGTGTTGGGCTATGTATGCAGAGATGTTTCTGTTGCTAATAAAAGACATCTGAGAACGCAAATGCTACCTCTACCTTTGAAGTAAGTCTTTCTTAACTTATCTGAGTAGCCTGGCAGCTTCTCTTGGGTTCTCTCAATGCAAATCTCTGTTATGGCAATTATCTGAGGGTATTATAAATTGTGTGCGTGTGTGCGTGTGTGTGTGTGTGTGTGTGTGTGTGTGTGTGTGTCCTCACCAGAGCATAAGCTCCTTGAATCAGAGACCAGGCCTTTTACTGTTGTATCCTGTATTATAGTGCTTGGCATAGGCCTGCCACACAGTTAACTACTCAACAGAGGTTTGCTGGATACATTGATACGTGAGTCAGTCCTTCAAGAATCTGAATAAATTGGAGACAGGTGGAGAAGGCAATTCCTGTGCATAAAACAGAACAAGTGTAAATCTAGAAGAAGGTGCAAGACATGCTAGGGAAAGCAAACAGGTGGGGGAGAGGGTGTGCTTCTGGAGAGTCAGGTCAGATGGGTTTTGTGTGCTAGAGATTGCTGACTGTGGAGCCCTGAGAAACCGGCAGAGGAGCAAGAGTATTTTGCCTCAAGTGATAAGTGTTTTTGAGTCTGAGCTCAGAAACAGGACTCATCTAATTTGGGCCTTAGAGCCCCAGACACCAGGTTATACTCTTGAAGCTGTTTTTACGCATTATTTTCCAGTACCTTCATGGGTTGGGGGCACTGGCTGAGCTCCCATCCCACCACTAGCACCGACTTTCCTGGTGCAAGAATACGGCATCTTAGAACTAATTCTCCAATTCCCAGTCGAACCACCCCAGGTGAGACTGTATGAAGCAGAGATGAGATTTCCTGCAAGCTTTGTGCCAATTGCACCCTTGTGAGACAGGTAAATTGTTGTTTTAAGCCATTAGGTTTTGGAGTGCAGAATAGAAACACAGGGGCTGATTAGTAGTTCTATGAAATGTCACGTAAGTAATGAGTCATAGGACCCCATGCATCCGATGACCTTGTCACTCACTTTTTTTTTCTTTTTGAGAGAGAGTCTCGCTCTGTCACCCAGGCTGGAGTGCAGTGGCACTATCTCTGCTCACTGCAACCTCCGCCTCCTGGGTTCAAGCAATTCTCCTGCCTCAGCCTCTGGAGTAGTCACTCACTCTTCTATCCAGGTCTCATCATTTCATAGGTCTTTACAGGTCTTCAGGCAGAGAGAAACAATTTCCAAGGAGCTTATCTCAATGAACTGAACCCAGGACACAGGAGCAGCACACAGGATAAGTGGATTTGGGTTGGATGTCGCTGAGGGAAAAATAAGAAGAAAGTGTAGTCTCTGTGCTTAAAGGGCATCAGCATGGGATCAGAGCTCTTCAAATGCAATCGGAGGCCAGTTTCCCCAGAGACTGAATTAAGTTAAAAGAGGAAGTCAGCTTGGACTCACTTGAAATAAAGCTGCTAGGATGAAACGAATGTATTAATAAAAACAAGACATGAGAAATGGTAACAGCAAAGGGAAGAGATCAATCTTGTGCAGGGGCTTGTGTTGCAATGCGGAAAAAATTTTGTAATCAGAATGAAACGCTAGTGATCGCGTAAGCAATGGATGTCAGCGAGGACTATTGGAGAGGCACACGATTCACATGACTCTAATCCATAGCGGGTGCTGGGAGTGGGAGGCATGGAGAGGTAGGGAAGGCATGACTGTTTGCCAGAGAAAAACGTTCCCTTGGGCAGGGAGGGCCACTTACTGGGCAGAGATATGAAGGAAACACATTTATGCAGTGGCTCCGTATTTGGTACCATGGAGGATACCAATTCAAAGACATGGCCCAAGGGATATGATGCACATCTACCCATCATAGGAACTCTCTATGCAAACTGTTCCATCTCCCCAAGCCAAGGGCCTTCAAGCTTTAAGGAGCCTGGGTTGAAATTCGAGTCTGGGAGTCACAGTGTTTGTTGTGTCCCCTCACCCTCTGCTCCATTGTCCTCCTGGTGCCCTTTTTAGGAAAGCCCAGGCACAATAGAAGCTACTTGGACTGTAATTATCCTTACTGTCCTGCAAGCCTCCCTAGGTGCAGTGAGAGCATCTTACTCACCCTGGAGATTCTTAAAAACTGCTTATTGACTGGGTGGATTAATGTCTGGCTGGGGGAATGAACCCAGTGCCCAGTGGTGCAGGAGAGCCTTGGGAAAATGCAGAGGGGCCCTCCAGAAGGACAGGGCAGTGGGACTGAATGGGAAACATCACCCAAGCAGGTGGGGATGTGGAGAGGTCAAGTTTAGGAAATCTAAGGCCTTGTGAAAGTCCTTCTAATCAAATGGTAATAGGTAGTAAGTCTCGCTTGCCTGCTTGCTTGCTTGCTTTCTTTCTTTCTTTCTTTCTTTCTTTCTTTCTTTCTTTCTTTCTTTCTTTCTTTCTTTCTTCCTTCCTTCCTTCCTTCCTTTCTTTTCTTTCTTTATTTCTTTTTCCTTCCTTCCTTCCTTCCTTCTTTCTTTCTTTTTTTTTCCAGAGTCTTACTCTATCTCCCAGGCTGGAGGGCAGTTGTTTCATCTCGGCTCACTGCCACTTCCGCCTCCTGGGTTCAAGCAATTCTCCTGCCTCAGCCTCCTGAGTAGCTGGGATTACATGAACACACCACCAGGCCTGGCTAACTTTTTGTATTTTTAGTAGAGACGGGGTTTCACCATGTTGGCCAGGCTGATCTCAAACTCCTGACCTCAAGTGATTTGCCTCCCCTTGGCCTCCCAAAGTGCTGGGATTACAGGCATGAGCCACCGTGCTCTGCCCTAACTGGTCATTTTCAATGTCCCTTTCTCTGCTCTGAAGGGAGGTGCCAGCAGGCAAGGAAAGTGACTGGTAGAAAAATGAGAATTGCAGGAACCCACATGACTCCCTAACTGGAGCTTCAGCTCCCTCCCAGAGCCAAGAAGCCAAGGGAGCCAGGGCTGTGTTCTGTGTAACCAGCTTCCACAGCCACCCTCTCCGTGCCACCAATTCAGTCTTCTGGTCTACCAGCCCAGGTACTGTTGAGTGCCGGCAGCAGAGGGGCCAGGGACTGCTGTGAGGCAGCGTCTCCATCCAGAGACCCCTGCCTGGGACGTCTGCCACATCCTCAGTCAGTTGCCTCTGATTAACCCAGAGTCCGTGAGAGCAGGAAACCCCCAAATGTCACCATAAAACTGGGGACATTTTCAAGCTAACCCCCCCACCACACCCCGGGTAATATAGTTAAACCCCTTCATTTTACAGGCAAGGAAACCAGAGATCAGAAAGGTTAAATGACTTCTCAGAGGCAGTGGTAGAGCAGGTTCTACCCTCCTTTCCATTACAGGCTTAAAGTCAGCATCACTTTAGAGGAGATTTAACCAGCAGATGAGCAGGTAGCATCAACGCAGAACATGCACTTTGGCAGGGCTGGCTTCTCTGTCCTTCTCTCCTGCCTGTACTCATCCTCCCCAACATGGAAGGAGGTGGGTTTTCCATCCTCTTTACCCCTTTGTTTATCTCCATCCCGCCCCACAGCAGGGAAGGAGGCTTTTAACAGAATCACCCTTGGGAAGTTTTGCCTTGGGATTCTATTTAAATGACAGAATAGACCTGATGTATGGTGGGGTCCCTCTCAGTAGAATATAGGTATCCAGGGTGTTGTGAGTTGAATTGTGTCCCCCAAAAAGACATATTGAAGTGGTAACGCCTGGTACCTATGAATGTGGCCTTGTTTGGAAGTACAGTCTTTGCTGAAGTAATTAAGATGGAAGTTAAGAGGAGATACTGGAATAGGGTGGACCCTTAATCCAGTATAACTAGTGCCCTTAAGAAACTGCCTTTGCAAAATTATAACTGAGGAAATTATGACAGTGAAAGAAGTCAGCCCTAACCGACTCTGTCTTGCTTCTCTGACCCTTAAGCTGTCCTTGTTCTTTCCTGGGCGTAGGTCAAACTTTGGGAAGGAATTCAGTTCATTGTTTGACTCTGAAACAAAATCGATAATAGCCCTTTCCTGAAAAGACCCCTTTCTTGTCTGGGGTCCAATCTGCTTTTGCAGGACTAACAAATTAGCTATAAGATTAGAAATTAGCCACTGGCTTCAAGAGTCTGAACCTCCCCAAATTGCTCCTGGGGGTAACTGTAGGGAGTCCCCCTGAAACTATTGCTACGGAGTAAAAGATGAAATGCTCCTGGTTATTGTAAATACAAAATTACATGCAGGATTGTGTAAAGACAATGCCAGTTTGGACTGCCAGAAAGAGCCAACAGCGCGTGATGTGCTTCCCCCCGCAGAGAGCCTATGAATGGATGTGCAGTCAGGGAGGTTTCACATCACCAAGATTCCTATCCCAGAAAAGCAGATGTTCATAGCTCTGGGAATGGAATGCAACCCTTGTGGAGAGCCTATAAATGGGTGCGTTGGGGAGGGGTGGCACCTGTCCATATGGATACGATAGGGCTATAAACGCCCTCATCTTGCCATGGCTCTTCTAGGCCTCTTTAGGGTTAAGGCATACTCCCTTCTGAGAATTTCTGGTCTAACCGGTTGTCTAGCTTCACGTCCTGTTTCCATGGATTGTTCGTAACCAGCTTGTGTGGCAATTGTTACTGCTGATTAATATCTTGCTAATCATAGGTTATGGAAAGATTGTGTTTCGGTTTTAAGGCTCTGTTAAAAATTACTGATGCACACACTATATTGTAAATTCTTATCTCTGTATACTGTACTTCTACATACAAATGTACTGTACTTCTACATACAAATGTTATGTTAAAGAATTACTTCATCCCCATGTGACCATCTCACCTCATAATCAAATGACCCTAAATCCATCACTAACCTACCCCTGCCCTCACTAAATTTAATAAGTGCTGGTATATCCAGTGCATTGTTGGCACCACAGGACCAGAAGGCGGTGACCCCCCCGGACCCAGCTTTCACTATCTTGTGTGTGTCTATTATTTCTCAACCTGCCGACCTGCCTGGGAACAAAGAGAGAGCCCTATTGCATTGCGGGCTGCTGGCCAGATCCCGCAATAGGTAACATCACTATTGTAAAATCTCAGATCAGAGCTTGAGATATTTTGCAGACCTTGCACTTGATGGAGCAGCTGACACCACCCAGACCCAACCAGTTCTGCCCAACCAGCTCTGCCATTGCACCCAGGAACACAAGACATTAGGAAAACCTAACTTCGACCCCCTATGATTCCATCTCCAACTTGACCAATCAGCCTCCCCACTTCCCAAGACCCTACCTGCCAAATTATCTTTAAAAACTCAGATCCCCGAATGCTCGGGGAGACAGATTTGAGTAATAATAAAACTCTGGTCTCTTGCACAGGTGGCTCTGTGTGAATTACTCTTTCTCCATTGCAATTCCGCTGTCTTGATAAATCGGTTCTCTCTAGGCAGCAGGCAAGGGGAACCCACTGGGCAGTTACACTTACAGGAAGAGAAGAGACACAGCCACACACAGAGAACACTTGTGACAGGGCAGACATTGGAGTGATGTTGCCACAAGCCAAGGATGCTCTGTCCACCAGAAGCTGGAAGAGGGAAGGAGAGGTCTTCCCCTAGAGGTTTGGAGGGAGTGTGGCCCTGCAGACACCTTGATTCTGCACGTCCAGCCTCCAGAAGGATGGGAGAATAGATATCTGTTGTTTTAAGCCACCTGGTTAGTGATACTTCCTTACAACAGTCCTAGGAAACTAATTCATAGCAGAGCCCAGGCAGCTGAGGCAGGATAAAGCCAGGACCTATGCAGAGGGGCCTAGAAGAGAGATGAGGGAGGGGAACCAAGGAGGAAAGCCTCTTAGAAGGGCTTACCCGGCACTGACTCAAAGATGGGCAAGGGGAAAAGCCGAGCAATGTGTGGGCTGTGTGGGATCCCTTTCTGGCTGATGAGAAGCTGAACCCATATTTTTTCCTTCCATTGTGGGGCCTAACAGTGCAGACCAAAAAATTAATATCTAGAAATTGAGTCACTGAAGCCTTCTCTGGCTGGCCCCTTTGAACTTGCACCTCCTCATTCTGCAGCTGACAACTGTCAAGAACTGTCCCCTGCCATTTCACCTGAGCTGACCTGATCTCCCCAGGGGAATGAGCCTCGTCTTGCAAGTCCCCTTCTTTGGGTCCCTGGCAGCGCTGCTGCAGGTATGTTTAACATGTAGAGGTCACTTAATAGGTATGTCCTGGTTGGTTGATTTGGTTTCATAACTGAAGTACATAATATGGTGCTTTGGGTTTGTTTAATTTTAAATATACCTGGCAAATCTGTTATGAGTATAACAAAATGTTTCTACTCCTGGGCAGTAGATAGATCGTGTGGCAAGCAGATTGCAGGTCACGTCTACTCTATGCCCTCAAATCCTGATGGCGCTGTCACTCAGCATCACAGAACCTTCCGATGTGGGCTTTTCTTGTTTGTGCTTTCAAAGTATTTCTGATTTTAGAAAATGCCCATCTGACCTTTTCTTTTTTCTGTATGAATCCCCCAACCTCCCACTCCAGTCACTTGGTTACTCATCTTCCTTTTAAAATTCTTTATTTACTTTCTGTTTTCACAGGATACAAGGAACAGGATGCTATGACGAGATATGCATTGAGAAGCTTCAGTCCTGCCTCCATCCTTATCTTCTTCTCCCTGGACCAAAAGTGATAATTGTCATTTGATCCTTATTTATTTTTAGAAATAAAACTCTTATGCAGATACCAACACATACAAATCTGTATTCTTATACCCTCTATTTCTTACACACAAGGTAGCATATTATATTCACTGCTTGACATGTTACTATATTTATTTGTACTTTATTGAGCTATAACATATACAGTAAAATATACAAAACATAATGCATAGGCCAGTGAATTTTTTCCTTTTTTTAAATTTATTTTTCTTGTATGACTATTAAAAACAGCTTTATTGAGGTCCAATTGATATATAATAGTAAACTGGAATATATACACACCCATGAACCATCACCATAATTGAAATAATGAAAATAATCATCACCTTCAAAAGTTTCCTCTTAGGCCAGGTGTGATGGCTTATGCTTGTAATCCCAGCACTTTGAGAGTCTGAGGTGGGAGGATCACTTGAGCCCATGAGTTCAAGACCAGCCTGGACAACATGGCAAAACTCCATCTCCACAAAAAAATACAAAAATTAGGTGGTGTATGTCTGTAGTCCCAGCTACTCAAGAGGCTGAGGCAGGGGGATCTCCTGAGCCCAGGATGTTGAGACTGCAGTGAGCCCTGATCATGCCCCTGCACTCCAGCCTGGGCGACAGAGTGAGATCCTGTCTATAAATAAAGTTTCCTCTGGCCTCTATATTTTCTTATTAGCTTGTAAAGGTGAGCAGATTGATGAGTTGGGTTGAAGATATCTAACATTAAGCTGATCACAACCTCATGGTTCCTTCCTAGAGGCTCCTTTAGTTTCTTTCTTTTCTTTTCTTCTCTTCTCTTTTTTTTTTTTCCGAGACAGGGTCTCACTCTGTTGCCCATGCTAGAGTGCAGTGGTATGATCATAGCTCTCTGCAGTCTTAAATTCCTGGTCTTAAGCAATGCTCCTACTTCAGCCTCCCAAGTAGCTGGGACTACAGGGGTGTGCCACCATGTCCGGCTATTTTTTGTAGAGACAGAGTTTCACCATGTTTCCCAGGCTGTTCTCCTAGTGTCAAGAGATCTGCTCGCCTCAGCCTCCCAAAGTGCTGGGATTACAGACATGAGCCACCGTGACCAGCTGAGTCTGCTTTTGTTTCTTAAGAATCCAGGAACTAGGTAATAAATGTATGTCTTTGCTACTCCTAAGTCTTATTAATCACTTACATTTCTGACAATTAATCATTGGACCTCAAGGGACTTTGATAAGATTAATTTGAAGTTCTCAGCAGTAGAAAGTTTATTTTGTCAGTCTGCAAAGCTTCTGGTGTCAGAGGTTCTGGTTCAGGGCTGTTTGACTCAAAGAACCAAGGGACTCTTGGAAAAAGAAACAAGACTTACATGGAATTTCAGGATCTCCATTGTTTATAAGCCATAATTCTGGGAAGAAGGAAATGAACTCTAATTAAGCACCTCTATGGGTCAGATACTTTATATAAAACAAAGAATTTAATCCTCAACAATAACCTGCCACAGAGATGAGATTATCACCATTTTTACAGAAGAGGAAATAGGATCTGAGAGCCTAAGCAACTTGCCCAAGGTGACTCAGTAAGTGGCATGAGCTGGAGTTGAAACCCAGAGCTATATTGCTATAGAGCCCATCCTTTCTATTTCATGGCCCTACTCTCTGTCCCCTGCCCCTAGATAATATTAACAATTGATAGACAGATAAGTAGATAGATAGATAAATAGATACAGATACACACACATATATCTGTATATCAGGATGTGCTATATATTACATTTTATTTATTTCCAAAGGCCTTAGGAAAAAAACAATAGCAGTGTAGAACATGAAGGCAAATGGTTACAAAATACATGGATACGTGTATTTTACTGCTGATATAAATTTATGTCTATTGAGTTATTCCCAAGTTAACAAGGACCGAGAAGTTACTGTGGCCTAAGAATTGTGCTCTGCATGTTGGTAGAGACAAAATAAGCAGCGTCTACTGGCAAAGACTGTATCATGTTGCCGGAGAAGTGAAGCATTAAGTAGAAACTGTGTGTAGTGGCTGTGAGGGCAGCATGGTTCTGCAAAGGGCTTGATTGGCGGGAAGAGGATTAGATTCCCGCATGTGTAGTTGGGAATCTGATCTGTAAAAGCCAGACACTGAGGTTTTGATGTCTTTCTCCAGTTCACACAAAGAGCTAATAGCTGGGCTGGGACTATGTCTTAAGCATCCTGGATAGTTAACATCTTACCAACCTCTGTCTTCCCCAAAAGCTGCAATCTCCATATGCAGGAGCCAACATCAGTTTGCTGCAAGGGAGGAGAATGAGGACTATTGTATCAACTGGAGTCCCATAGAAAACAAATGACACACTCAAAAGGGGTGATCAAGAGTTCCATGGAGGGGCCGTTGACAAAGGTAGAGCCGGTTTAGAGAAAAGCAATAAGGGATGCGGAAGCCTCAGGATCAGCAGCAGCAGGAAGCCACTGGCACCGAGTGCCAAGGGGTAGGGAGCGGTAGCTGAGGTGTGGTGAGCTGTAGGTACAGAAGCACTGCTATTGCTGCATCAGAGGTATCAATATTCCATCCTCACTCTCTCAATGCCCTCTGATCACACGCCTGGTGCCCTGGAAGACAGAGGTCACTGGAGCTGTGTGGTTGCAGTCGTTAGAGGTCAGCTTCCTGGCTGCAGCACAGTGCAGAAAGGAAATGGACAGAGAGTGGTTCTGGCAGGACAGATGGAGACTATCCAGTGCAAAATCCATGCTGGGGAAATTTAAGAGTTTTCTTGGGAGTGCATTAAAGGAGCTATTGCAGGTGCCTTAGAATCTCAGAGTCTTAAAGTCACTCCCTTCCATAATCCAATAGCTTGTTCTTGTTCTCAGGAAAGCTCTATAAACCCAGGGCCTTATTCTTATTGTAGTCATCATTTCCAGCAGAGCACAGATTCAAGAGCCAGCTGTTTAACTCATGACCTTGCTGAAGAGGTGGTAATGGGGCTATTCTTAGTGATCACATTGTTATGGGTTAGCAACTTGATGTTCAAGGTAGTGGGCACCTAGATATCTCTGAATGATGGTGTTTGTTGGTTTGAAAGAGGTCTCCCTCATTAATTCATTATCTTGCTGGAGAGGCAGTTGCATTTTGGCTTCAGCCTTTAAATGATAGTGGCTCTATTTCCGACTTGCTTGGAAACTATTATTAACTATTATTCCCAACAATACACTTGCATATTTGACAATCTAGAAACCAAATTTAGCCATGCAAATTATAGACAACTGCTCTCTTATAATGTCACTGTGATGTCCCAGTTTTTAAGAAATGGAAGATTAACAAAGCCAGCTTCAAATGCTTAAAACAATATTTTATGTAAGAAGCCATTTTCCCCCAGAGATGCATAGACCTGTAAAATGTTTCCAGAGCTCTTTGGAAGATAACCAATATTTCTCTCAAAGGAAGGGGAAGTAGCAGAACATCAAATATACGCAAAAACCCTTCAAAGCTGGAAGTGCCATCAGCTTACTAAGGAATTATGTTAAAAATAAGGGAAACTTAAGAGGTCACTTAAATGATTTAAACACCATATTTTCCCTCTTCTCCAAAAATCCCCCAAGACAATGCTCATAATGTTAGACTGACCTTTTAGCATATGTGATTTTAGTGAAAGACATTTCTCTTCTTCTAAATATATCTCAAACCATTCTTAAAAGTAATGATTTCTCATTAAGGCTCTTGCACCTGCTTGTGAAGAAAAGACATCTGACCTTTAAAAAATATTCCATGGGTCTGAATCATCTAAGTATATTGTAGCTTTATTCTTGCAGACAAGGGAAACCAAGAATGATCTGGATAATGGAGAAACCTGTTAATACAACTGGATTTGAATCACACTACTGGCTGAAATTCACACAACCGGATTGGGATCCCACTGTGTAATTTTAGGCAAGTGACTTTACCTTTCTAAACCTCAGTCTTCTTATCTCTAAAATAAGGATAATACGACTAACCTGAATGCCTATTGTAAGCAATAAATGGATTTATGTGTGAGCACAGTGTTCAATAAATGAGCATTAGGGTCTTTTCTTTTCTCTTTTGAGATGGAGTCTCGCTCTGTCTCCCAAGCTGGAATGCAGTGGTGCAATCTCGGTTCACTGCAGCCTTTGCCTCCTGGGTTCAAGCAATTCTCATGCCTCAGCCTCCTGAGTAGCTAGTACTACAGGCGTGAGTCAACACACCCAGCTAATTTTTGTTATTTTTGGTAGAGACAGAGTTTCACCATGTTGGCCAGGTTGGTCTCCAACTCCTGACCTCAAGCGATCTGCCTGCCTCGCACAGTGCTGGGATTACAGGCGTGAGCCACTGCGCCCAGCCAGAGTGTTTTTGTCTGAAGCTTCTTGCCACACAGAATACAGTGAAAGAATCCAACTATGGTAATTCAAGAGTCTTCTCAGAATTTAGGCTCAGAACTGAGACTGAAGTATTGGCAGAGGACCTAAGAGACAAAGAGAACCTTGTCATATACATGGATTCTGAAAAAATGTCATGGCTTCTGACAAACTAATCTAGCATATGCCAACCTAAGGGCCCTGGGCATCTATTTTCAAACTTATCCCTTGGGGTACCACCACCAGCTTGCCTGGGATTACCTGATCAGGTAGTTTAGAGAAGATAATAATTATAATAATTGAGACAGTCATGATAGTAGTACTTACTCTTCCTGCAAAATGATTAGTATGATAGTTCTGCTGCCCATACTTAGGGAAATGATACTTTCAGACACGGAAAGGATGATGATATGAAATTGGGACCTTGTTCTGATGGAAATGCTTCGAGTTTTAAATAGCTTCAAACTTTAAGAGTTTCAATACAACAGAAGCTCTAAAAATCCAGGGTCTTTGAGTAGTCTTCACATCTCTCTGCCCAATTCCAGAGATGCACTGAATTTGAGCCTTTGAGGAAGAGGGTAATCTGTTCTTTATATTTTTCTGACTTTTAAAATCAATCTTATACAATGGGTAATCATCATTTTACAATTTATACAACTTATAGTAATAAAAACGTTTGTTTAAAAAAAGTCTTGCAAAGTATTTTTGAATGTTTTAAAACATTGTTTACTTTAGTATATTTTGTGTGAACTAGAATCACTGAACCTAAATAGCACATAGAAGGAAGGGAGAGGGGAGTTGGAAGACATTTTTTCCTAAAAGGGCAATGGGTAGTAAATTGCCCAGATTCTGGAACCTTCTGTCTCAGTCCAATTCCTGACTAGACCATTTAAAAGTTGCATGAATCTTGGATGAGTTACTTAACTTTACTCTGCCTCAGTTTCATTGTCTGCAAAATGGAGACCTCATGTAATGTTATGAGAATTAAATGATTTAATATATATTAAATGCTAAGGAAAGCTTGGGCAGATAGTGAACATGACTTAAGTCTTAGCCATCATAATTATTACCCCTCTCAGAATCATTCTTTAGAATAATTCAGCCTTTACTTTATTGTACTTATTTATTTTAAACTACTTTTATATTTATCAAAGTTATACATAACCTGGTTAAAAGTCAAATTGTATTTAAAGAGTAATAATGAATAATAACAGTCTCCATGTTCACAACGAATCTGTGATCTTGCTGTCCAGAGGCAGTTACTTCCAATCCATTCTTTTAGCTGGTTATTCTGGTTTTTAGTTCCTGGGTTCTAAATAATAAGTATAAATGGTTATTTCTTGATTTATCAGTTTTAGACATTATCTATCTACATGTATTATAGCAGTCGAGTTGAGCTTTTGTGCACTTCCTATCCCATTTCTCTGATTCTACCAGTGCAATGAGGTTCCATCAAATTTATGGTTAAATCAGATTTGGCATTTACTTTATTATGGTTATATATGTATTGTTCACTTCTAAACCAAGTGGTGTGCTATAATTACATTTTGCTTTAGAAATTTTTGTTTTTATTGGAGATAATAATTATTTTTTAAAAATTTACTAAAATTTATTTAATTCTCCACCACACTCATGATTGCTGAGGTCTATCCAACACCTTCCATTTTGCCTTCAAATGGTCAAATATTCTTGATAATTGATCAATCCCATTGTGCTTCGAAGACAACTGCCCCTGAGCCATTTATCCTTCTAGTCCAGTCTGTACTTACTGCTACCATAGTCCTACTCCCCAGTTTCCTCCTGGATTTTCCTTGCACCTGTTCTGTGTCCTGCATCCTCATCTTATTTTACTCCCTTATTTTTCTGGAGCACATCCTCTAGAAGCTTATTAAGAAAAGGTACATTAGAGGAAATATTCCAGACTCCTTGTATATTTGAAGATATCTTTATTCTCATACTTGATTGATAATTTAGCTGGTAATGGAATTCCAGGTACATCCATAACTTCCCTCAGAATGTTGAAGTTAGCATTGGTTCAGTGTCTCCTGGCTTCCTGTGTTGCCGTAGAGCATTCTGATATATTTCCAATTTCATTTCTTTTCCATGTGATTGTTTTGTTCTAAGTGCTTTTAGTATCTTCTTTTTTAAATGGCTGTCATACTTCAGTTTGGATCTTTGTTTATTCATTTATTATGCTGAGCACTTTGTGGTTACTTTCAATCCAGAGACTCATATTATTTTGTTCTGAGAAGTTTTCTATTATTTCTCTGACAATGTCCTCTCTTTGTTTTCTTTATTCTTTTCTCAGAACTACTATTAGTTGTTCGTCAGATTTCTTGAATTGATTCTTCACATTTCTCATGTTTATTCTTCAACTTTTCTTCTCTTTGTATTTTCTGGCCTTTGTGGGCTATTTCCTCAAATTTATCTGTCATTCCCTTTACTGAGCACTGGAAATTAATGCTTTATTTTTTGAATGAATAATGTATGCTTTTGGTACAAAATTCAAAATTACTAATGAGAATGTAGATACAAGTTAGCCTTCTTCTGACTCTTGCTCCTTAAATATCCAATTCATCTACTTGGTGGGGATAAATATTCACAGATGGGACAGCACAGAGGGGAACAGAGGTTTAGGGCTAACAAGCGGAAGTATTTTATGGAAGTTCGCACACTGAATGATGCAAGTCCCGGTTTTCTTTCTCCATCTTGTTCCTGGAAAGCAATCAACCAGGCATATATTCTCCTAGATAGGAAATGGTTGGATTACTTGGCTGGAGAATATAACCTTGGCTGTCAATATCATTGGGTCTTTTCTCCTGGGTTGGTAAGATTCCTCAAAGTAGAATATTTTAATATCTTGCTTGGAGGGCATAAGCCTACTGCTAACATTTTGAGAAAAAGAGCAAGCATGGGAGTGAGTGTTGTCTCTATTTAGTATGTCAATTTCTACTTAATTTTTCTGTTTCTATTATTGTACTACCATCTTCAACTATCCTTGGTCACTAAGTTCAGAGACTCTGTTTTACCTCCTTTAGAGAATGTTAAGCCTTTAGTGTTCTGCTGGGGTGGAGGAGGGAAAGTCATCTGGTTAAGTTGAGTAAGGGAAAGGATCTATTGTTTTAATTGCCTTTCTATGCTTGAAATTGCATAATTTCTCTTGATTTGTTTTCTTGTTTACTGACACTTTCCTTTGTTATCTCCTTCCTACTCTTCTACCTAGTAAATATTTTATTTCAGATATTATACTGCTCAGTTCTAGAATTTTTCTTATGTTTCTATATCTTTTCTAAGATTCCCTATCTTTTCATTCATTATAAGAATATTATCTTTTGCATCATTGTGCACAGTTATAATAGCTCCCATAAAATCCTTGTTTGCTACTTCAAACATCTGGGTCATCTCAAGGTCAATTTCTGTTAATTATCTTTTCACCTGAGAATGAGTTGCATTTTCCTGTTACTTCATATATGGAATAATTTTGGATTGTATTCTGGGTGTTGTGAATGTTATGTTGTGGACAATCTGGGAGAGAGTTGTTGTTGAATTTATTTATTTTAATAGGCAATTGCTTTGGTTTGATTCAAGCTAAAAACTCTGATTTTTGGTGATAGTTCAGATCTCCTTGTAGTTCCTGCATATTTAGCTGATATGTGTGCAGTTTGCCCTGTGCATGTGTAGCTAGGGAGTAGCTCAGAATTTACACACTTAATTTGTGGCTCCCCTTCTTTGGCCCCTCCTTTCCAATATTACCCCTTTATTTCCCCTGTGGTTGTGGCTATAGTGGCCCTGAACTCTTTTCTCTGGTTCTTCAGACCAGAAAGACTGCAGATTTTCTATTGGAGTTTTAGCAATGCCACCTGGCCACCTTTCCTAGGTCCAAGAAATAGGAAGAAAAGGGAAAATTACTCTGCTACCTTGTGCCATTCCCTTATTCCAAATGGCAACTCCCCTCCAGAATCTACCTGCTTTTGTTCACTCTGCAGTGTTTTCGGATTTTTTTTAAAAAGTTGTTCAAAGTTTATTATTATTATTTGAGGCAGAGAGGTCCAGTGGGAGTTTATTCTATTAGAGGTGAACTCCTAACAGCTTGTCAACAACCTTTTAAATAACTCTATTTACCATTAACTCTGCTTCCAAAGTAACCTGGTACCACTAATTTCTGAGCTTTTTCAAGGTTCTGTGGTATAAATGACAATAGTCATGGTTAGTATATTCACCTCTAAAAATTATTTCAGTAAGCATAAATAACATGTAAGCAAAGTGGGAGGTAATGAAAGATTGTGTCATACAACATTCTAAATCAGACAGAATTCCTGCTGCTCTTCCATTTGGTCTCAAAATGGCATTGGCTAGGTTTTTTTCAGCCTCATGTTGGCCAAAATAAGAGCCTTTCTTTAAACCAGTGTTCTAAAACATTCATCATCTCAACTGTTTTGGATTATCAGTTGGCTGCAAACCAGGGGGTCACCCATGGCAGCATGGTACAGACCATGTCTGTAGGTTTTCTTTTCTTTTGATTCCAATGAGAACATCAGAGAAACAAAGAGCACTTCTTTGCAAGATGGACTCTTCTAGAGAAGATGGTCGGCCAATGGACTGTGGAGACAAAGGTCAGAATTGTGGTCCCTTGGGGCATCTCATCTTGTTAGGATCATCATGGTCTCCTCAGGCTGAAGTTCATGAGCCATGAGTCCCCAGCACCTGATTCCCTCAGCACCTGATTGTTCATGAGGTTAGAGCAGTTAATACTGAGACTGTTGCAATTCTGTGAGTAAATAAGGTTTTTATTTCTGTGTTGGAATTTCTTGTTTTGTGCACCTGGTTTGGATATTTGGTTTATTTGCATAAGAATGCACACGTGTAGCTTGGGATTCAACTCAGAGAGGGACTTTTAGAAAAGTCTAAAGTCAGAGGGGACTATTGTCTATGTGAGTACACTTTTTAAAGCATCCCTTTCATTAGCTATCAAGGCACAAGCTCTGTTTCCTAAGGAAAGTCACCCCAAACAGCTATTATATAAACTACAAAAGAAGTAGATGTGGACATAATTAAGCACATTTTTATTTCCAATTGAAATACAGTTGGAAACTCTTTAGGGCTCAAGTCAAAACTTTTGGCTTTGTTCCCTGGTCCAGAATTCAAAACAATTTCTCTCTCTGGAATTGTAATCGTTTTTTCTGAAGATTATTGAATTCAAATAGCTTGATATGGAACTAATCTAGTCTAGTTGAATTTTTGGAATTCTTTAAATTCTCAAAAAGGTTGAATTTATCTGGTGCTCAGTAGATGTGAACGAGCAACATCCTAAGGTGTTCTCTGAGCTCAGAACACCCAAATTGTTTTCTTCCTGTAGAATTGTTGTTAAGCCCTGAGGTGCAAAATTTTCCCTCCCTCCCTCCCTCCCCTTCTTTTTCTTTCTTTCTTTCTTTTCTTTCTTTCTCTCTCTTTCTTTCTTTCTTTCTTTCTTTCTTTCTTTCTTTCTTTCTTTTCTTTTCTTTGCTTTTTCTTTTCTTCCTTTTTTTTTTCTTAAATTATCTCATAGTTTTTCGTACTTTCAGATGGGTAAATTGAAACATTGGAAGGGTAAGCATTGGACTTGTGTCTTGGTCACAAACGCAGGTTTTGGGGGACAAAGGCAGAAGTAAAAGACAGATCTCCTTCTCCAATTCAAGGCTGTGTGAATTCTACTACTGAGCCCTCTATGAAACATTAACTCAGTGGTTCATCCCCTGGGGGACCTGGGACCGTAGGAGGTCTTTAAAGGAAGCAAGAGAGATTTTTAAATAATTTTCATTTTTTCAAGAAGTTCAACAGACTTTGCACATTTCCCAAAATAAAAGTGCATGAATTAACCAGAATGTCATGGTATTTTTGCTTTTGATTAGAGTTAAATTAATTCAGTTTGATAACATTGAATATCATCCTGATCTGAAGCTTTGATTACAGTTATATATGCCTTAAATGATTAAAATGTGAAAATAGGTTAATTATGTCTTAATAAATTCAGTTTATTTGATACATAGAAATTTATAAAACCTGAAACTAATCAGAACAAAATATGACACATTTTCACAACTCCCTATGAGTATCTTAAACAAGTAGAATGCTAAGGCATATGAAACTCTAAAATGTATCTATTTCAAGATTTTTCTGGAAGATTTTATATATTTTTTTCTGTCTAGCTGCCTTAACATGAACAGTATAAAGCCAAATTATTCTCTCTTATACATTTAACATTAATTATGACAACAGTTCATTGACCAATGTCCACCAATGATGGACATCAGCTGTTTAGGATTAATTATGGGTGTATTGACTTTTCTAATCCCCACTTAAGGGGTTGAATATCTGTAGATGCTGATCAGACATTTAAAAGAGGGTAACAACACCAGTATTATATTGAGAAACAATGAGAAAAGCTAAGTTTAATTCATCATTCTGCTAAAAGTCAATCAATAACATTTTTCATGTGTTAACAACAGTTAATAAAGACAGTTAAGCCAGTTTGGAAAGTATAAATGGAAGAATAACTTCCTGATTTCATATGACTCATTAGGCTCATCAAAAGACTTTTCTTCGAGGAAGCACTCAACTTGCTTCTTTGAGCTAATGTTACAGGTTGTGGTTTTCATAATCATGCCGTGATCGCTGTGGCTTTGGGCGTCACTTTTCTGACGCACCTGGCTCCATCTGTTTTAGATACACAGTCCAGAGTTCACATTGCTGAAGGGCAATGACTGAGATCATTGTTTCCTCAAGGTGTGCCCTTTAAAGGCTAAATCGATGGCGAGATGGGATAGGCTCTAGGGCTGAAGAACACATGATGTGTTAAGTTTAGGTCACATTCTTTCCTAGATATCTGGACACCAGATATGATTATGGAGTATTTCTTTGTCCTAAGGCAAGGTCGTGCATGACCTCCACTGCTGTCTGCATGCAGGTGCCCATGAACTTGGAGGCAACACCAGAATGTTCTAAGTATTATCACTCACAGGAATTCATATTTGTATGATTGCTGAATGTCTGTTGGAGCATATTACATAAAATACTGCCGGTGACGGAAGCTGCTTAATCTACTCAGAGTCCTCATGTGCAAAGGAAGGGTAAGGCAGATGGTCCCTAAGGACTCCCCTACCCCCAGGCTCTGGCCAGCTTTCTGTAACTCTAAGCTTCCTTGAATAGAAAGCCTCAGAATAGAGATAGCCTGGTACGACACTCTTGACCAAGTTAATACCAGACAGGTGGCAATTTACATGTGTGAGAGGCTCTCATTTGAAAGTGGGAAAGCTAGGTGAACACAAAACCTATGCCTCCAAGTATAGATTTTAACCTTAAAAACAGAAGTTTCACACACGGAAGACTATTCTTTTCCTTTCATTGTTTTGTGCCAGTGTAGAAAATGACCAATAATGACACTTGTAAATATCTTCACTGGAATCTTGTATCCCTGGGACTTAAAGGGTTAACAGTTAGAAGACTTTAATTGTATAATTTTCTGGGTTCCCAGACATGCCTTTAAAGGTCTTCACTTCCTCTTTGTCTTTCATTCTAAGCTCTCTCTCCTGCACAAGACCTGCAGGGCCTGGCATCTGTGAGCACTCCAATAAGTATTTATTACTAAATTCAGTTGTCATTCATTTAGAATGTACTCGGTGCCAGCCCCTGTTTTTCTAAGCCTGTCTTATTTAACCTTTACCATTACCTCATGATTTACTCTTATCCTTATTTTACAGATGAAGAAATGCAGATTTTTGGGAGGCTGAGTAATTGGCCTGCAGTTATATAAATGTGGAAAAGCAGGCTTCAGACTAAAGCACGTTTGACTCGAGAGCTTGTGTTGTTAATCACTTTGCCATCTTGCCCCCCTTCCTTTTGTTGTATAGATGAATAATATGTGCTCTTTCACTTAATGAAAAGTGTGGTTTTGGCAGATCTCCTCTGCTTGAACACATCTTCTGTGGTGGAGAGGAAGGGGCTTGGAGGTAGGAATTCTCTCACCAGCTTCACCAGGAAAATAGAAATATAGAACCTAGTACCTAGTATACGACCTAGAAAGAGCAGATTTCACTCACCAGGAGCAAAGTGTCATGTAGGGACATGTAGAAGTTTAAAAATACATACACATAAAGCAAATATCCACATTTTATAGGGGTACAACCAAGCAAAATGATATATATTAAATCCACTGGATGGTTGCTCTTGGGGGTGGAAAT